>NC_000011.10:132603116-132912304 GCF_000001405.40 Homo sapiens | reverse complement strand
TGAATTTGCAACGTACTATACTATATAAATATTTCTGTCACAATATTTTATCATCACAGTTTCAAGCTTTATGAAAGATAAGGTCAAAATTTCAATATTATATCTGAGAGCTTTGCAGTCTTAGCTATTTATTTGTCTTTTTTTTTTATTGGAGTCTTGAAGGACTTTATTTCTTTTATATGTCAGAAAGAGTCCATGTTATTCCATGAGTTGCTGTATAGGATGCTGAAGATTCCAAGTGTTCTAATGGTCCCAGAGCTTAATACCCAGAATCTCACTGATGCGTCTCAATTAGTTCCAAATTTTCAAGATGATTAACCTCTACTTCCTCCATTTCCTGTGTCCTGAAGAGGAACAAAGGGATAACTCACCTGATACTTCCAGCTCTGTGCATTCTGAATCTAAGCTCCTGTGTGTCCCTGGGTGACAGCAAAGAGTGCTCCAACTCTTGGAATTACCTGCCTGACAAGTCTAGAAATATTAGAGTTCTTTATATTTAAATACACAGAGCTGTAACTACAAACTTTATCATTTTTGGACTAAATGGAGAAAGGGGCACACTTTCTGTGAAGTCTTTAAGTCATATTTGCACTCTTTGGGTGGCCTTGTGCTAAAGAGGCTATGGAGTGTGAGGACAGAGGAGAAGGGTCCCCTCAGTGCATGTGATGCCAAGGCTCATGGTACATTGTATGACTGGAGAGTCACTTGGCTTGCTATCTTTGCTGTCAGATGGCGCTCACTGGTCTCTGTGTTTGACTTTCTTTCGCATAACATGTCAGTCCACTTACTCTTAGGAGAGTTCCCGAGACAATCAGGCAAACTCTCCTCGGGATGTCTTGATGAATGTGTGAAAAGCCAGGGCATTCTGCCAAGTGTGCTTTGATTAGGAGGTAATAGATTCCAACTTCCTTCTGTCGTGTCTCTTTCTGCACCATAGAATGATTGTTTGCAGGGTCATTCTGGGTTCACAGAATTAGTGACTCATCTACTGGTTATTTGGCAGTTCAAGAAGCTAGGACATATATCTGTTGCTCAAATGACTGGTTTCCAGCTGTTGAGATATCAAAATTCTCTTGAAATTCTTCGCAAAGTTGACCCTGCACATTATTGATGGCGGTGGTTGAGAGTAAGGGAGAAAATGGATATTGTTTACACGCAGACTTTTGCAAGGACTGGTAGAAGAGAATTGGGGTGAATTGTAGGATTTCTGGAGTCAGAAGATGAGGGTTGCTGTTGCAGCGTTAATATCCAGATGTATGATCTTGGAAGGTTGCTTAACGTTCTCAGTTTTAATCTCTGCATCTTATAAATTAGAGATTTGTGCTAAATGATCTCCATCATTCTTTTCACCCTTGCATTCCAACATCTTTCTAGTTTCCTCCAAATTACCTGGGGTCTTTGTTCACTTTCTGCTATTCTCTGGCTCCTGTCATGCAGCCACAATGGTCCTGAGGGTTTGTAAGAAGATTCTGGATGATAGAATATATTGCGGAAACAGCAATTGAGTTGCAACTGGAAAGACTTGGGCTGTCTGTTAAGCTCCATCATCATGAAAATGAGCTTTATCTTCTATGTGTGTGCATATATTTATATTTAAAGCTAGCATAAAAATTATACCCAATTCCTACTTCAGGGAAATACTTGTAAGAAGAAACCAGGTGATGAAGGGATCATCTGTCACTCACGTAATGGGAGGCACTGCCCTCTAGACATGCTTGAGGAGAGTGAGAGAAGGATTCAGATAGGAAGGAAGAGAGTGACATCATCCCCACCGCACCTGGGATGCGGTTCAGGGTTGTGCGCCATTTGCATCCTCCCTATGTGAAGATTTTGGAATTTCCAAGTTTTATTCTGTAATATCCCTGCATTCAGCTCTGCCTCTTGCGGTATGAAATTCTGAGACTCTCGGCCGTGTAATTACCTTCACATCTGAAAAGTCACTGCTCTGTGGAGCTGCAGGTCTCTGCCGTTGCTTCAGGCTGCTCTGGGGCCCGGCCTGCCCCTGTGGGGGCATAATGGCCGGCGAATATGTGCTGAGGCCCCCTACCCCCAGCCCTGCTGTACCACTGCCAGTCCCGAGGCCTGCAGACTCCATTCGGGAATGCGGCTGAGATTTACCTTTGTCCTGCGGCTGCTTTAATTGCAGTGAAACGAGCTTATTGAAAGCAGTGCTCAGAGGAGGAGTGCCTTCTGTACCAGGATTTCACATGCAGGAAAGGTTTCTATTTTCAGTACCGACTCTCTCGATGGAAATCTCTTTCTCCCTTGCTCACTCCCTGTCTTCTGAATAAAAATTCTCCACACAGTGATGGTTAAAAACATCAATTAACTCTAAAACAATTATTATTTTTTGAAATGCCATTTTATAAATGTAATAACACGACACAATAATCCAGGGTTATTTAACAGAGCATTTACCCTGAAAACAGTCATTACTCTTTAAATGCAGGAGATTCTAGAAGCCTCTTAACATTAAATGGCAAGTGAGGCAGAAGCAATATTGTCAGAAATGCCACATCCGCTGCATATATTAGCAAGAAGAGGCCGGTGGCTGCCCTGCCCACTGGCTGCCATTTTCTTGGCATTTCTTGGGCCCCAAAGCTTTCTGTTCAGAGTGACATCAGCCGACACTGATGTGACAGGCTGGTAGTTGGAAGAAATGCCCTGTGAAGCATTTCCTCCTGTGTTGTCACCCTCCCTCTCCACAACGGACTGAAGCCTGGTCAGTTGGGAGGCTCTTCTTGCAGGTTCTGTTTAGCAAAGTGCAGATGGCAGCGGTAGAAGGGCTGGTGATCTCACCTGGCCTTGAAGCTCCTATTGGGTTGGGGTGGGCTGCCATCTTCCAGGAAGCTGTGGCACACAGCATGCAGAAGCATTCCAGCCTCACACGTTTCTCTTCTGAGAAATGCCTATGAAATGGTCTCTCAGAATGTTCGCACAACCTGAACACCACTTCTATTTTTGGACCCAAAGAACACATCCAAGTATTTTGACCTACATGAAATTTCTGTTACACTCAGCCCTTGAGGTCTGGGGTTCCATCTGGAATTATTAACATACCATTAGACTGGTTATTTTTTTTTAAAGTGTGGATGTGTGAGAAGTGGAAAAATGTCCCACTCAGATAGACAGCCCTGCAGGAGACTGTTCACTTGGGTGGCCAAGGGAGACGACCTCCCAAGGGCTGCAGCTGAAGCTGCTCCTCGCTTTCAGCTCTGCCGTGTGGGTGGTGGGCATCCCGCACTGATGCTTCTGTCTCTGAGGCACCCTTGCCCTTCTGAGGAGGAGCGATGGCACAGCGACCCCTGAGCGACGCTCTTCCGGGGTTTGCCAGGGCTTGAGGAACCTGTGATTCTGGTGCAGGGAGCTGCTGTGGTTGGGATTCCTCAAGCTGGTGCCCACAGTCCACTGCAAGCCTCAATCCTGCAGGTCTGAAGGCTGAGTATCCTTACCTGTGACCACCAAATGTGATGTTTAGAAAGCCCAAGTAGACTCCTGTCTGAGGCTCCTCTATCATCACTTATTAACGTGAAAGTGCAAAGGCAGGGCCAATTTATGGCATGTACAAATCAATGCGCTATGTCTTTCTAACCAAGCAGCACCTTATCTTTGTGTTTACAATAAATAAGATGAAACTGTCTGGTGAGAACTGGTGGCGCTGTGGTCAATCCGGGGGTGGTGACCACACTGTTGTCCAAGTCTCCTAGACTCCTTAGACCACTTAGCCTGAATTGCACAAGGGAGTGCCTGTGGAAGTATCTAGAAGGCTAGTGGGAAGACCCAGGGAGAGGGCTTGGAAGCTTAGACTTTTCAAGTAAGCACAAAACTTGGAATTCATATACACTAGGTTTTTCTGTTTTGGAAAATAATGTGTTTATAGGGACCCAGAGAAATTGAGTGACTGCTCAGAGTTAAACAGCTAATTAATTGTAGGGGGAATCTAAATGTGGGTCTTCTGACCTCAAGTTTGTGTGTGTACCTATGTGTGCACGTGTGTGCATATATGTGTGTGTGTGAGAGAGAGAGACCTTATGTTTCTTTGGGGGAGGGGACTAATGTCTTTCACTTTTCTTTCTGTAACATCATTTGTCATGCTCCTGTCAGTCTTCCTGTTATTAGTCAGGCCGTATTTGATGGGCAGGAGTTTGTGCTGTTGCTGAAAGTCCTCTCGCTTGTGCTCCTGTGTTTTGTTGTCTCCTAGAGGTATAACATGACTATTGGTCATGGTGACCATCAACTTCTTTTTAGAAATCCCTGACTACAAATGATTTCAGGGAGCAAAATTACCAAACAGCTTTGGGACACAATATGTTTTGGAACTCATTTAGTCAATTTTTTTTTCATTGACTCATTCTACATCTCTCAGACCTACCATGGGTCAGCAGATTTGCCAGCTGTGAGATAACTAAGGCACATTAAACCAGGCCTCCACATGCACAGATGTCACAGTTCAGTGGGGAAGGAAACCGTGTAAACTACTAACTCGACCATAGCGTGCTGGTGCTGTAACAGAGCAACGTGCAGTGAGCATTTGGAGCATCGATGAGCAAATGGTTTATTCTACTGGACTTAGAGAGCAGTCAGGGTAAAGGTCATTTGAAGGGATCATGTTGATGGAGTCACATTTACATGAAGTTGAATTTCTTTTTCTTTTCTTCTTCTTTTTTTTTTTTTTGAGACAGAGTTTCGCTCTGTCACCAGGCTGGAGTGCAGTGGCGTGATCTCGGCTCACTGCGACCTCCATCTCTCAGGTTCAAGCGATTCTCCTGCCTCAGTCCCCTGAGTAGCTGAGAATACAAGGGTGTGCCACCATGCCCAGCTAATTTTTATATTTTTAGTAGAGATGGGGTTTCACCATGTTGGCCAGGATGGTCTCGATCTCTTGACTTTGTGATCCACCAGCTTCGGCCTCCCAAAGTGCTGGGATTACAGGCATGAGCCAATTTCTTGAAGCAGACAAAGGACAAATGGAGGAGGAAAAGCATTCCTGGAAAAGGTAACAGCATAAGGAAATGCATACAGGCATGAACCCCCATGGAAAGACCAGGGAACGTAAAACAGCTTTTACCGTTAGAGTGTTAGAAGGATGGATTGAGAAAATGTGGAGGGTTCATATTGCAAAAGGAGCTGCGGCCCCCTGTTGGGAGTCAGTGACGTAGATAGAAAACAATTTTTGAAGTAAAAATGGATGGCAATTCTTACGATATGTTAGAGGGCTGTGAATTGTAAGCAGGAAAATCTGGTTAGTAGGAGACTCTGGGCAGATTTTCATGGTCAGGATAGGGGATGATTGTCAGATCCAGGAAGCCAGCATATTTGCCTTGTCAGGTAGAGAGCTGTCGATATTTTTGTTGACTAAATAAACATGGATGTCTTTTACCATATGCATTCTGCATTTTGCTTCAATCCCCACTACCCTCTATTACATGAAACCCAACCAGCCTCACTCTGGTTGCTAAAGGGATTTGGGTTTCAACCAAGGAAACACTGGTGGGGATACAGAGGCCAGCAACCTTTGCCAGCCCAAAGTTGTTTATAAAAGAGGCAGCCTGTTCCTTTCTGGAAATATCTACTTCCATTTTCAGCTTCTCCTGAGTTTTTCCAGCCCCGTAACAAGGGCAGTACCCTCTTTTCCTTTCCTGTACACTCGCTGACATTTTCAATGGTATTAGGAGAAGAGTACAGTGTGTGTTCCTCAAGGGCAAGGATTAACTAGCTGCTTCCTGTGAAGAAATTCTGAATGGTAAACGACCCTAATGGAATAGTATTCATTTCCCCTGTTAATATGGTGCCTACACAATCTAAAATTAATATTACCAAAAAGACTTGACTCCCCCAGCACAGAGATCCCCCAGAAAACCACACACTGAGGGAGGCTTTTCTAGAAAGGGCGGTTCTTAGGGAAGCAAGGGCCCCTCAGGGCTGACTGTTCATAGGCCCTAAAGATAAAACAAAATAGCTTTATTTAAAGATTTATTTAAGATGTTTTAAAAATTGAGTAGAACATACATTTTTAATACTGATTGATATTATTGTAAAGCATTCTGATGAGAACCTGCCCCATGGGTCCTTGCCTGCTACACAGACAGAATATTCCTTTGCATTTCTACGATGAGTCATGTTTTAGCCATGGATTAATGCATCGATGAAAGGTGCCCCCATTCTAGTAGGGGCAGAGGGAAAGAGAATGTCGAAAGGCAGCAAAGAGAAGAAAGAAGAGAACCATGGTGTATAAAAGTCACATTTTAGGCTGCATTTCAAAAAACCCTTCCAAAGTAGAGAGGCTTCATGCTCACATTCTGAAACATTCCTTGTAGTTTAGAAAATCTGTGCATTTGAGGAGTGGTTGAAGACTATGAATGCTAAGACATGCATCATTAATTAAATTATAGTTCCCATTTATTGAACATTGGCTATATACCAGGCAATGACTTCTGCTTTTACACATATTAGTTTGTTTAATTCTCAAAACAATGGTATTATTCCCATTATACAGAGGCGTAGAAACATTTGATAACTTATCTAAGCTTATACTGGAAGAAAATGCTGGAACTAGGATTTATGGAAGGGCAATTTGACTCAAGGGCTCACTTTTTTTTTTTATGTGACTAGATTATCCTGCCACTATTGGGTGTTCCTAAAGTGAAATTGGTCTCTTAATTTTGCATCATGAAGGTCAATATGTCCCATGTATTTTCAGCCTTCCATCTTTGGGAACTATCTACCTAGCATGGTGGTGAAATTTGGGCTCTGGAGTCAGAACTGCTTTCCAGGCTGGGTGTGGTGGCTCACGCCTGTAATCCCAGCACTTTGGGAGGCCGAGGCAGGTGAATCACCTGAGGTCAGGAGTTTGAGACCATCCTGGCCAACATGATGAAACCCTGTCTCTACCAAAAATACAAAAAATTAGCCGGACGTGGTGGCAGGTGCCTGTAATCCCAGCTACTCTGGAGGCTGAGGCATGAGAATTGCTTGAATCTGGGAGGCGGAGATTGCAGTGAGCCAAGATCATGCCACTGCACTCCAGCCTGGGAAACAAGAGTGAAACTCTGTCAAAAAAAAAAAAAAAAAAAAAAAAAGAACTGCTTTCTAGTCCCAGCTCTGTCCCTTGATCTGTGAGATAGACACTGGGCAAGTTCTATAACACAGCTGAGCCTCATTAATTATAAAATGGGTATGTAATTGTCAGTACCTCCACAGTAGTGTTGTGTAAACTGAAGGAGATGGTCCATTTGGACTTCTTAGTGTTTAGCACTACGGTGAAATAAATGCATGTCCAAGAAGTAGCTGAAGTTCTTAAGGGATCCCAGTGTCACTGAGCATGTACACTGGGTTCTGAATGCAACTGCAACTCTGTGGGGTCTCTGAAACATTTCGTTTTATTGTTGAACATTGAGGCAAGCTCAGTCTTAGTTTTAGGTCCAGAGAAAAATCCCAATTCAAACAAACTCACGACCTCTGAAGCAGTTTCATTAGGCAGGTTTTTCCACACACAGCTCTAATTACCACCACTCAGACTGCCCAGGGTGCGGGCTGCTAACTAGGTCAGGATCTGAGGAGCCTGGCCAGCAGCCTCTTGGGTGTCTCCTCTTAAGTGCACGGCCATCTGCAGGCTTCTGCGATATTTCTTGCTTTTGAATTTATAGAACCATTAGCCTGGAATCTAAACAAAACACCTAGTCTTAATAGCTTAGTCAGTAGGTGGTTCACCAACAATTTCAAAAACTAGAAGCAATAGTCAGTTCCCAGAGGAGTAGCAGTTGTTGTTTGGAAACAATTCTCCAAATTGCATTTATTTCACAGCAGTCTGAGGTCACAAATTCAAGAGCAATGAGAACTCTATTCAATTAGACAACTCGATCAGAATAGATCTGTCAAGATGACATTCCATCTAAATCAATTGAGATGGAGAAATAATTTAGCTGCTGCTGTTGTTATTTAGATTTTTTTATTATGATTTTACAATTTGTTGGAGTGAGGAAGTTGGGCATGGATGAGTGCTGGGCAGCTCCTGGCATCTGTTGCTCTATTAGATAGAAATGCATTCTCCTCTGTGTGTTGTTTGTGCTGTATTAATGGCCAAATAGGTGAAAAGTGTTTCCTGAATCAGTAGATTGACAACCAATAAGCTCAAAAAAGGGTGTCCAAGATTTTTTCCAGCTGAGTGTGAGTCCATCTCTTCTCCTCTCCCCTTTTCCCCCACACTTTAGGACCAATCTTTGTTTGCCAGCCCATGGCAAAACTTTCAAGACTCACCAGGCATCATTGATCCAGTCACCTAGAATTATATATTGACATTCAGGGGTTATAAGATAATATGTTTCCTTGAAGCCATATAGCTGATTTCTGATTTCAGATAGAGAATGCCATCTATCAAAGACAAATCTTTGAACTACAATTTAACGCCAATTTCGTCAACCATTACCAATGAAAACTACACACACGTGCACATGCAAACACTCATTTTTTTCCCCTTAAATAACAGAGGGAGAAGGTAGAATAGCAGTGAGGGGAAAGGTTAGTGAGGAGCATTCCCAACGGTGTTTCCTGCTTTGTTGTTCTAGGGTTCCACTATTTTAACTTTGGCTGGGAGAGTGATGATGGACTGACCCCTTCTTTCTCTCTTATTTTTTTATTTGTGTATTTATTTTTCTATTTATTTACTTATTTTTATAGAGATAAGGTCTCACTATGTTGCCCAGGCTGGTTGTGAACTCCTGAGCTGGGCCTGAATTCCAAAAGGGAGGAGGGTATAATGAGGCATGTCCAACGCCCAATTCCCATCATAGCCTGAACTATTAGTAGTTTTTCAGGTTAACTTTGGAATGGCCTTGAATGAGAGAAGGGTTCCATTCAGAAAGTTGGGGAGCTTAGAATTTTATTTTTGGTTTACAACAGTAATGTCTGGCTTCTCAGGGAATTTGATAAATAAGAGAGAAATAGTAACTCCTCAGTGTAGTTATAGATCTCAGCCATGTCTAGTTTATGGCATAAATATTATAAAACAACCTCCTGTCCTTGGTCACATATGGGAAACCTTTAGCCTGTGAGGGTGGAGGAAAAGCTTCCCTTCTGCCCTCTTTGTAGCTTTGTGGAAATGACTGATTATAGACAGATTAATAGGAAAAAAATGCCATAACAAATTTATCAACAGGCTATGGACACAGAAGTCCCATAATATGAGACTCAAAGAAGGGCCAGATAGTTGAGGCTTAAATGAAAGAGAGGTAAATGGGGGATGTAGACAAGTATGAGGGGTAGGAAATGGTTTTCAGGGGAAATGAATGAGCCCAAGAAACAATTGCCTAGAGCAAAGTTCCTCTGGGCTCTGGGGGAGGTGGTGCAAAGGTGAGGGCAGAACTTCACTGCAAACAAAGGTTGTCTTATTATGCAGATAAAGTCTCCCAGGTAATTTCTCGGAGTTGCCTTTATGAGAATAGATGAAAAGTCTATCTGGGTGTGGTGACAACTTTTAGTCTCCTTGATTCTTTCCTGGTTATTTGATGAGATTCCTAGGGAGCAAGTCTTGAGACCACTGTTTTTCTTGTGGAAAGAAGTTTCCTTAATCAGATAAGGAAATTCAAGAGAGAGCCCCTCCCTGTGCCAGGGGTGAGGGCAGAAGAGGTCAGAAAGTCCTGATTATGAGGCTGCTTCTAAAGTCTTCTTGTTAAAGCATGCAGAAGCACCAGACTTCTGGGTTGTCATTTTCTGAGCCCCAACAAGCCCAGTAAAATATCTGAATTTCCTTCTGAATTCTTGTTTTTCTTCTCCCCCATCCCTGATGAGATCGTCAGCATAGTTTTCTGGCCTGAGTCCTTTGGTTGGGGCAATGTGCACTGCAGGCCGCTCAACAGCCAAGTCACAGAAATCACACCCGTGCACACCCAGCATGTGCCAGACACTATGCTGAGCACGTCACACAGGGTGTCTTACTCACAGAAGCCCTCAGGAAGTTTTTTATTTTCACTTCCTCCAAGCTAATTGCACTATTAACTGTGCTCATTCCCAAGAGCCCTGACTACTTGAGCCCCATCCCCATCGGGCTAACAACTTCTTGTGTGAATTCAGCACCCTACAGCCATTCAGCCTCAGTTTGCAATGAAGAAAGTTGGGGTTCCTCAGGAAAGCTCCAACCAGCTATAATCCATAAATTCCTGGACCCCGAGCTTGATTTATTGACCATTTCCTCTGATCTGGCCTCCCACTGGACGGTTTTTCATCAGAAATTAACATTAGAAGTATCTTCATTTACATAAGCCATACATACATTTACCTTATGCTGGAGTAAAAAGGAATTACATAATGCCCCATGACGCAAACACCGGTGGTGGGGGGAGTTCATCATCCTGTTGGTGGTTCTTATTCCAAAAGGATTCAGTAGAGGATTTCTTTAAGTACCAAGATTCCCTTGTGAATTCCAAGTACAATTCAGTTTACATATATTTTTAAGGAAGACATCTGTCACGTGTAAATCAAGATGCATTTGAGTAATCTACTTGGCATGCCTGAAAACTGTCATTTCTTTTTCCTTTATGCCTCTTTATCTTTTCTCTTTCACTACTACTGATGATTCTACTGCTGTCGCAGAGAAATATAGAGAGGCAAGGTGAAAAGCTGAGGACGCACCGTGCCCATCTCGGAGAAGCACGGTGCCTGGGGAAAATGGAGTGGCCAGTGTGACATGTTAGTGGGGAACCTGCACCCCAAATTTGTTGCCCTTATTTTGAGCCATAGCTAATTGTACATCACATCCTGCCTCCATGTCATCGTCTGTGTATATTTTGCAGAGAAATAAAGGAAGCAAACCGTGATTGAGAGTCTGTTACATGACAAGTGCAACGCTGGGCTATTCATCTGATCTTTAGAAGAACTTTGTGAAACAGTTATTTTCCCATTGCACGCTTTAGAAAACTGAGGACTCAATCAATTATTTATTCAGTTTAAAAGGACACTGTGTTGTTCATTGGTGATTTATTATGGTGAGATTTTAATTATTTAGCTGGTGTTTATTTAGCTTGTCCTGGATGTGAGGCACTATACTGCACACTGAGCCTATGATAAGGAGCAAACACTGGAGATAGACTTTATTTATTTATTATTTATTATTTATTTATTTATTTTTTGAGAGACAGAGTCTTGCTGTGTCACCCAGGCTGGAGTGCAGTGGCATGATGGTGGCTCCCTGTAACCTCCGCCTCCCGGGTTCAAGTGATTCTCCTGCCTCAGCTTCCCAAGTAGCTGGGGCTACAGGTGTGCACCACCTTGCCCAGCTAATTTTTGTATTTTTAGTAGAGATGGGGTTTCACTATATGTTGGCCAGGCTGGTCTCGAACTCCTGCCTGCCTTGGCATCCCAAAGTGCTGAGATTACAGGCATGAGTCACTGCACCCGGCCCCGGAGATAGACTTTAAATAATAACACAAACTGAAGTGAGATGGCAAGGGCGCTAGTGGATTGAATGGAGAGCCACCTAGAACTGCCTGTTGCCAATTTGAGAGGAAGATTTGGACTAGTTAAAAATGCCAGAGCAGGCTTCTCTGACTGTAGACATGAAGGAGCTGGAGTTAGTTTGGCTAGGGAGGGTTTCATAGAGAAGGAACAGAATGTGCAGAGCCCATAGGGCAGGAAGGAGAAAAGCAAGCCAATGGAGCTGGAGGTCACAGCGTGCGGAGACAGTGCCAAGTCTGTAAGGCACATTTAGGAGCTTCATTTCTATTAAAACAATAGAAGATATGAGTGAGGCTGGGCTGAGGGGAGAATGATGACATGAAAAATGTTTTGTTTGTTTGTTTAAAGATAATTTTGGCTGCAATGGGAAGAAATGCGTATCAGTGGGCCTGAGTGCACCTGGAGACCCTTTGGGATGCAAGGCGAGAGTTGAGATGAGAGATGATGGTGGTTTAGGCTACAGTGATGGGTGGAAATGGAGAAACACACACAGATTTGAAAGACCCTTAATCATTGAGACTTGGTGATAGACTGCATATCAGAGGAAGAAAAGAGTGATATCAAGGATGACACCCCATTTTTTGACTGGCCTAATTGAATGGCTGGTGGAACATTCATCGAAATAGAAAGTACAGAAATAAGACCCCATTATGAGCCTATAATAAGTCCATTATGAACTTGCTGTGGGCATGGCTACTTGGAATTGCTTTGCAGTTAAGAGCTGATAAAAAGAATGCAAGTTGTACAGGTCTGTATTACTCAGGGTTCTCTAGAGACATAAAAATCAATGGGAGGAGATTTATTAAGGGAATTGGCTCACCTGATTATGGAATCTGAGAAGTCCCGTGACAGCCGTCTACATATGGGGGACCCTGGAATGCCAGTAGTGTTGCTCAGTCCAAGTTCCAGGGCCTGAGATCCTGGGGTGGGAGTGGGGGTTGCTGGGCTAAGTCCTAGAATCCACAGGCGAGAGAGCCTGGAGTTCTGCTGACCAAGGGCAGGAGAAGAGTGTATCCGAGCTCCAGGAAAGAAACCTATTTGCCTTGCCTCTTTTTTGTTCTGTCTAGGTCCCAGCCTATGGGATGGTGCCCACATACAGTGAGGGCAGATCTTCCCCACCGAGTCCACTTAGACTCACATGCCAGTCTCCTCTGGAAATCCCCTACAGACACACCCCAAAATAATGCTTTATCAATTCTCTAGGTATTCCTTAATCCAGTCAAATTGACACCTAAAGTTAATCATCACAGGTCCACCTTTGTCAACTTGGCACCTGTTTGCATCCCATTAAACCATACTTAACCTCCAAATGAAGACAGTAACAAGGAAATAGTTCCACCTAACGTGGTGAAACTATCTGCATACAACTGAAAATGCACTAATCTCTTCCCTAGAAGAGAAGGTAAAGTGTTTGGATGATAACTGAAACACTATGATGTAAAATTAACAACACATATATACTGATATAAAGTCAAAAAATCTTATTATACATAATAAAGGGATAAGAGATGAGCAAAACCAAAGATATTTGCTTAACATATTTATAACATGTATATAATATGTACACCAAAACATATCCTTAACAAGATAGGAAGAAAATACTCATGACAATTACTGTCCTTGTTTCTGTAACTAGTCACATGGCCACAGCTGGTATTTATAACTGCCTTCCACTACCCATTCTGTATTATTTTACCTGCAGCAAGCACCTCAGCTGGTCATGGTTCATTACCTGGTGGGGTGACCTGAACCTTTATTCCTGAGGAATCTGGGTCATTAGTAGTCCTCCCTGGATTGGGTTGTGGTAGTTTCCCATTGACCTTGATCATGGGGCATGGTAATACTAAGAGACACCCTAAGGGATCTCCTGTATTCCAGGCATAGTCTTCCTTACATCCAGTGGAGTAGTAATCCAGTTTCCCCTTCCTGATCCGGATCAGTCACCCAGTCAGCACCATAACATAGCCAGTTGACTCAGAAGCATGAGGCCTCCAAAGTGGCTGCGGGGGTGGGGGGGGCAGTCTAAACTTCCAGTTCAATGGAATCATTGTTGTGTCTCCTGATGGAAACATTACTCTCTCTGGAACTAAGACCTCTAGGTCAGCAGAGCATAAAATCATGGGAAAAGGAAGCAAAACCTTTGCTAGTGGGTCACTAGGGGTATTGGTGAGTGGTGACACTCCCACTCTGTGATTCCTGACTCCATGTATCCTGACTATGGGAAAAACAGGATCATATATTGGATGCTGATTCAGAGCACATACAGCCTTCTGGAAAACCTTGCCCCAGTCCTGCAACGTTAGCTGGTGCTGTAACTGCAACTTCAAAAGGCCATTTTATTGTTCTGTCAAGCTTGTTGCTTCAGAATGGTGGGACGCATGGTAAGATTAGTGGATCCCATGAACTTGGGCCCAGTGCTGTACTTCTTTGGCTGTCAGGTGAGTTCCTTAGTAGATACACTGTGTGAAATACCATGAGCGTGGATAAGGCATTTTGTGAGTCCACAGATGGTAGTATTGGCAGAAGCATTGCATGGAGGGAAGGCAAACCCATGTCCAGAGGAAATGTCTATTCCAGAAAGGACAAAATGCTGCCTCTTCCATGATGGAAGCCATCCAATGTAATCAACTTGCCACCACGTAGCTGGCTGATTGCCCTGGGGAATGATGTCATGTCAGGGTTTCAGCGTTGGTCTCTGCAACAGGCCAACTGAGCACTCAGTGGTGGTTGTAGCTAGCTTAGCCTTGGTGAGTAGAAGCCATGCTGCTGAACCCGTGCACAACCTCCATCCCTACCACCATAGCCACTTTGTTCCTGAGCCCACTGGGCAATGACAGGGATGACTGGGAAAAGAGATTGACTGGTATTCACAGAATGGGTCATCCTACCCTCCTGAATATTAACATACTCCTCTGTGGAGCTCATCTTTGGGTGAGCATTTACATGAGAAACAAATAACTTCACATCCTTTGCCGACTCAGAGAGATCTATCCACATATCTATTCTCTCAATGTTTTTGCCACCAATTTTCTAATCATGTTCCTTTCAAGTCCCTGACCATCCAGCCTGTGAATCAGTACCTAATCACACATCTGGCCATTTTTCCTCTAAGCAAAGTGCACAACCAGGTGCACTGCCCCAAATTCTGCCGCTTGAGATTTTCCTTTACCACTGTCATTAAAGGATCTTCCAGAAAGGGGCTGAGGTGCTGCAGCTGTCCACTTTTAGCTGGTGCCTCTGTATCATACAGAACCATTTGTCCACAAAGCCCGATTTTTCTCTTCCTCTGTCGGCTGATCATGAGGACTCCCCATAAGGCCATAGGTGCAGGTGGTGGGAGAGAAGGCAGTGTGATAGGAGTAGACACCAAGGACATTTGGGGCATTTCTTCATGTAACTTCTTTGTACCTCCAGGGCCTGTGCTGGTCCATTATTTGATGAGGGACTGCTGCTGTGCATGCCCTTCCTGGCTTGGTAGGTCAGATGACACCCAGTTCATGATGGGCAGCTCCGGTCACCTGGTAATTGGTGGCCCATGGTCAAGCGTTCAGTTTCTATTAAGGCCCAGTAGCTGGCCAAGAGCTCTCTCAAAAGAGTAGTTATCTACAGATGATGGCAGAGCCTTGCTCCAAAATCCTAAGAACTTCTGCTGTGATTCTTCTACAGCACCCTGCCAAAAGCTCCAAACAGCATCGCTATCTGCCACTGACATCTTGGATATCATTGGATCTGCTGGGTCATATGGCCCAAGAGGAAGAGCAGCTTGCATGGCAGCTGGGACTTGCTGTAGAGCCTTCTGTTCTGGACTCCACTCAAAACTAGCAATCTTTTGGGACCCTCAACAAATGGGCCAGAGTAAGACACCCAAGTGAGGAATGTGTTGCCTGCAAAATTCAAATAGGCCCACTAGGCATGGTATCTCTTTCTTGGTTGTAGGACGAGCCAGATACACAACATATCCTTCATCTTAGAAGGAATATCTTGACATGCCCCACACCATTGGACTCTTAGAAATTTCACCAAGGTAAAAGGCACTTGAATTTTAATTGGATTATCTCCCGTGCTCTGATATGCAAACGCCTTACCCATAAGTCCACAGTAGTTTCTACTTCTTGGTCATGAGGTCTGATCAGCATAAGGTTATCAATAGAACAGTATGAAATCTTATGGAAGGGAAAGGCAGTGAAGATTCCCGCAAACTGGATTGTGACATAAAGCTGGCGAGTTGATATATCTCTGATGTAAGACAGTGAGGGTGTATTGCTGGCCTTGCCAGCTGAAGGCAGAGTGCCTCAGGTGGGCCTTATGAACACAAATGGAGAAAAAGGTATTTGCCAGTTTAGTAGGTGCATACCAGGTACCATTTTGAAAACTGCATTCAACTTGTCTTTGACGGTTGAGTGCCGTCACTTGGTCCCTATCACCTTGGGATCCAATTACTCCCATTGCATTTAAGTTTTCCAACTGAATAACAGCAGCTCCCATTGTAAGGTCTGGTCTACAGAGAAGAGCAATCACAGAGCTCTTCAGGGGTGCTGGGGCTCCCCTCACAAATCCATTGTTCAAAGTATTGATGAAAAGTCTGTCTTCTGGACCCTCCTGGTGTGTCCGAGTAGGGTTTAAGTGACAAATCCACTGTAGCTTTCCAATCTCCCTAAGCCTTTGAATCCCTTCCTCTGTGTTAGCCCAAGGGAGATCAGGCATCTCCAGCTCACTCACAGTGGCTCATGTTTTTTGATCCATGTTTTACCACTCAATCAAACAAACTCACTCCCTGAGCTGCAAAGTTAAATTGAGGACCTCGGCTCTGAGGGTCCATATAAGTAAATTTGGCCTGATCCAACTTTATATTTCTTCCACCATATTCCCACACTCTCAGTATGCATTCCCACAAGCATTCCCCAGACTTCTGCTTGTATAAATTAGAAAACTGAAGTAGTTCTTTTGGAACATGGCACACCTCCTCCTGAATCACACTTTGAACCTCACCTCTAGGGGCCTGCTGGGACTCAAGTCTAGTTACAGGTCCAGAAGCAAAGAGGGGCAGGGGGGGTGGATTCTGAGGAGACTCAGCATTGTCTTGCTTGGCAACTGCCTCATGGAGGCTGTTACCATTTTCTTAGACAATGCAGGGTTAACTCCTTCAGACAGAGATGGAAAACCCTATACTATTGTGGGTGGGAACCACTTCTGCTAGCAAATAACACTCATCAGAATTTCATAGCTCAGTGTCTCCAGCCTCATCAGAGCCCTCCCACACATCCCCATCTCAACTTACAGATCCCATTCTGTCTCAACCAATGGCCTCACTTTAACCACAGACGCCTGCGGAGCTGAGAGTTCAGCTTTTGCTGTGATTCAGTCAGTCATATGATAAGCGCTCTTGTTTGATTTTCAGCAATCCCAGACCTGTGGCTACATGGGAGGAGATTCAGACTCAGGGCACACTTAGAAGCTCTTCAGCTATTTATGTAGAGCTGGGGCAGGAAATGGAATACCTGAACTCATTCTTTTCCTTCATCCCTTTGTCCACTGACATTAGGAGCAACCAACCAAAGTCATTATATTCGTTGGTTCTGCACAAATGTTAAGGGTATCATATATAGAAGTCACCAAGTTTCTTGTCTCTTATAAGTGGTGAATTAAAAGTACCAAATGTACCTATTTTATGTATCTCTATGAGCAGTTTGCACTAGAGAGTTCAGTGCTCTCTGTGCTGTTAGAAGTAGAGTCTTTGGCATTTTTAGATTTAACCAGATTAGATAGCCAATTCTAGAAACCCCAAACCAATTATGAAAACCTCTAGAACCACTGTTGGTACTAAAATCTGCACTAGTCAGTGTTCTTCAGAAAGACAGAACCAACAAGCTATTTATAGATATATAGATATATGTGAGGGGATTTATTAGGGGAATTGACTCACCTGATTACTGAGGCTGAGAAGTCCTGTGACAGCCATCTACATGCTGGGGATCCTGGAATGCCAGTAGTGTTGTTCAGGCCAAGTTCCAGGGCCTGAAAACCTGGGGTAGGAGTGGGGGTTGCTGGTGTAAGTCCTAGAGTCCAAAGGCCAGCGAGCCTGGAGTTCTGCTGACCAAGGGCAGGATAAGAGTGTATCCAAGCTCCAGGAAAGAAACCTATTTGCCTTGCCTGTTTTGTTCTGTCTGGGCCCCCAGCCTATGAGATGGTGCCAAGCACACTGAGGGTGGATCTTCTCCACTTGGTCTACTCAGACTCACATGCCAATCTCCTCTGGAAACTCCCTTACAGACACATCCCACTATAATGCTTTCCAGTTCTGTAGGTACTCCTTAATCCAGTAGGTGGATACGTAAAATTAACCATCACAAGTTCTGCTGCTCAGAAGAGCTCTAGGCTCTTAAGTGGTGTGGGCCCCTGAAGTCATGGGTGTGGATTAGCTCTATGGAGGATAAAGAAGAAATTAAGAAGACAGTGCCTTAGACAGAGTCTTGGAGATCTTTAATACTTAGTAGCTTTAGCTTGGATGAATGAAACATAAGAATCAGCCAGAAAGTTAGCTGGAGAGCAAGGTTGTTTTTAAATATAAGAAGCTCAAGAATACTATTTCAAGAAGGAGGAAATAGTCCAAAGAACCAAGTGCTTGCTTGTAAGTCAGGTATAATGACTGATAAAAGACCTAGTGTAACAAGATGATTGATGACATTAATGAAAAGTATTTCAGGCAAGGATGAGACCAGACTTAAATGAGTAGACTGAGGACTGAATGGGAGGTAGAAAAGTAGAGGCAAACATTATAATTCTTACAAGAAATCTGGTTATTTAGAGAAGAAAAGACTAGAAGCATGATGGAAGGAACAAGAGTAGTGGAGTAAATTGTGGTGTGGCATGTGCTTGTGTGTGTGTGTGATGTAAAGACGCATCTTTAGCTTCTAGAAGTTTTCAATTTAATGTAGACAACCAGACCAAGAAACAAGTATGCAGCACTTTGATAAGAGTGTGTAAAGACAGCCTATAACTCCACCTTGCTTATTGGAAGCCAGGAGACGAGATACAGCCCACCATCTTTGGAAACTGTGGTTTAATATGAAATTCTTTCTATATTTTGACTGAAGCTTCAAAACAATGGGAGCTATTACCATATTGCAAAGCAAGGTGCCAGACCACTGGCAATACTTGCAAAGAGTTGCTAAAACAGATTTTGCGATATTGCTATCTCCTCACCTTTAGCCTTCATAAGAGGCTGGCAAAGAGAGAGTTTGATATTAGAAAGACATTAGTGGCTTCTTTCTCAGAGAGCTCCTGATGGTCTCCGAATTGCACCCTTCCCAGGGAAGGTGTTGTGGAACAGACTTTTTTCTCACCTCTAGACTAGATGGAGGAACTAACTACAAGGAGACTACACACAGAGCTTGATGATCCCAGGGAACCAAACAAAAGCACAGGTGATGGGCTAGCTGAGTGCCCAGCAGCAGCAAATAGGGCTGCACCGGGGTGGGGCAGGGGCGGTAACTGCACTTCTCACAGCCATGGTCAAGCGTCTGTATTTCCCGAGGATGATGGCTTAGCCATGCTGGAAAGATTAGGCCTGGAGGTTTTTTGTTTTGTTTTGTTTTGAGACGGAGTCTTGCTCTATCCCCCAGGCTGGAGTGCAGCGGCACGATCTTGGCTCACTGCAACCATAGGCCTGGAGTTTTTATAGCTCCTGTCCAAGTGAACCACCAAATGGTTCAGTTCTGTGACAACGAAGGGTCTAAAACACCCACTGTAGTTAGTCAAGATGATTGACGATTTCAAAAACAAGGGTTAATGGGGGTAGAAGGTTGATGGCAGAGGGGTGAAATGTGAGTGAGAAGGAAGGAATTATAAACAGTGAGTGGGGACAACCTTTGTATAATAGAAGTTGTGAGAAGGAGAGTAGTACATGAAAATAGCTATAGGAAGGGCCTTTGTTTTGTTTTGCTTTTCAAGGATGCCAAAATCTGAATGTAATCCAGATAAAGCTGGGCTTTGTTGCTTTTAGCTTCTTGCTCTTTGTTATATTCTACTCAATAAATAGCAGTATTGCAACAACAGTCACACATATTATTGGAAAGAATACTTTACTTTTGAGATGGAGTCTTGCTCTTGTCGCCCAGGCTGGAGTGCAACGGCATGATCTTGGCTCACCGCACCCTCTGCCTCCCAGGTTCAAGCAATTCTCTTGCCTCAGCCTCCCGAGTAGCTGGGATTAGAGGCACCCACCACCAGGCCCAGCTAATTTTTGTATTTTTAGTAGAGACGGGGTTTTGCCATGTTGGCCAGGCTAGCCTCAAACTCCTGACCTCATGATCCACCCGCCTCGGCCTCCCAAAATGCTAGGATTACAGGCGTGAGCCACCATGCCCGGCCAAGAATACTTTACTTTTGAAAGCGAGAAAGGGCCTCTCTCTTTGTAATGCACATCGATGTAGTTAAAATTATTTTTTCTCTATATTTCTTTCCATATTTTACAAGCCCTTCTTCTGTCCCCCACTCCAAATAGCTCTCCTTTTCTTCTCAACCACCCCACACTCTCTTCTAAACCCAGTTAGAATGAGTTATTGATTCTTCTGTCTCCTGGATATGCCTTTAGGATCTATTCTAATTTTCTAGGGGAGAAGTCTGCCTTTTCCGCTGTAAATTTAGTGATTTCCAGCCTCTCCAGCTCTCCAGCCTCATTGCTACTCAACACAGTTACAGACCTTTCTAGGTGATGACATTGGAACAAAGGCTCTTGTCTTTTAAAAGCGATGGAGGAGAAGTCCTTAAGTATTCATACTTTAATATTGTAGCTTTGCATCGACTTAGTATTCTTCAACACTGTTGGAAAAGAGCCAGAGGGAGTGGAGCTGGAAATCCATGCAGTGGGTCCTTGAGGAGAGAAGCAAGGGTGGGAACGGAGCCCAGGTATAGGGGAACCCTCAGACAGGAGGGTACACAATTCACGGCAGCAGGGGTGTGGGTGGGAGAGGATGGGCGGGATGAAGAGAGGATGTTTACAGGGAACATGGAAATTGAAAAATCTGGACGTTAAGAGAATTTCTTTCATGCAGCTGATTTACCCAGCTAATATAAGGTAAAGACAATATTTGAATGAAATTAGAGGTGACAAGATATTATCCAAAATATTTATACATTCATTCATTTGTTCATTAATTCAGCAAACTTTCAATGAGCACTTGCTCTGTGCCAGGCCATGTTCTAGACACTGGAGGCCTAAGAGAGAACAAGAGAGATAAAAGCCTTGCTCTCATGGCGTTGATATTCTAGTTTATATTCTGGTTTATATAAACTGGAATATACACTTATATATTCCAAATATATATTTATATCTTCCAGTTCATATCTAGTTTATTTGCATATAAGCAAACTGAATTTTAAATATTCCAGTTTATATTCTAATTTGTTTATTTGCACATAAACAAACTCAGTTTTAAATATTGGTAAGTATTTTAAGAAAAATAATACGGAGTCCTGGGCAAGAAAGGTTGAAAAGGGAGGAAAATGGCTACTTTTGCTATGATGTCTCAAAAAATCTTTCTGACCAGATGGATGAGCTTGGGTCTGGTAGGAGAGGAACAGCAACAATTGCTGTGTGCCCAAGATGTAAAAATAGTTATCAGTGAAGTTGACACTTGAACCAAGACAGCCAGACACTTTTGGGAAACTTACCTAAAATAATTTTTGTAATATAGACTTCCAAAAAAGTTACCAACAATCACCTAGAACTACCTTACCTAATTTTAAAAAAGTTCTAAATTACATATGCTGATTTCTCTTAAGGTAAATAACTTTGGATGTGGCTTGTAAATTGCATACTACTACCATGTGGGACGGACACAAACAAGGTAAGATGATGTTGGCATACTTCATAATAGAGAGGGGAGATGTAAAGAGTGTTAGTGCTTTGCTGAGCTCATCAAGCTCTGACTTTGTTTCTTGTATTTCTCATCATAGGGTCATTTTTCTTTTCTTTTTTTTTCTTTTTTTTTTTTTTTTTGAGATGGAGTCTCGCTCTGTCACCCAAGCTGGAGTGCAGTGGCTCGATCTCGGCTCACTGCAAGCTCTGCTTCCCGGGGTCACGCCATTCTTCTGCCTCAGCCTCCTGAGTAGCTGGGACTACAGGCGCCCACCACCACGCCTGGCTAATTTTTTTGTATTTTTTTTTTTTTTTAGTAGAGACAGGGTTTCACCATATTAGCCAGGATGGTCTCGATCTCCTGACCTCGTGATCCGCCTGCCTCGGCCTCCCAAAGTGCTGGGATTACAGGCATGAGCCACCGTGCCTGGCCCATTTTTCTTTCTTATCTTTATTTTATCTTGCTCTTTTGTATGTATCTTTGTAACCTCCCTTAAATTATTCTGTGTAAAAGTTGCATGTCTAAATAAAGAGCATACTCTAGAAACTCAGTGATTTTTCTCTTCTGCTTCTTCACTTCTCCGGTCTCCAAATGCTGATGTGGATGTCTGCATCTATCTTGTTGAAGTAAAATTAAAGAACAATGGATTTTTCATATGTTGGCTCTTTTGTAACTTGACTCCCCCAGAAGCTGAGCAGTGAGATTTGGAGGGTGAAGAAAGATATTGTCAGTGAAGATGGTTCTAGCATTATAGGACTTCTTTGAAGTGGAAGAGAAGGTATTTTAGCCAACACTCAGAAGCTTCCAAGAACACCCTTGACATCAGAATTCCCTGAAAATAGGCATCTCAGGAGCATTAAAGAAAAATTTAGGTTATAAAAGGAAGAAGGCATAGCAAGTAGAAAAAAATTACAAAGGCCCCACAAAGATAAAAAGTTGCCTTGCGGATGATGATGGAAGCTTCATCCAGAATCTCTTTCCTAAAATATGAAATTAGTTTAGGTTTTGCCACTCTCAAATTAAAAATACTAATAGCCCATTTCTGCCTATTAAAATGGTGCATATTGAACGGTGTCTATGCTTGTGTTACACACACAATAAATTAAACTTTGACGTATTTCTGCAATTTCTGTTCACTTTTTCATTCGGGAAGCAAGCATTTATTGACATCTCCTATATGCCAGCACTGTGTTAGAATGGAATGGGCTGTATTTATTCAGACAAACCTCATCCCTGTACTAATTGAAGTGTGATATCCTAATGAGTTCTTCTACAATGCTGCTACCTTTCTTAGATCCAGAACAAAAGTAAACCATGGAGTTGGAAGACAAAATACTGATGACAAAATGTATTAATTGTAATTAGGCCCTGGGCACTGGCTGTAAGAGGGAGACATCTCTGGTAGGAAATATCAGGAAGGAAAACCTAATAGTTCTGCCCAGTTGGCCTTCATTATCAATCACTTGGACCTTTCAGTGAGTATGTTTTTCTAATGAGATGAGAGATGCTTGTAAATATTCCAAGATCTTCAGCTACAACATGACTATGTGGGTGGGGCATTGTTATCATTGTGGATGCAAATTTAGAATCTTTTCTAGGCAAAGGTTCTCCACTCCATGAGGTCAGAAGTACCTGCTTGCTAAGCTCCAGAAGGTTATGTCCCATGGACATTTGAACAGAAAGCAACTTTGTAGCACTTGCCCGTGCTTGGTAGGAGGATGTAAGGGGTGTTTTAACGTAAGAACAGAAGGAGCCACCATTATTCCGACTTCCTCCCTTGCCCAGAATTAACTAGAGTTACCTTAAGCAAATCAGCTTTCTTTGTCTGTCCTTGAGATCTCTTTAAAATATCACTTAAAGTTGCAGTCCTGAGGCAAACAGTTAGATGTTCTCTATACATTGCCCAAAAGCCACCTTCTTTCATTCCTACAGTGTCATTCTCTCACTGTACCTGGACATAAGTCCTGAAAAATCATCTGCCAAGTGCCCTGTAAACTGTGGCACTGCTCTCAGATAAAGAAGTAAATGGCATGATTTCTAAGAGTTTAGGGCTGATTTGTCCTTTTCATCTATTCTGACATGATTTAATGTTCCAGAACTTGTAAAGGGAACAGATTTTTTTTTTCTTTTTTTTTTTTGTTGTAAAATTTGTGAATAATTTATCAAGTGACTGAAAGAGCAGTGGCTTTAAATTATTAAAATGCATTTTGGTTTTGAAAGAAGACATTAGAGATGTTTGCCTTGGCCCATTCTTATGCCTTTACACAGCAGCAAGAGATTCCTACAAATTCAGGGAATGGTAAGGTGATTTTCAGTGATTTATGGGGAGACTGAGAAAGAGCCAAAAAAAAGCCAAACAAACAAACGAACAATACAGACAACTTTCATTTATTTAAGACAGAGCTTTTTCCGAAGCAAATAACCTTTTGTTACATCTCCAGAGAAATGACATTTCCTTTCCCTTTTCCTGCTTTGCAAGGACAGCAGATGCGTGGGGGGAGAAACTGAAACAAATGGAAAGTAAGGCAGGCACAGGCTCCTTCACGTTCCTTCTCCATGAGCATCCCTCACCGAGCATGCTGAAGGCATGGCTGTGCTTCCTTCAATTTGTCACACATCAGAGACAGCGCACAGCCTCTGATCTCTAGAGGAAGTTATCCATTCCACTCTGTCTGACCTAAATAATAAATTCTAGGCCGTGCAGCCTGGAATGATTCCTGTCTGTCCCAAAGGACCCTGGTTGGGCCCATGTGCCTTGTGGTATGGGGTGAGACGTCCCACCCAGATCTTGGCCATCTTAGTGACAGAAAGGGAACTGAACGTCAAACCAGGCTGTCTACATCCAGATACATCAGCTCCTACACCCTGCTTTTCCTTGTGCCTCCCCTCTTCTCTTTATTCCCCCTTCACTCTTTGCCAGTAATTTCTCTTCCACACTCTCATCCAAAGGCCGCATGCCCCTCCAAGCCTCTCCCAAATCCTACTGTAAATGGAAAAGGACATTCCATGCTGGTCTTACAAGCAACAAAATCTAGACAGTCATGAGACCAGCCCTTGGCCTGGCCTCAACTTTCCCTATGCTATGTATAAATCCCTGAGAGAAATTCTCTCTGGGATAGGAAATATATTTCACATGGCACAGCTTAGGCAGAGTAAGATAGAAAGCTAAGCGTAGTAGAAGATCTGGCAGAGGTGCCGCAGCGCGGACAGGGAGCTGTGAATCTGCCGATCCCTTATGTTTTTGACACTCTCTTAAACCATTTCTGATTACATCAATCCTACCTGTTTCTCTCATATTTCAATCCCTTGCTCTGAAAAGGAAGCAAAAAGTGATCGTTCTATAAAATGAAATTTTAGTACCCCTATTTTCTTGTTTAGATACTCCCAAATGGGTATCATCATCCTCATTCCTAAGTTTAGAAACGTGCCTATTGTACTAGGTGGCCGGGCTGGAGTCACACTCAGGCTGTGCGATGTTGTTCATTGTACTCGGTCAGGCCCCATCTTCGGGGTGAGTGCAAAATAGCTTGGGAAACTGGGTATGCATTCAATCCATTTTATTTCTTGTTCCTCCTTTTCAGAACAAGGAGTTGGAAGATGAAACACAGTCATGTGCTGCTTGACACCAGGACACATTCTGAGAAATGCTTCATTAGGCGGTGTGGTTGTGTGTGAACACCACAGAGTGTAGTTATACAAACCTAGATGGCATAGCCTACCACACACCTAGGCTCCGTGGTGGAGCCGACTGCTCCTAGGCTAGTGTTACTGTACTGAGTGCTGGAGGCAGCTGTAATACAGTGGTATTTGTGTATCTAAACATAGATGAGGTAAAAATATGGTATTATGGTCCTACGAGACCACCATTGTATTTGTGGTCTGTCAGTAACTTAAATGTTGTTATATGGTGCATGACTATACAGGTAGGGTCTTAGAATGATAAAATTCTGTAAGTGAGCAGAGGCTTGTACCTAATTTAGTTTAATCTACTCTTTTTAATGATAAAACTGGGGCTCTGAGATGCTCAGTGGCTTGAATCCAATGTGCTCTCCATGGGGCTAGTGCTCTTTCCACTGTAGTGAGCCACTGGCATTCTGCGAGCGGGGCACGATGGCGTTCTGGGATGTATATGCAAGAAGTCAGGAAACACTCAAGGTCAGAGGACAGAGGCAGGGGCACTGGCTTTTAAAACAGTTGTGGCAATTTTCATTTCCAAAGATGCTGCAGGGACATCTCATCTCATACACTCTTCGGTCTTCTACCAGCTGGCCACGACTCCCCCAGCACAGGGAGGAGTCTGGGCCCCCTTTTCCTGAACCCGGTATGGACTCATGACTTGCTCATAACCAATGGAATGTGGCAGAAGTGACTCTGCCTGACTCAGGCTGGGTCAGAAAAGGCCAGGCAGCTTTGGCCTAGCTGGATTGGGCAGGCCCTGGAGGAGCCACCTGCCTGAAAACTCGGATTACCCAGAGACCACATGCTGGAGAGGCCCCCAGCTGGAGCTGGTCCTTCTCACGGTCGCTGCCAAGGTGTCAGATAAGGAATGAAGAAGCCATTGTGCACACTGCAAGCCCTGTCATTCCCAGTCATTTGAGACTTCCCAGCTGAGGCCCCAGGCATCATAGAACAGGGGCAAGCCGCCCCCACCCAGGCCAAATTCCACACCCACAGAGTCCATGCCCACAGTAGCATGGTTGTTGTTCAAGTTCCTAAGGTTCATGAGGCTTGTTATTTAACGACTGATAATTAGAGAATAGTAAATGTTTATAATAAAAAATAAAATAGAAATAATAAATGCTTACAAATAACAAAAATAGTTTTATAGTAAGTTAATTTTGAAAGCTTTATTGATATGGGACTAGTTATGTAAATTACGCTAATCCATACAATGGAATACTTTGTAGCCCTTATAGGAATGTGATAGCCCTATACTTATTATGGAAAGAGGGTAAAGAGGCATGACAATTGAAAAAAGCTAGTGGAAAAGTATGTATATTATAATGGTGTTTGTATAATGAAGGCAAAGGAAATTGTGTGTTTGTGTGTGTGTGTTTCTGTCTCGTGGGACATGTATCTACACAAGACATTTCTGAAAGGATACAGGAGAAACGATGAAGTGGTTAACTGGATAGGGGGAATGAGGACTCAGGGAGGGGAAATGTTACATGCCAAGAGAAATTTATTTTTCTTGTTACTGTTTTCCCTACTGTTTGATTTTCTACCACGAGTTTGCTCTATTTTGAAATTAATGCTTCCAAGATGATGAATATTTTATATGCTACCTCCAAAGAGAAAAAAATTCTTTATTGCAGGTGACAGCTGAAGTTGTATATTTTCAACTGTAGCACAAAGACAGTAAAAATTATTTTTTTAATATTTGAGAAAGCCCTTTTACCCCAAATACCAACTTCATTTTCTGCATAGCTCAGTCCAAGGTGTCATTCACAAAATATTAATAATATAAACTATGATGTCATGTGAAGTAGGTGATATTATTGGGGAATTAATTGATGTCATGTGAAGTAGGTGATATTATTGGGGAATGAATCGTGTTTTCTTTCTGTGTCTCTTGACCTCCAGCTAAAGTAGGATAAACAGCATGTTTAACCACGGGCAGAAATTAACTCAGTCACCCAAAGAGAATGGTGATTGGCAAGATGTGGTTTTAGATGACTGAACACTTGAACATGCTAGCTCCTTTCTAGTAAGGACCCATATTGTGTTTTGCAGCCCATAGAGATGCAGAGCTTATCAGTTCCCCGGATTTTAGACATTGCTAGCAAGTGGCATCCACCATTCTGTTCTGCAGAGAATGACACAGTCCATTTAAGAAGAGGTCTTATGCCATGTCTTATATGAAGATACCTGGCATTTGGTGGTGGGGTGCATTCGTGGCTCATTGGTAAGTTAATTGTTATGGTGGAAGAGGGAGTGGAGGAGAAGGCACAGCGTGTGGTCCAGGTAGATGCTGTCCACTGCACATGATCAATGTCAGCCAGAGAGCTGCACAGCTTGGACTCGGCTCTAATTCCTCTCCTTCCACTGATATTCAATCAGGTGCACCTCTATGTAACTAAGGCTTTTATTTTTGGCAACGGTCTCCTATGGGAAACCATAGTTTTTTAAATGATGTGTCACAAATCTGAGCAATCACTTTTCAGTTCTGTGAAATAGCTTCTTTGAGTATAACCACCTATATATTTTAGTAAAACCAATTTGGTAATGTTCCTAACTTACTGTTATTATTATTTGTGTGGCACCTATCAGAGACCCTTGATTGTAGCCACTAATGAAAGCTTGCACAAAGCTATAAAGATTGTTCTGAATTATAATAGCTGTCAACAGTTTTCATCTCAGTAAACCAAAAGCCTATGCTATTTTGTAACTTGTGATGTTCTGTCTTTAAACTATAGCAGACTATAACCAAGCTATATATTCACAGAATTCCCACTTTATATGTCTCCTCATGAGTCCTGTTTTATTTTCTAAGATCTAGTCAAATAAAGAAACCCCAAGCAATCTTTCTGACCCCTGGTATTTGTCTCCTTATATTATTTTCCTGATTTCTTTGACAGGTTCTCTCTACGGCAACCAACACACTTCTATCCACCACAGACAGTTGCCTCATTTTCTCTGACTTATTGGAGCCATTTAACATTTTTGATACCTGCTCCTCAATCTGCCTTCTGGATGTGGGAGGCACCTCACTGTCTCTTCCCCTTTTCAGGAAGCCCCTGTCCTGTCCTATTAGTAATCTCTTTTCTTCTCCCCACCCCAGAAAGGTGGGCACACCCAAAGGACAATCGTTAACCTTCTACTGCATATTTTCTCTCATATGGTGACTTCATTCATTTTCTAATATGTGAATTTTTCCCAAATGGATAACCCCAGCTATAATCTCATTTTAGAATTTTGGCTCTACGATTAGATGATTTTTAAGATGCCTTCCAGCTCTATAAATCTATGATCCTATTATGTCTGACTGCTCACTAGATATTTCTTCTTGAATGTTCCACCATCATCTCAAACTCACCGTGTCTAAGTCCAAACACATTATGTTTCTCACTGGAACATGTGAGGCATATTGAATAGAGCTTAAACAGAAACTGAAGTGCAGTAGATCCAGGACTCAGTTTTGCCTCTCCAGTTCACTACCCCTGGGCTCTTGGGCAATTTGCGAAATCTCCCTGATTTGTGATTTTTTAGTGTAGAAGAATAATTTTTATTTTATAGGGTTTTTATAAGGATTGATGAGCTAAATATAAACTTGATAGGTAAATACTAGAAATACAGTTGACACATAATAATGTTATTCCCTGTCCCATCGCCTCTCATCTTCCTGCTTTCCCTGTCCTTTTCATTCTCCTATTTACCCAGTCTCAAAACGCTAACAGTATTCCTGTATGTCATCCTAACCTAAATAAAATCATGTTTCATAAGACAGTCTTCCAAATGCCTTGAATACCTGTGCTTTATTTTTATTCCCACTGGAACCAACCTCACTGAGCTGTTCCTCTCTTCACACCTGGAATATGGTAATTTTGCAGCTCTCTAACAGCCTTCTACAATAGCCTTCTTGTCTGCAGGACTAATTAATCCTGTGCTCTCTTGCGGGTGTGTTCCTAATTCACCTGTCTGTGTTTTCTATAAAGAATCACTAAATGGTGCCTGACCTAAAATAATGATTTAATGTGATTGTTTCAGCCCCCTTTTTTTTTTTTAAAGTAGGCATACATGACCCCCAGCATGCGTACAGTATTTTCTTAGGCACCTTGGTCTCTATTTTACTGCTGCCTTCTCATGGCTGAGTTAATCCAGTAGATTCACGTGTTGCATGAGGCGTATAAGATCCAGTGCCATGCATCTGTTTGTGCAGGTTCTTCCTTCCGGGAGTACCTTGCCCCTCAGATCGGACCATTTTGGTGTTCGCGGGAAAGCCTCACTGCCTCCATGAATTCTTTTTCAACTGTCGCAGCTGAAGCATCTTTCTCTTTATTTTCATAAACACATTGTATATTTTTGGACTTATTCATTGGGCATTCAAATTCATGAATGCAAGTGCTTTTATACACATAATTCCCACTTCCTAGAAAGTCTTTTCCCCACCTCTTGATCTTCAGAGTTTTTTACTCTTCCAATTTAAGCAGGATAAAATATTTTCTCCTCTTGGAAACCTCTTATGGCCTATGCAATCTTACATTTCTACTGCTTCTCAAGCAGATGTAAGCATTTGGTTTTCTGTGCATTCATCACATTTTTCACACACCTCTCTTATGTTACTTGTTATATTGTAATCACTCTCTCAGTCAGTTTTCCATGTGGCTTCCTAGCAAGCTGGGTTTCTAGTTCTTGTTCATCTTGATACCTTCAACCTTGCTAACACATAGAGAGTGCTTCATAAATATACGTCCCGTGAGATAAAGGGGTGAAGTTGGGGGATTTGTGAGGCCCTATCACGATATGCAAAACATATCAATGAGTGATTCCAGTGACTCCAGAATGACCTATAAATCTCAATAAGAGAGGATGGGACACAAATGACGGACTGGAGAACAATGACGACCTTCCCCTGGATGCTTGCTATCTTCCTTCCTGGTTCTAGAACCACTCACCATCTACAAACCTGTTTATTCCCAGCATGATAGGAAGTTTTATGTTGCAGAAAGATGATGTACTGGATTTGATTTTGTAATACTTTTTGTTTTGTTTAAAAGTCGTTTGCCTTCTGTTAACTTATTAAAATATCCACGAGGTTCATTTTTTGTTTACACTTGGATCAAGTTGGCATTTTAAATTTACTTGTTAGAACAGAAAATGTACAACTCTATTTCTGGATATCATTGGTTGTTTCTTTTTCTTACCCTCCCCCTCCTCTGTAGTTAAGGATTTACCTTGAAATGTCCCCAGCCTGAACACCAAATGACTTCTGTCCTAGAAGGGAATAAGCCAGAAGGAGAAGGAAAAAGTTGGGTTAAGTCTCCTTAGCCCCTAACCACAGGGCTAGAATGCAATGGCAGTGAAATGTACTAATTTATCTTATTTGACATAATTAGAGTTAGGGGCTATTGAACACAGAATGCAAATGTATGCTAAATATGCAAATCAACCACATTTCCCAGATCTGGAGAAGGGGGAAATGTGGTAGCCTTATGTTAGATGGTTCTCTCTTATCTGTGAACACAACTTTTCAGCACTACAAATGCAAGCAACTGCGCAGTCACAGTTGGGGCTGCTAATTTGGAAATCCAGTTTAGGCTGATTTGAAAAGACAACAGCGTTTTTGCAATCACTGGTGTATCCTTTATGAGAGAGCTAGTCATGCCATTTTTTGTTTTCTGAAGACGGCCTTTTTTTCTTTTTTATTATTATTATTTTTTTAAATTTGGGATCTTGCCTAATTCTTTAGTACAAAGCCTGGCCCTAAAACCGTAGAGTAGACATTTACTGGGAGTGTCCCCAGCCTAACCATGTATCAGAGAGGCCTCCTTGACTGGATCCTTGCCCAACTGCAGGGAGCCTAGTCAGCAGGCCTCCTGCCAGCCTCACAGCTCCTCAGCTCCTCCTGAGGGTCCTTCAGCTGCAGTGGGGCTGCATTGTTTGTGCTTCATGCCCCTTCTTGGGGGGCCTGCAATCCTGGAGGCTCATGCTTCCTCCCTCTTCCCTTCCCAGGTGTGGCGCTCCAATAAGTATCTGGAACCCCAGACTCCAATTCAGCATCTGCTTCTGGAAACTGAATTTGTGATACAGATCTTCATTCCCTCACCCAGTGTTTTCCCCATTTTAGGAAATTTTCTTTGTAGTTGGAGATCTCATCCTCTCCTAAATATCCCTGTTAAGTGGATCCAGTAAATTACTTCCCAGTGCTTCATCCCAACTAAAGAATAAATGGTGGCATTTGGGGCACCCAGAGTGCTGTGGGCAACTTGTCTGAGACCCTTTCAAACTATGTCATGTGAGTGACCACAGAGTCGTAAGGTCAGACTTGTAAAAACACTATTTTTTGCTGTGTGTTCCACTATGCTATTAGTCTGGCCAAAAGAGGCAAGGGGCTGGGAATGGAAGTGGGGGTGGGGAGTGTTGTCTTCAGGTTAAAGCAATATCAAACTCCAGTCAGAGACACGGGAAGAAATATGGAGACCCTGCGTGGGGATCAGTTTCAAATTACTATCTGGACTCAGTCAAGGAAATTATGTACAATTACTTGAAATTGGTATGCAACGTCATTTTAAGGAGTAGAATAATATGGCCATTCTACCAGTAATTTGGTTAGTAATTTGGTAGTAATCTCTAGTAATTACTGTAAGTGCTAACCAGTTCATTTTCCAAATCACTTTTCCTTTTGGGCGTTCACTTTATTTTGTACGTTTTAATTGAGTTTTTTTGTAAAATGGCCTAACAATGTTTTACATTCCATGGCCTTAGCCAGGGCTGAGCATGAGAATCCGCAAGCCACTGGGCCCAGTTTTGTTTTCAGCATCTGGATAGTTGCTGCTTAATTCATATGAATCCTCATGTGTTTCCATTACTGTCAGCATCAACTAAGACATTTTTGAGCCCTGAGTATCTTTGTGGTATTATAATAGGGGAAAATAAAATACTGAATTAATCAAAAGATAAGGCCCGTGGAGTTTGTGACCCAGAAGAGATATAGGCACAGACAGAGTGGAGCAATTCTGATGATAGGTTGTAGATGGTCAAGAGAGCCGTGGTGGTTTGTCAGCATGGCAGACGTTTGTGAGTGTGTAGATTTTAATTATTTAAACATTTAATTTTTTAAATTATTTAAAAAATTATTTAATTTCATGTTCTTCCTGGCTTTACAAATTGATTAGAAAAAGCCCAAGAACTGAAAGAGAGAAGGTAGGAAAGAATACAAAGATGAAGGGATATAATGGAATGATCAGCGAAAGTGTTTGGAAGTAAAGGAAGTAAGGAAAAGTGAGGGAGAAGGAGCTTAGTGTGCATCTGGGAAGTGAGCCGATTACACCTCTGGGGCTGGGGGAAGGTTAATTGAAGACAAGAAAGAATGTGCTTGGCAGGTGTCTGAAATGTAACTTTATCTTTCTATGAAATGGAATTCAGAATAGCCCAAATGCCCAAGTCACCATAAAGAAGGTATGATGGTACAATGTATGTTTTTGTTTGTATTTTTTTTGTTTTCCCAAAATGGCTCATGTATGAAGTAAGCTCTTAGAATATCTCCCACTACTATTGCAAATACAAACATAAGAGAAACCTATTTATTAACGCTGAACTAGTCTTATAGATAATTCATTATGCGCTTGCTGAGGATAGCTGTTGCCTGGGAGTTTCTTTATAGTTCTCCTCACAAGAGTTTTAATAGCTGTGCAGCGGAACTTCACACCAAACTTTGTTATTCTCACCCATCATATTTTTATCACAAAAATGTCACTCTGAAAGGAGAAGCTCACTTTCCCAGTACCTTTCCCACTTTATTTCTTGCAAAATGTAATTTGGTTTATGGGCTGCTACTAATAACTTGCAAAGTCTGATTTCTACTTTAAGCCTTCCATTGTAATAACACCTCATCTTATTTTTGAAACACACAGAAACTTTCATAACTCTTTGACTACCTTTAACTCATTGATTTCTGAAAAACTGTGAGGTAGGTCAGTGTGGCTTTTAGCTCATGTATTTGTTCACCCTATTTCTTGGTGTCTTTCAGCTCACCCAGGGCTTTGTAGCATCAGCTGTATGATTTTCATACTTTTACTAAGAATATTTTGTATGTCTTTCTTGTCTAGGTGCCTAGAATGGCTGCCATATAGTAGACGCTCTATAAATATGTGTGAAATAGTAATTAAACCAGAATCAGTGATTTCCATTGTGCTTTGTTTTAGACATTTGTCTCCAAAGAGAATAGCTTACTTACGTTAATTTCATTTATACAAAGTTTCTACCACTGAGCCATGTGAAACAGGACATACTGAAAAATGTTGTTCTAATACTTCTTGTCATCTATATTAAGCAATGATTTCAGCCTGGTGCATGGGCTACTCAATTCCCCTCTGAGGCTTTGATTAGTTCGCTTTTTAACCAGAGTATGCAAAATGAAATACGAAGTACTCAACGCTCAGATCCTTGAATTCTAATCATGCTCTATGACGTACCCATCATAATATCTGCAGAGAATGCTTCAACATCCCAGATCTAAAAGTTGTGGTCAACATTTCCTATGCCAGCTGTGTTAGGACATTTTAGAGAAATAAAACCAATAGGAGATATCTCAATAGAAAGATTAGATAGATAGATAGATAGACAGATAGACACTCTCTATATAGAGATCTACTGGCTCTGTTTATATATGTATCTCTACATATATATCTATATGTACATATGTTGATTTACATACACATGTACAAGAGAGAGATTTATCATAAGAATTAATGGACATGATTATGGAAGCCGAGAAGTTCCAAGATCAGTTGGCAAGGTGGAGACCCAGGAGAGCCACTGGTGTAAGTTTCAGTCCAAGCCTCAGCCTGAAGGCAGAAGACTGATGTCCCAGCCAAAGCCCATCAGGCAGGGAGAGAAAATAATTCCTTACTCAGCCTTTTTGTTCCATTCAGGCTTTCAAAAGATAGGATGAGGCCCATCCACATTAGGGAGGGCAATCTGCATTACTAAATCTACTGATTCAAAAGTTAATCTCATGCAACAATGTTCTCACAGAACACGTTTAACCAGATAGCTAAGCACCCTGTGGCACAATCAAATTGACATACAAAAGTAACAATTACAGCAGCCATCATCAGAGAACTACCGCCAGCCAATATAATTTTTTTTTTTTTGAGATGGAATTTTGATCTCTCGCCCAGGCTGGAGTACAGTAGTGCGATCTCTGCTCACTGCAATCTCCGCCTCCTGGGTTCAAGCGATTCTCCTACCTCGGCCTCCTGAGTAGCTGGAACTACAGGCATGTGCCACCACAGCCAGCTAATTTGTTGTATTTTTAGTAGAGACGGGGTTTCACCATGTTAGCCAGGATGGTCTTGCTCTCCTGACCTATTTTGCCAAAATGGTGAATAAGTTAATGTCAATATGTATATTTGTCAGGGAAAAAGAAAATAAAATGTAAACAATTAGAAACAAGCTTCTAGGCAATGTTCCTATGACCATATGGCTACGCTTAATAGTAATTTACGTTGCTCTAGTCAAGAGTGTTTATTTTAGGTCTTCAGTCTGTTTGAGGAAAAGCTGTTTTGCATGACCCCAGCTTGGAGACTGAGCACAGAGTAAAGTCTAGGATAGGGTAGAGTACTAGTGAATATACTACAGATTTCACCTGAGTATAATGAAGAAAGTGGCCACATCTCCGTTCCAGCCAGCTTCCCATAGGACTTGAAACCTCCAGCTAGGAGATGCTCCAGAGGGATCTGAGGGTCCTGGCTTTTAATAGTTCACATCATACCTATGAGGACTGTCAGAACAAGTTCATGAAGTAAGCATTCCCCTGCTGCCCCTTCCTACAAATAAAGAATGAAGAACTGAGAAGTCAAATGAACTCTTCAGGTGACCACAATTCATTGGTAGCAAAGCTAGGGCCAGACTCCAGTGTGCTTGGTGCTGGGTGCTGCACTGATAAGTTTATTGATACCATGATTTGATTCTCTGTTACCTGAAGACCTCACCTTTTCTTTTACCCTTATTCAAGTGAATATTGCATCTTTTTTTGGGTGGGGGGGTGCAGCTTAGTTCCTGTCAATGACTGCCATCAAAAATGCTGACCGGGAATTTCAGAATTGAACAGTTCAAACCTCCTCTGCAGGTTGAAAAGATGAATCTCACATTTTGCACATCCATCTCTGCAGAATATAGTCATATTCTGCTGCTTTTCACTATGTGGGATATATATCACTTTTAAATGGCGACTGTGGCCTCTTGGCACACTGGGAAGTGATTGGGCAGCTTAACCAGCTTCCCTTGCGTGTGATAGAGAATTCTGAGGCAAAGCCCAGGCTTTCTTTCCCCACAAGGACAGCCATTGCCAATCACGTTTCCTTATTTAAAATTACTCCCTGGAGAAAATTAAGCATCTTTTTGTTTTGCTTCCTTTAACAGTCTGTGGTTTCATGCCCCTCCTGAGCCTTACCTGTCTTGAAAAGCAAAAACCACATCCTTTACCCCTGAAGATCCAGCTGGTGGTATACGGCAACTCCTTCCCTGATGGCATTGTGTTCTGATTCCTTAGAAAGCACCAGGCATGTTTACCTTTTCCTTAAATCTTCAATCTCCGCACATCGTTTTGGGCAGGGCAAGATAAAACTGGGGTGATAGCTCATCCGGGGCCTTGCCAAATACCCTACCATTGGGACATTTATATTAGATATAGATTTCTGCTTAATAGAATAAGCCAGGAAAAATCACACTCCTTGTTGGCGTTCAAAGGATAAACCATAAAAGCCATTAAGAAGTACTGTAAGCATGAGGATGATTAATGGGACTCGAGGTGCTGTCCACTGACTATTTCCAGATAATGTCTTTGAGAGATTCCATTGCCTCTGGTGGCCATTCAGAGCTATTTATTTGCAAGGTGAAATTCTGAGTAATGATGTTTCCTGGGTAGCTCTGACTGACAGCGTTAAGGAGACAGAACTGGATGGCCCTGAACTCAGATCATAAAGGGTTTGCTCTCAGGAGTTGCTAGGATACTTCAGAGGTTGTGCATGGAAAGACAATATGTCTGCCCTCAAATTGCCCCTCCTTCTGTGAGCACTGAGTCTTCTCTTGAGGACCTCCTGGGCTTAAGGTTTATAGGGAAGAAGTGATTGTCAAGAACTATCGATTCCCGACTTCTATGAAACCAGTATGAATTTTTTCCTTCCTTGAATTGGAGTTAGTTTGGACTGGGACAGGAGTGAGCATCCTGAGGGCAATGCCCTCCCAGGACCTGCAAAACTTGTGGTTTGCATTTCTTTTTAAATTGACAGAATATTATGCAAAGTACTTCAAATTGTCCATCATTCTCCAAGTTTCATTTGTTAAAATAGATCCCATCTGCCTTCTTAAGTGCAAACTCTGACAATTATTTTTTAACATCTGGGTTGCAATAATGCAGTTTGTATGTCGATATGGTTGTTGATGCTTGAAAGTCTAACTTAACCTTTCCAGCAAAACAACCAGAGGAACCCAGGCTCTCATCTTGATAAAAGGCACCACCCAGCACGGCCTCTGCTGGAAAGGAGACCTTCAATAAATATTAGATGGGTAGGCTGGGCATGGTGACTCACACCTATAATCCCAGCACTTTGGGAGGCCGAGGCGGGTGGGCCCCTGAGGTCGTGAGTTCGAGACCAGCCTGACCAACGTGGAGAAACCCTGTCTCTACTAGAAATACAAAATTAGCCAGGCGTGGTGGTGCATGCCTGTACTCACAGCTACTCGGGAGGCTGAGGCAGGAGAATTGCTTGAATCCGGGAGGTAGAGGTTGCGGTGAGCCAAGATCATGCCATTGCATTCCAGCCTGGGCAACAAGAGAGAAACACCGTCTCAAAAAAAAAAAAAAAAATTAGATGGGTAAATACATTGGCAGATGGATGGATACATGGATGAACGGGTAAATGAATGAAAGCTACCATATTTTGAGCACCTATAATGTTGTATAAATCAGTCATTTATATAACAATTTATAATTTTGATATTATTCCCATTTTGCAGAAGAGAAAACTATGGCTCAGAAGTGACTCGTCCAAGGTGATAGAGACAGGGTTTAAGTGCAAGGTTATTTTACTTTTCAGTCTAGAAAAGGGAAAGATGGATTCAACAGTAAGTAGCTTCATAATGTAGCATGAGTTCATTGTAATTTCTACTTTACATGAAGCAAATTATTATTCATTTTTTAAAAAATGGTTAAGTTTCATAGATTTCAAAGTGCATATCCCCTTTTCTTTGGATATATTCAAGTAAAATAGTTGGTATGCTTAAAAACTTGCGTAGATTATATTTTTAGAAAATCTTAAAACTTCGTTAGGATCTGAGACTATGTTTTAAATATTTACTTGGGCTGGTATTTATCTTAAATCATTTCTGATGGGTGGTGAGGAGCTGAGGTTAGAAACATATGGATGAATAAAGGCCTTTTTAGTTGTGGTAAGAGCTAAGCCCACATTTCTCAGCCTTTGTTTACACGTTGACTCACTGTCTGAGTGAGCAGTCTTGGATTTCTTGCCTGCTCCTATTCTCCAGAGCTCTGAAATGCCAGGCTCCTCACCTAAACACAGACCGTCCGTGCAGTCCGCTAAGCCACCTTAAGGTTTCGTTCATAAGGTTTCTTGCAGTCCCATCTTGGCTAACTGAAGCTTATCTACTGGTGGTTTTACCTGTCTATTCTGATTAGTGGTAACAACTATGTTTCCTCTAAAGACCCAGGGGCAACAGCAGGGAGAGACTAGTTCCTAAGAACAATTCCAGTTATTCTCAGAGTATTCCCTTGTAGCTTGAGGTTGAGGTGCATCATTTCCAAGAAGACAGTTTATCCTTCAGGAAAATTTTTAAAATAGGAAGGAAAGAAGGAAGGAAGGGAAGGAAAGAAGGAAGGAAGAAGGAAGGAAGGGAGGGAGGGAGGGAGGGAGGGAGGGAAAGATAAAAGATTGTTCCCTAGTTACTCCTTTGGATCATTTCAATGATTATTTTCTCTCAACACTGCTGCAGGTTACTTCAAAGTAATCAGCAATGCTATCCTGACAGCCAAGATTCAGATAGATTTTCTATCAACTGAGCCAGGCTCTGATAGTTTATCACTGAAAATAATAAAGATGATAATAATAATAGCAAAAATACCTGCCCCAATTATGATTGACAAAATGTCATGGGGAGAAAAGAAGTATATAATTGATGGCAGTCATTAAACATAGACAGAGACTCAGGAGGCGGAACCCAAACCCTGAATGGTCAGAACCTTCGTAATGGGGAATAACAGGAAACTTAACCCTGAGCTGGTGTTATGGCAGGCACCTGATCCAGTGTGACAGGGTAACGATTTATTTCTTCAGCTACTGATTTTTAGAACACCACAGGGCTGCGGAAGAGAGGTAAATTTGCTATATCAGAGCAATATTTTATATTTTTAAGCCGATATACAACACTAACTTACTAATGATTTGACTACATTTTAATTCCTCTTTCATTTGCTCCTTTACTTTCTAATTTTTTTTATTTGATTTAGTTTGTTTTAGCTACTATTCTTCTCTTTACTTTTTTGTTATCTTTCACCTTTAAAAACATAAATATTACCTTTCCTCCTTTTTTTTTTTTTTTTGTGCCCAACTGCTCAGCCCAGCTGCTAGGTTAATTTTTGATGTCTCTTTATACAACTTGTCATGACTTTCTTCATATTAGCTTTATTCCTCTTTACTCCTCTTCTGTTGTCTTTCCTCTCCCCTTTGGCCTAAGCCCTGCTACCTTATCTTTTCCCATTCCCAATACCATACCTCTCTAGCACCCATTGGGTGCCTCTGTCCTATGTAGGCATTATTCTTATCCCAAATAACAAGGGTGGACTTGTACCCATTCTGCCTTCTCTCAGGGAAAGGGCGCAGTAAGGGGCAGGAGGCTCTGGGGGGCATGCCTACACCTGGGGGGCTCTTGGCCTTGTGAAATAACTGAAATGGTTTACCTGAAGGAAAGCGTATCACCTAACTTGGTTCTAGACTTATCACAGACTATTATTTAAATCTGCTAGGATGCTTAATGTACAGAAACATTGAACCAAAGGAGAAGATAATAGAATTACAAAGTAGTTAAAAATAGAATTGTTATGAAATCTAAGTTCAGCCCAGCTTGGAAAATGACTGAGGAGATCTATTGGTTGACTTTTAACCACTCCTGGAAGAAACATTAAGCCTCTTTCTTGACAGGACAAGAACCCCAGCCTGAAAGGTAGCCTCAGCTTCCACAGGGCAGTGAGGCAGAGGATGACAGAGGGGACCTTTCATGCTGGGCATGGTTTTGAGGATGGCCAGCAGGGCTTGCATTTCCTTGCAGGATAGATGTGTGTATATTAATTGCCTCTGCACTGCCAGCCACAGCATTTCCCAGAAAAAAAAAAAGAAAGAAAGAAGGCCTTCTTGAAACAGAGAAGTATTCATTTTACATTGTAACTAATGATACTCAGCTAATAGCCAGGGAGCAAGGTGGCATGACAGGAAAAGAAATCAAGGCATGGAGGATGGTAGCAAAATCAGGAATGGGGAGCCCTCTTCATACACTCTTTTATTCACCCGCTCACATTCTTACAGATAGGAGTTTAACACCGAAGAAAAGCAATTAAGATAATTTTCTAGAGTCAGACACACCATGAGTCTCATATCTTTTACATCTGACCAAAGGAGGACTTAGGCGAGTTGTTTAATGGTTTCTGGGCCTCAGAGTCCTTTCTATAAACTGGGAGTGAGCACGGTGGCTGCCTCATGGGTTCCGTAGGCACTGGAAATCTTTGTCCTGCCAGTCACCAGATATGCAGACTGGGCCAGGCCTGGAGTTGCTCACTTGTGGAGGTGGGTGAAAATGTGCCCTGTTGTCGCCTGCACACTCACCAGGTGGGGAGGGTGTCACGAGTGATTATGTACCTGGAAGCCTTTTCGATCCGCGATTCGTTTGGCAGCACGCCAGATCTGCAACAGCCCATAGCATCTGGTTGCTTGGAAAATAGTCACGTTCAGGAGGCAGATTTAATGGAAAAGAAAGAATATTTAGAAAAAAACAAAGCCTTAAATACTTGTAGAGTTATATGCAGGTTATATTCTTCTGAATATCTTTAGAAAAAGAATTTTTCCTTTTGCTCTTCTTCTTGACAAATAATCTTTGAGCACAAACTATGTCCCAGGCAATGTTCTAGTAAGTCATTGATAAAAGGCAAACACACTGATCAAATCTCTCACCTTGAAGATACCAATAAATAGTTTAAAACAACATAATATGTTAGAAAGGAAACAGTGCTAGGCAGGAAAAGTAAAGTGTTGAAAGGGGACAGGAAGTTCTAGAAAGATGGGATAAAATTTTAGTATGAATAAGACTGAATTCAAAAACCAGGAAAAGTCAGCCAGAGAGGCAGGTTCGGTAAAGGGAGTTGATAGTGACCCCAGGTAAGGCAGATTTCATTTAAGAATAAATAGAAAAACAAAACAAAGGCATACATACATTGATGAGATCTCCATGGAGTCAGGAGAATGATTACTCTTCTGGAATATTCTGCAAAGCTGAAGACAGTTCTAGAAACAGCAGCAGAGTGCCTTTGTCCAAAACATGGCTATTTGAGTGCGTAGTCTGAGCCAGGCACTGTTGCAGATGAACAGAGGAAGTGCCTAACATCGGTGGCGCTTCATCCCATGGAGGGAGACCGAAGCTAAGCAGTGGACATAACCAATAACTACATCTATTTAGTGCTATGCCGCATCCATGGGGATTGGTTCCAGGACCTTCCACCTATACCCAAATCCAGGAATGCTCAAGTCTCTCTTATAAAATCATCTTCAGATTACTTACAATACCTAATACAATGTAAACATTATGTAAACAGTCATGATATTGCATTGCTTAGGGAATAATGACAAAAGTCTGTACCTGTCAGTACAGATACGATTTTTATTTAAAAACTTTTCTGATGATAATAGTATTTGTACATATTTATGGGGTACATGTGATATTTTGATATAAGCATACAATGTGTAAGAATCAAATCAAGGCATTGATGTGCAGTTGATTGAATTCATGGATGTGGAACCCACAGATAGGGAGGGCTGACTGTCTTTTTTTTTTTTTTAAATTAAGTTAAAAAATTTTAATTAACGAGTGAACATGTACATATTTATCTTGTACAACATGTTGTTTTGGAATATATACATATACATTGTGGAATGGCTAAATTGAGTTAATTGACATATCATTACCTCATGTAGTTATCATTTTTTTGTAATGAGAACACTTAAAATCTACTCTTTTAGGAATTTTCAGGAACAGGAAACATTGTTATTAACTATAGTCACTGTGTTGTATAATGAATCTCTTGAATATGTTCTTTCTGTTCAACTAAAATTTTCTGTCCTTTGAACAACATGTTCATAAGCCACACCTCCTTACCCCTAGTAACCACTGGCAACCACCATTTTACTCCCTACTTTTGTGTGTTCAGCTTTTTTAGATTCCAGATATAAGTGACAACACTTTTCTTTCTATGCCTGGCTTATTTCACTTAATGTAATGTACTCTAGGTTCATTGATGTTGCTCCAAATGACAGGATTTCCTTATTTTAAGGCCAAATGGTATTTCATCGAATTTATCTACAACATTTTCCTCACCCATTCGTCTGTTGAGGGACACTTACGTTCTTTCCATATTATCTCGGCTATTGTCAACAGTGCTGCGATGAACATGAGAGGGCAGACATCTCTTCGACAGTCTGATTTCATTTTCTTTGGACATATACCCAGAAATGGGATTGCTGGATCATAGGGTGGCGCCATTTTTATTTTTTTTAATTTGACCAGAGCCTACTTCTTAGAATATTTTTAATTTTTTGAAGAACTGTCATCCTGTTTTCCATAATGGCCGTACTAATTGACATCCCCACCAACCATGTGCAAGCGTTCTCTCTTCACACACTGGCCAACATGTGTTATCCTTCATCTTTTTGTAATAGCCCTTCTGACATGTGAGTAAATAATTTAGTCTTTATTGGCTTAATTTTATTGCCCTCGAGAAAAGTGGCAGGATGGAGGCAGTAATCTCATATTTATTGGAAAGAACGTGCTTGAGCCTAGAATCAAGCTGACTGTCTGAACTCATTAGTCCCCCATTCCTGAGCAAGTTACTTAAATTCTCCCAATGTCAGCTTTCTTATGCTTAAACTGGAATTAGTAATATCTATGTTATGTAGTTGCGGAAATGAGGTCACGTGGTTAAAGAAATCTAGTGTGTAGTAGGTAGGTGTGGAGCTTATAGGAGGGAAGGGGCGTTACATGATGTTATTTATCCCAATTCAGTAATAATTATGATTTCTACACTCATTTAAATAGATGATGTTTGACTGTTTTTCTCAAACATGGATCATTATTTTTTGTCACACTTTGTAAATGAACATAAGAAGCATGAGAGGTGCATCTGTGCTCAGGAGAGGTGCATCTGTGCTCAGACCTGCCAGTACAGCCTAATATTTTTCTGAATCTTGAGGCAGTCAAGTTGCCCATATGCACTGAGGCCCACTTTATGTAGAGTGTGCTTGGGACACTTCCAGAGATGTGCACAATTAGCTAAAACAGTTTTGTCCTTTCAGAATTTAGCTGAGAAAATGACAGTCCACATAATAAGATCATTAATGATATAAGGCAGGAGATTGTACAGATGATGCTGTGGGATTTTTTGTATTTCTTCTTGAGGAGCTCATCTTACTAAGTTCAAATTATCAAATTGTGTTTAAGGAAAAAAGGTTCATTATTTCATCATCCTCATTTTTTTTTAACCATTTGTGGGTCATTCCTCCCAGGTTGTAAGTATTTTTATTCAGATGCATGTAGGTGTTCGATATTTACCCTTGTAATGTTAAAGATGACAGGATACTGCTCTCACTTTGCTCTGTTATATAAGCTATGTGTTCCCACCAGCCCTCCGCATCTTCCTTATGTACTTTGGTGGGAAGGAGGAGGCGGGGTGTCAACTCTCTTTGCCCTTGGGCTGTCACCTGGATGGGCATTCGGTGTTTGCTTCTCTGGCAGCTCTGTGCCAGGCCTGGGTCTTCCTTCACACTAGAGCAGGTATGTTCTGGAAGGAGGAATCCAGTCTGATAAACTCCTTCGATTCTTCATGCTAGCCCCATGGGGTGGGAGTGGCCCCTGAGGCTCCAGTTTCCACTCTTGGCTTCTATTCTCAGCCCTGGCTCTTTCTCCCCCAGTGGTGCTTTTGCTCCAACTGCTCATGGAGTTACCGCCATACCCCACATTCGGAGAATGCCTCTCTGGCTCACAGACTTCTATGCCATTCCTCAGAACAGGCCACGTTCCCCACAGCTTCTCCAGGGGCGCATCCTCTGGGCAGCACCCAAGCCTTTCCACCTGTCCTGAGGGTAAATTTGAGATCAGGCACTCACGTATGCATACACAAGCACACACACTTGTGCATGGACACATGCACTTCCTGCCCTCAAAGTCAAACAATTCTCAGAGAAGGCAGCCTAAATCCACTCCAGGTAGCAGAAACCTATTAGTAACGGCAGCATCCTCTGGCCCATCATCCTGGCCTGGATGTGTCAAGGGAGCAGTCCCAGCCCCTCTGTTCTCATTTCTGGGTTTTTAAGCCCACAGTGCTAGAGGCTGAGAGAAACAATGGCCCTTTAGAGTGTCTTCCCTAAAGAAATTTGGTGCAACTGTGTTCTTCCCCACGGGCCAGAAGAACAGCTTAGATTGGACTTCACACTTCACTAGGACAACCCTTTGATTCCTATTTGGGACACAACAAAGGGAGGAAACAAAGTTTTTTTCAATTATTTAGAAAGTGCCCATTGACATAAAGGAATGTTAAGTGACTTGTCTAAAAACAACGTGGCGCCTACAGGGCTGACACTGTTCAGGGTTCAATCACCTGATAATTCACAACATTTTCTTTTTGCTGAATTTCATGCACCTCCTTACCCCAAACATATATAATATATCCCCTTTGTAAAAAAAAAAAAAAAAAAAAAAAAAAATCACAGCCTCAATGGAAAAATATTAGAAACCAAACATGATTTTATGGGCTAAAAATTCCATTCCTCTCATCATTTCTATTTTTGACCTTGTTGCCCAGTTATGAGAAATTGGGAAAGGCAGCTCTTGGTGCCTCAGTTTCTTCATTTGTGAAACTGAGAAAATAACACTTAACCCCTCCCCGCTTTCCACAGAAGTAGCAGGCTTAATACATTAGTGCTAGCAAAGCACTTTACGCTCTCAGAGTACCTTTCACAAAACAATATCAAAGCATTACTGCATCTATTATTAACAAATAAGATTGGCTTGAACACGGAGCCCCGAGAGAACTTCTTTGTCACTTCTCTGCATGCAGACTGAGTGACATTTTCTATGACCTTCTTCACTTTGCCTGCCAACAACCTGCTCATTAACATGGATCATAACACTGTTTGGTACTTTTCCACTGCCTTTCATTTGGAAACCTCCAAATGCCTTGCTAACACGATTAAATCAAGTATCCTCAAACATAGGTTAGGTGTTACAAGAACCATTACACTTAGGGCAGTGGGCAGAGAGATCCAAGGAATGGAAAGTTAAGGGCAAGAAGTAGTTCCACTCACTGGGTTTCCATTCCTAACCCAGAAACGAATAACCCTTCAGCTCTTTGGGTCTCTCATCCCCGCTTCTTGAAAGCCCAGTCTAGAATGTTAGAAAATTGCAGCAGATTCACTGGTGTGCTCTATTTTCAGCTACTTCCATAAAGAAATCAATTCAATGTGTCTGACAGTCTACTTTTCCTGAAGCTCTGCTGGCAGAGGGCTTAACTTTATATCATCTTTCACAGCCCCAAAACAAAACAAACATTTTATTTCATCCTCAATGAAAGTAACTTCTATTTATCTTGGTGAGATTCCCATGCTAGGTAATCTGCAGTCACCAGTCGGATTTCCTTTGTTCTCGGCACTTTTGGGCTATTGCATTTTAGTGCCTGAGATGCTGAGTCCGTGACAGAGGAAACATCTTGTCATTTTAATGAATTGAGTTCTCCCAGCGCCACTCTTCTCACCAACAGTCCTTTTCCATTCCCATCAAGACGTCAGATGCAAAATAAAACTGCAACATGGCAGAGTGTGCAAGAACATTCAGATTATTACTGAATTATGTGGCTGGAAGACTCTGAGAGATCACTTTCCTCATCTCTAACTTTTTGAGATTTTTCTCTAAGTGAGCTCAAATTATTACCTGTTATAACAGAGCTTTCAAATCACAAAGGGCCTCAGCAAGTCTAAGTGAAAAGGATGTGTCATGCATTGTGTTAAGGAACTGTCTAAGCCTGGGCTTGTTTCTCTTGGCACCTAGCTTTCTGTGACTACTCACACATTTAGAAGTTGATCAGTGAATACAAATGAGCAATAACATTATACAGAAGGAAGATCAAGGGACTTGAAGTCAAAGTACAGAGATGCAAATTCAGAGCTGTGTGACCTGAAGAAAGTTGCTTAAGTTTCCTGAATTTTGTTTTACTCATCTTTGAATCAAGGGTATTGAAATCTACTTGATCTCCATGGACCTCACAATATGGAAATGATATCTTGTAAGATAATATTTGAAAATTGTCTGTATATTCGAAAATGTTATGCAAATATTCGTCATTATTAACAATGTTAGTAAAAACTAAACCTAACTGCAAAGGAACATCCACAGTGAAAAATGTATAATGCATCCAAAACACAAACACAAATTTCAAAATCCACGATTGTTCCTTGTCGATTATGATGATTCCCTTCTCTTGGTACAATTTGAGATGAAAAAGTCAAAAATCGACAAAAAACTAACAAGACTTCCAGATGACCAATTGGGATTGTTTTCTTGGTACAGTGCTTCAAAAGAGACACCTGCAGTGCTAAGAAGGGCCTACTTGGATGACATAGCCAAGGTGTATCCACAGCTTAATAGGATCACAAGTAGCATTTGATGATTTCATGATGCGCTTTATAGCATCCCCTTGGTGTGGCAGAATCCCTAGCTTCACAAAGAATTTACCTGAACAAATGGCTTGACTTTTTTTCTGCCTCAGTTTCCTCAGGAATGAAACAATTTATGTTCTTTTGTTGGCCACATAATGTAAACATCAAAAGCAATTCTATGTGCAAGTATGTGGAAGTGCTACCTATAATTTGAGATCGCATTAAAGTGGATCCTTGCTTTTTATGTGCAATCATTTTTAAGCTACTTTTTTTTTTTTCCTGAGGAGAAGAGAGAAGGATGGCTAGGACTGAACTAAAGAGTGCTCCAAGGAGATGAAATTTCTAAGAGTCACAGATGAAGTGAAATATGACAAAGTGTCAGCTGACCACCAGGAATAAACAGATTCCTGGCAATAGCCATTATTAGATCGTGGAATTGCCTCTCTCAGGAAGTGGTAGAAACATTTACTGCTCAACTGGATAAAGTACTCTCAGGGGCCAGATGACCTGCCATTTCCTTCTACATTATCTATGAGTTTTTTCTAATAATAATAAAACCACTGAAATTGGCTACAGAGCTATAATCACTCATATATAGGCTGGGAGCTGCATCGTCATGACAGCAGGCCATGTTCTCAGATCATTGCTCTCGATTTGGCCTTGGTCTTGGCGACTCCCCCAGTCTGTTTAGTGCTAGGTCCAAGTCTACAGAGGACTGATAATAGCGTCTACACTGGCCTTACATGCATTTAACAATGTTGAGCCACTACTTTCTAAACAGTAAGCTGGATTCAGGCAGCTTCAGAAATACCATGAAAACATGATGCTGTTTAAATGCTAATGCTGAGGCCTAGAAGTGATGGTAGCTGGCCAGGAGCCGTGTTTCCTCTGTTGGGCTGAGCGTATGATTTCATTTCTCCTATTTGTTCAGTTGTAGTAAACATTTTTCATGGAGTTTTTACAGTGTTTGCAAAAATGCCTCCTAAGCAAAAATCGAAAAATACACTTTCTTCTTTGTACAGTTTTCAAAAATATACTCCTTTTGAATTGAAAAAGGCTTATGAAAGAATGATGAACAAACCATATTTGATATTTACAAGTGTTATTTTCTTGTTATTAAATTCAGTTTGTAAGATGTATGTATGTGTGTGTTTGCGTGCGCGCGTATGTGTGTGTGAATCTATTCATTCCTCTACTTATCCCCTCGAAAAATCTCATTTTCAAAATTTCATAATATTTTTTAAAAAGGAAAAAAGAATGACCTGCCTGCATCGGTAAATCAAAAGCTAAAATGCTGACTCATGCAGCAAAGCGGCCTGACTTGCGGAGCTAATGCCCAAGTGCCGGCTCTATCGCCCTCTGTGGCAGCCAGGGGCTCGCTGTCCGCTCTCCCACCAGCATGGCTTCAGGAGATGAGCCCTTCACTCATAGGGCATTTCCGGCTCTCAGCATAGTGCCTGGCCCAGGGTAGATGCTGAGTAATCGCCCATTAAAGTCCAGTATGTTGTTGTTGCTGTTATGGAACCATTCTTACAAAGAATATCATAGAACCCCAGATAGAAAAAAATAGATAGATGTTTTTGGGTAGAGAACCACTTTCAAGTGAGATCCTTACTTTGTGATTCAAGATTTTATGTGTCTTTCTTCTTTCTTTTAATCTGAAGTGCATTCCCCTATCCTGCTTCATGGTCATGATTTCATTCAAATTTATTGAATTCCTACTTGCAATTCTATTAGATCCTACAATTTATAGATGACCAATGGCAGAGAAATTTTAGACCTGATTTTTACATACTGCTTTGCAGTTAAAGTACTTTTCTTTGCATAATCCAAAGCATTGATTGAACCCTGTGAGGTGGAGACATAGATAGTTCTACTTTTATTTTATAAATGAGGAAACTGAGGCTCAGGGATGTTAAGTGATTTAACTGAAGTTACGTGGTGAGTGAGTGACAGATTTGAGCCTTAAACATATCTTTGGACTCTGTAGGGTTTTTCCCTTCACCTTCTGAAGGTTTGCTGAAAAATCAATTCACAAAAGGCAGATTAATTGGAGAACAGGTACACAAAACTTATTAACGTGTACATGGGAACCTTCAAAATAAAAAATCAGGCTGGGTGCGGTGGCTCATGCCTGCAATCCCAGCACTATGAGAGGCCGAGGAGGGTGGATCACCCGAGGTCAGGAGTTCAAGACCAGCCTGGCCAACATGGTGAAACCCCGTCTCTACTAAAAATATAAAAATTAGCCAGGCTTGGTGGCGCATGCCTGCAATCCCAGCTACTCGGGAAGCTGAGGCAGGAGAATCACTTGAACCCAGGAGGCGGCGGTTGCAGTCAGCTGAGATCTCACCATTGCACTCCAGCCTGGGCGACAGCATGAAACCCTATCTCAAAAAAATAAACAAATAAATAAAATAAATAGAATAAAAAAAATCAGTGATAACAGGGAAAATTGTCCATTTTCCTGCTTAGGTTCAGCAAATTATACACAACCATGTAGAAATAGGATTGGACGCAAAGGTCATGATCTAATGCTAACAGACTGAGTGGGGAACCCAGCCAGGCCCGTGTAGATTCCTCCCGGCCTCTAGGAGCAGCGTCCCTCCCTTCTGGGTGTGGGCGTCTTATGGCCTTCAGTCAAACAAGGCAAATTGGATGATTTCTCTATGGCCAGTTTTAACCCAGAAAGGTGGAAGGAAAGTTAGAGTCATAGTTTTAGGTTGGATGGCCGACTTTGGAGAAAACGTGTTCTGACTTCAGTGACCTGCCTTGAGGAAGAGGGATTCTGGATTCTGCCGCCAGCCTCAGGGGAGGTTAAGACTGAGAGACAGGAGGGCTCCAGAAAGCCAGCGAGAAACTTTTGCTTCTTAGGCTGCTTCTGAGGCCTTCATTTGGGAGTATTGTTTGCTGAGACCCAGCAACTCAAAATCACTTCACTAAGAAAGAAGTCAGTATACCCGTTGTGTCATATTCACACACGTCCTCACTGCCTAGCTCTCTTTTCAGCTGAATATGTTTATTTGGTCATGTCCTCCTACGTCAAAAGCTCCCATGTATATTAATTCATGCAACTATACTTGTGGTCACTGCAAAAGGCCAGCCTGGATGCCAGAGTGAGCTTGTTGGGCTCAGGATTTTCTGCTGCAAACACATCCTCGGCCGAGCCACGCCCCATGCAATGTAGCTACAGGCAGGAAGGGTCTGATCACGCCCCATGCCATGTAGCTACAGGCAGGAAGGGTCTGATACATGGTGACTGCTCAGTGGGGCAGATACTGAGGCTGCCCACACCCAGTCTAACAATAGACAGGCATACAGTGTATGCAGAGAGTCACCTTAACAGTGGTAGAAGGAGTAGTTTCCTTAAAGCAAATATTTTCTTAACCTCAAAGAAATATCTCAGTGTAACCATGCCAGATAAGGTTCTGCATAAAGGGTTAGCTTTTTGAGTTATAATCTTCTTTTATGAAAGAATAGCCTGGAAACTTTAGGTCTCACTTGTGTGTAAGGATTTGAAATATTTTAAGCCAAAGAGAAAAGCTTTAGAGAAGAGTTTAGCTGCCAGGGGCTTTTTTCTGTAACTCACAGTGATGAGGCAAGGGAAGGCTAGCGCAGACCAGGAGACAGGCCCCATTAAAATCTTATTAGCATGCTTTGAAGTGACAGTAGTGCCACGTCCGAAATATCTCCCCAGCCCACCATCTTTCTCAGCTGCCTGTGTCCTAGCTAGGATGCTGGGCCACAAGCAATGGAAAGCACCCTGAGCTGGAATCTTGCTTCATCCTGAATTTATCCCAACTAGCAGTTTGACCTATGAGATGCCATGTGCACCTCTTGTACTCTCAGAGTTTTTTTTTTTTTTTTCGTATAGATGACAGAGCTAGATACGATGATGTTTATGAGCCTGTCCAGCTCTAACCTGTGTGAATCTTTAAGGATTGCCGTACCACTTTCATTGGTAGGAAATCCAGATACTGTACATTGGAATATTTCAAAACGAAGTCAAATTGGAAACAGATGATGCACCCAGCCTACCCGAAACTTGGTTCCCATCTGCAGTGCAGATGTAAGCCAACAGCTAACATGGAGAAGTGGTCAAAATTGTTGGGTTCTTTGAAAAAATACTAATTATTAAAAGTAATAATTAACACATGGGAAAATATGTCTAAAATACATGGTATTTTTTTCTTCTGAAATTAAAATGTCCTCTTAAAAGCCATTTAAAAACTGTGTCATTCTAGCTTCCTTGCTACCATTGCTTTTGTTGTGCAGAACATCATTCTAAATTTAAAGGCTGGTAAACATGCAAATTGAAGATGTTTGCTAATTCAAGTTAAGAGAATATTCAGATTAATACAATGTAACTCGAAGAAATGATTTAAAGGAAAACAAAAAGACTAAACAAGTACCAGCATCCAGTAGGAGTAAACTTATTTTCATACTCAGTTAACTAGCTTAAGGAGAGAGTAAAATTAAAAAAACAGTTTTTGTTTTTTTTTTTTTTTTTTATTTGAGATGGAGTCTCACTCTGTTGCCCAGGCTGGAGTGCAATGGTGCGATCTCAGCTCACTGCAAGCTCCGCCTCCCGGGTTCAAGCGATTCCCCTGCCTCAGCCTCCTGAGTTGCTGGGATTACAGGTGCACGCCACCACGCCTGGCTAATTTTTTGTATTTTTGTAGAGACAGGGTTTCACCGTGTTAGCCAGGATGGTCTCAATCTCCTGACCTCGTGATTCACCCACTTCGGCCTCCCAAACTGCTGGGATTACAGGCGTGAGCCACCGCGCCCAGCCAAAAAAGCAGTTTTAAATAGTGGATCTCATACACTGTGCCAGACAAAGTGAGACACATACAGGCAAACATCTATTTGGATGCAAGTACATATGTATATTTGTATTTATAAGCATATACATATGTAGACATTTTTGAATACATAATTATTTTGAATAGTCAATATAACCTTAACACATAGGAGTTATTTTCCTGTTTTTCAGTCGAGGAAACTGAAATTCAGAAATAACTAACCTGGTGTCCCTTAGCTAATAAATGAAGAAGCCCAGCTTTGAAAACAAGCGCCTAGCCCTTCTAAAGAAAGTTGTCTTTATATTATACCCCATTTCCTCAAGTAAGGGCTTTGTTATAAAACATCCCGAGAGCCTGGTGTTTAGAAACTGCTACATTTAACTTAAATAAAGAACACGAGTTATTTAACATTTTGAGTTTTGATTCCTTCATCTGTGAAAACGCAAATGAAAATATCTACTTTGGGAGACAGTTGGTGGGATTAAATGAGATACAGTGAATTAAAATATCTGCAAAAGTCCCTGGCAAATCGTGGCCTTGTACAATATATTAGTTTGTATAGCATTTTAGTTGCAGTTTCTCCAAATCTCTTCGCACTTAAATCTTTTTTGTTACAAAAAGAGAAACAAAATTTTGCCTACTACCTCAAAGGAGTAAACAAGTATTTACTGAATGCCTTCTATTATGTCATAACGTTTTATGTGTCACATTTCGGAGCTGATTGAGGTCATGATTATGGAATGTTTTATGTGGGGTGGTGGTAGTTAAACAGTAAGTACAGTTACGTGAATCTAGCTTTTCTGGTGTCCCCAAGCGTTCAAACAGCTTTTTTGGTAAAATGAATCCTGGGAAACTAAAAGTACCCCTACCTTTTGCGTTTCCTGCTGCCTCAGTCCCTCCAGTTTGAGTTAGTTTTCCTCTAGAGGCTTTGGAGGGAAAGTTTTCCTCTTGCCACACTCACCTTGAAGCAGGACGTAATGGATTGCCGTGGCTTTCACTATGCATCTTGTCTCAATACAGGCCTTCGGGGGACAGGCCTGCGACATTACCCAGTCTACAAAGGCAGGTAATTTAATAAGGTTATCATATTTTCCCTCTCTATAATGACTTAAGAACACCCTTCTTAAAAAGTCATGTCAAACGTTGTTCCATTTAAAAATCAGTTACTGAATAAGGCAAGCGGGATATGAATCAGTGGGCACATAGTATAACTCAAGTTTTGAGATGAAAACTGGCCCTCCAGGCCTTTGTTCTGCATCAGGTTCAGGAACATGAGAAGTGTGTGGCTGTCTGCAAGTTATTAAGTTCCCTGCAATAGAAAGGCATCAACAGACAATCTCAGTAAAGCATCTTTAACTTCCATACATTCAGCTTTTTAGAAATATTTACTTACATAATTACACCTGACTCTCATAAGCTGCTTTGCATACACGAAATTCAGTCTTTCCTACCACAGTTGATGTATTAACCTTTCCAGAGATCTTATGAAGTGCTGCCTGTCAGCTAATGGCCTAGTGTGTCAGCCTTGTGCAGGTATTTGTATGGTAATATTGTGCATGCAATTATTTGAATGCTTTGTTGCATTTTCCCCTTTTTTAATGAATTGAAAGCAGAAAATGAAAGGGTTAGTATTAGGGCTAGGAAGCTGAGGTCTCATATATATATGTAGCTGAGCCCATAGTACCGTTGAGAAAATGATGGAAATGAATAGGCGTGTTTACAAAATTAAGAACATGTGAAATACGGGAAGTATTTTGTTGAAAACTGTCCCTGAAATATAAAGTGTAATTAGGAAGATAATATTTTCATTGTGTACTCTCATTTGTCTCTTACAAAACACTAGCCTTTGCTAACCTTTAACGTTAGAATTTCATGTGTGCTTTCAAGAAAGCTCCGTCTGGCAAAGTAGGAAGCTGCTGTAATAATCAAACTCTGACTTGTGCTAGCTCCAGTCTATCTTTTCTGCAGGACGCAGATGCTGCTCCTAAAGCTTTCTTGGACTGAGAAGACTTTTCTCATTTCTGAAGTCCACACGAGTTTCCTCATTACTGAAGAATGCATTTCACGATATAAAACCTAATCTACACAGCTGTATGTTGTTTGGGACTCAGTTAACTTAGAATTGATTCTCTTCCTCTGTACAGTCCAGGCAATTGAAATAAGTTAAATGTTTTTTTCCAACATAGCCACCCACATTTAAGGCATGGTGACCTAAAGTCTTTCCTTGAGAACTCGCACCTCTGAAAACCTGATACTTTGTAGAGGCATATGGAGAAACTCAGTGTAGCATACAAGGTATGCATGCTTCTTCATGGCTGCACCGTCCACTCCTTCCTTCAGTCTGCTCTTCCCCCAAAGTGATATGTGCTTTCATTTATCATCATCATCATCACTATGATTTTAAATCACAAAAAGTCCAGCTGCCTTATTTCACATTTTTTTAAACTGTGGTTCCAAGCAAATTCTGAAATGAAATGAAGAAAGGAAATATATTTCAGAGAGAAGTCCAACTGAGAGAAAACAAACGAGCATATTTAATATTTAAACTAATCAATCAAGTACCCTTGGCTCAAAGAAATGAAGAGAATGTGGAATACTCTTCTGATTTCCAAGTATACACACACACACGTATAAACAATGCTACTTAGATCTTTTGCATTTCTGCTGCGTTACCTCATAGTCGGCTACCTTTATGTTAGTTTATGAAATAATCACAAGGACCCATTGAATTAGGTTTGCGAACGTACTTTTAGATTTATTCATAATAACGTGGCTTACACTGATAGAGTTTTATATTTAAAAACACTTGCATATGTATTTCTTTGATTAATATAAGGAGAATTCATCACCCATGTTGTGGATGAGAAAATGACACTCAGAAAGACTAATGCTGCTACCAGAGTCAGGACTTGGATGGGATTTCTGATACCTGAGCCAAAGTTCTCCTCACCCCCCGGGAAGAAAGGGGCCTCTGGGAAATCCCTCTTGGGTTGGGTGGAGCCTCACAAGTCCTGGAGGCTCATAACCTCTCCACACGGGTCACTCCCATTGCCCTTAGCTAGTTCCCAGCAGAGTTCAGCAATGTAAGTATCATTGTCAAAGGCATCTGTGCTTCTTGCAGGCAGAGCAAGGGAGGGGGAAGCCGAGGAGGTGCATGCCTCCTGCAGGCAGATGGGAGGAACTGTGGAGGCATTTCAAAGAGGAAGGAGGCACCCTGGCAGGCCCGGTCAAAGAGGAGGGAACCTGGGAGCCTGACTGAGTCGGGTGCAGCCATCAGAGGAAGCAGAGCAGGGTGTCACTGTAGTGTTTTGGTGACAACCCCAGAGCCTGAGAGCTGTGCAGACAGGCTACGGATTTGAGTTTTCATGTGTACAGTACTGCATTTATACAGTTAGAAAATTAGGCTGTCAGATATTCTCTTCCTTCCTAGTTTTTCTCAATGAGTGGAGTTTACATGTGTGCATGTATGTGCCAGTGAGAAACCGCCGACTTCTGTCTTCAGAGTCCTCCCCTCCCTCTCTCTGTGTTCACATAACCCACCGGCTTCCTAAGGACGCCACACTGTCCTCATTGCCTCGGGGTTCAGTGCTCACCCACACCTGTCTCCCCAGGGTAACACTTAGAGCAGCAATTCTCACACTCTGTGGTCTCGGGGCCTTTTTACATGCTTAAAATTGTTGAGGATTCCAAAGAGCTTTTGTTCATGAGGGATATGCAGCAATACTTCCACATGACAAACTAAAACTGACAAAAAATCAATGCTTTTTAATTCTTTGAAAAATAGCAACACAAATTTCATTACATGTTAGCATAAGTAATTTTTATGAAAAATAGCTATATTGTTTTACAAAACATTAATGAGAAGAATGACATTGCTTTATAGCTTTGCATGTTTCTTAGAACGCAGCTACAGCCTTATATCTGGTTTTACATTTAATCAGTTACAGTATATATATATTTTTAAGTATGTAAAGAATATCTGGCTTCACACAGATTGTAGTAGAAAAAGGGAGGATTTTCATAGATTGTGTGATAGTTGTGGATATTGTTCTTTGATAGTATACCAAAACTCAACAAGTGATACTTTCTTAAAAAGTAGTTGCAATGTATAATCAGAAACCATATCAATTAAATTTTCTTCCTCTGTTACATTAAAATGTACTAGTTTTTTCTTTACTATCTTTGCAACTTACTGTGAATCTGTAAATACTTCAAAATAAAAAGTTTAAAAATTGTACAAAGAATTTCAACACACATTTCTTCATGGAAGATATACAAATGGCCATTAATCACATGAAGAATATTCAACATCATTAGTCATTAGGAAAACTCAAATTAAACTCGCTATGAAATACTTCTTCACAACCATAGAAGAGCTACAATACTTTGGACAATAACAGGAGTTGAGAAGGATATGGGGAAATTGGAACCCTCATTCATTGCTGGTGTGAATGTAAAAATGGTACAATTGTTAACATTGGTAAATCCGTATGGGTCTGCAGCAATTCAATTCTTGCCTCCCCAGAGAAAAAAAATTCATCCAAGGGGCATAAGGCAGAGTGAGAGATTGAGGCAAGTTTTAGAACAAGAGTGAAATTTTATTTAAAAAGTTTTAGAGCAGGGTCAAAGGAAGTAAAGTGCACTTCAAAGAGGATGAAGTGTGTGATTTGTGAGATCCAAGTGTGCTGTGCGGCCTTTGACTTGGGCTTTTCTATGTTGGCATGCTTCCGGATTTGTGTCTCTCCTGATCCTTCCCTTGGGGTGGGTGTCTGCAGGCACAGTGGCATGCCAGCACTTCGGAGGGGCCACATGCACAGTGTGCTTACTGGTGTTCCATGCATGCTCACTGGAGGTATTTTTCCCTAGCCAGTTGAGTATTCCTAGAGGAAGGTCATATACCAGTTAAACTCTGCCATTTTGCCTCATAGTGTGCATGCTTGAGTCGGCTTGTCCACCTCCTGAGAGCTTATCGGGAAGCTACTGATCACCAGCTTCAGCTGTTTTCTATCAATTGGGAGACTGTCTTTCCCTGGTGCTGGCTGTGACCAATTCTTATTTTAGAGAGACAGTTTAACAACTGCATGACCATCACCTGATAGACACCTGACATTCCTGGAGCGGGGGGCCTCTCCTGTCCTCCTCATGCCTGTCTGACTACTTACCCTAACACAATCACTTTGGAAAACAGTGTGACTGTTTCTCAACTTTTTGTTTACATTTACGCCATATCCTACCAAGGTATTATTTGATAGCCATCATGCCACTTTCCCAGGTTAAATCAGTTCCCATTTCTTCATATTATTGATTATGCTTCAATCGATTTATTGATTAATTTTTGTGATACTTGCTGAAACTGAGAACTAGTTTTCTTCTAATCTACTAACCTAATAACATTATTTATAAAGCAAATTTTTATGCCTAGGACATGACTATTAGCTCAAAGAGATTAACTGTTAGGTCTATTGTATTGGCATTCGAGTGTCTTATAGTCAAAGCACTCCTCCTTAGAGAAGCAAAGACCGATTTTTGAAATGGAATCTACAGTGAAATCATATGTAGCTGAACTGTAACATTATCTTCCATTAGACATCACACCAACTGGTCACCAAAGGGAAGAAAGTATGGCTTCTTAAAAATGCAATTAAGGGTCTTGAAGCTGATCTTGTCAGCACAGGTGTCGAGGCTGAGGAGAAATCTGAGAAAACTGCATTAGTTATCTTTTGCTGTATAACACATTACCCTAAACACAACAGCATAAAGCAAATATTTATTTCACAATTTCTGAGGCTCAGGAATCCTGGATGGATTAGGTTGGTGGTTCTGCCTCAGGCACTCTGATGAGGTTGCAACTAGGATGTGAGCTGAGTCTGCAGACATCTGAAGGCTGCCTGACCAGGGCTGGAGGAATAGCTTCCACAGTAGCTCACTCACATGGCTAAAATGTTAAACATGGAGTTACCATGTGGCCCAGCAATCCCGCTCCTATATATTAACCCGGGAGAAATGAAATCATATTGTAATCACCCAGAGTGGTCTTCATGCCTGCTGCACAGATAAACCCAATTTGCTGAGACAACAATATTGCAGTAAATGAAGAGTTTAATTAATGCACGGTGAGCCAAGTGGAGAAGAGGAATTTATTATTACTCAAATCAGCCTCTCCAAGAATGCAGAGACTAAGGCTTTTATGGATAATTTGGTGAGCAGGGGGCTAGGGAATGGGTTTGCTGATTGGTTGGGGATGAAATCACAGGAGTATGGAAAATGGCCCTTGCGCATTGAGTCCACCTCTGGGTCATGAGTGAAAACACTGGGTGTAGTCAGTCAGTTACCAGAATGCAGTAATCTGAAAAACATCACAAGACCAATCTTAGGTTCTATAATAGTGATGTTATCCATAGGAACAGATCTTTGACCATATGACTCCTGAGCTGTAAGGAATTATACAAATTATGCCTCCATTTTAGCAGAATTCAGGCCCCTCCCATAATCCTAATCTCATAGCCTTTTATTAGCTTTACAAAAGCGGCTTTGGTCCCTGGGCAAGGAGGGGAATAGTTTTAGGGAGTTTCAAAGTTTAACTATAAACTAAATCCCTTCCATGCTTAGCTTGGCCTACACCTAGGAATGAGTGAGGACAGAGGGCCTGTGAGGCTAGAAGAAAGATGGAGTCTGTTATGCTAGACTTCTCTCTGTCATAATCTTTGCAAAGGCAGTTTCAACATGTCCCACAAAGACTTACATGCAATTGTTCATAGTGGCATTACTCAGTTACTCATAATAGCTCCCAAGTGGAAGCAACCCTGATGTCTATCAACTAGTGAAAGCATAATCAAAATGCGGCATATCCGCATTATGGAATACTATTTGGCAATGTGAGATTGTGATTTATGAGAAATATATATTTAGTTTTTATCCTTGTTTCCTCCCATACAGCTCCTAAAACCTTTGGAATCTCTTCAGTGCTAAGAGTCCTTTTGCATGCTAATGAGATGACTGATGGCTGGGGGCTCCTGCTTAGCCTCAGGATAGGGGCTGCTTGCCAGGGGAACCCACTTTGTGATTAGAGCCTTGGAACTTTCACTCCCAACCTCCAACCTGGAGGGAGGGGAGAGGACCTAAACATTGATTTGATCACCAATGGTCAATGATTTAATCAATTATGCTAAAGCAATGAAAGCTCCATAAAACCCAGAAGGACTGAGTTCTAAGAGCTTCCAGATTGATGAACAAGAACACATCCAAATGCCAGGAGGATGGTGCACCCCAACTCCATGGGGCCAGAAGCTCTGGCACTTGGGATCCTCCTGAACCTCTCCCTGTGCATCTTTTCATCTGCCTATTTGTATCCTTTAAAAAAATCCCTGTATTAAATCGGTAATAGTAAGTAAAGTGGTGCCTTGGGTTCTGTGAGCCGCCCTAGCAAATCTGCCCCAAGGGGATTGTGGTAATTCCCTATTTATAGTTGTTTGTCAGACCAAACAGCCTGGGGCTTGATATTGGCATCTGATGTTAGGGCAGTCTTGTGGGATTAAGCCCTTACCCTGTGTGATCTGAGGCTAGCTTCAAATATAATAGATAACGTCAGAATTGAGTTAAATGGTAGGACACCATTGAACACAATTAACACAATTTAACTGCCTACTGGAGAATTGCTTGGTGAGTGGGGAAAACTCCCTGCACATTTTGGTGATGAAGTATTAAGTCTTGAATGTGAAAGAAAGAAAAATAGTTTTGTTTGTGTTTTTATATCTCATACAGGCAATAGAAAGGAATGAATACTTGTACATGTTAGAACATGGATGGACCTTGAAAATAAGTGAAAGAAACCAGCCATGAACATATACTTTACAATTCTATGTACATGAAAAGTCCAGAAAAGGCAAATCTATGAAAACAGAAAGTATACTAGAGGCTTAAGGCTGTGGGATGGGGAATCATTATAAATAGGCAAGAGATTTTTTTGTGGGGTGATAGTAATCTTTGAAAATAAGATTGCCGTAATAGTTGCACAACTCTATTTATACTAACACACATTGAACTATATCCCTAAAAAGGGTGACTTTTATGGCATGTCTGTTTTATCTGCTGGTCTATCTTGTATTTTGAATTCATATTTTTACCATGCTCAATTTTGTAAAATCACACAGTAAAAATCACTTGGAAAATATTGATTTACAGAGTTATGCAGATCCTCCAAATATTGACACATTTCATTATATAATATAAAAATAAAACTTATTAATAACACCACCAATCTCATCTGAAAATTCTTTAAATATTAGAAAGCCGTCAAGTCATGGTGATGAATTCAAGTTTTCCAAAATTCTTATTTTCTCCATGAAAGCTCAAATTTTATAACTGGCAATAAATACTATCAATTGTTTTCCTTGAAATGATGCTTCTTGAAAAAATGTCTGCAAGATACCAATTCTGAATAACTATAATTTCATTCAAGATCATTCAAGGAAAAGCAGTGTTTCATGAAAAATGCAGATATTTCTGCTCACAATTCAAATGATGACACAATTGCTTTTTTCCTGCCGGCAAACTTTTTCTGTAAGGACCAGAAAGAAAATATTTTAGGCTTTGCGGGCTACATAAGGTGTCTGTCAAATCTTCTTCTTTTTTTTTTTTTTTAACAACCTTTTAAAATTTTTTCAATAAAAGATCTCAGTTCAAATTTGCCATAGAAAAACACAGGCGGCAGGCCTTGCCAAGCCTACCTGTAGACACCCACCATACTGTGGTATACCTAAGTGCTAGATGTATGCTTTCTCTTTGGTTGTATGGAATATTTTAAAATGTGTACTCAGGAGTCAAGATATACTAAAATTACTCTCTCTGTTTCATTGAAGGACATTCTTAAGTGAAACAGGCAAACAGGCATTGTCTTCTTTCCTTTTCTTTTCTTCTCTCTCTCTTTTTTTTTTCTCCTTTGTGCGCAGGCGTGGTGGGGAAGCACGCGGTGCCGACAGATACAGTTTGGTGCCACTGCTTTGACTCATGCTCAGTTGCCAGAAGTTCCACCCACTATTGCCTTGGCACTTCTGTTACTCATATTAACACAATGAAAAAGGGAAATAATGTCTTAGGATTATTCTGAGAACAGTTACCTTCTGAAAAATCTCAGGGACCCCATGGGGTCTGCAGGTCACACTTTGAAAACCGCTGGTATAGCGGAGGTAAAATTCTTCCTCTGCCCTCTTAGGTTTTCCAGCTGGTACTGACATAAATGAGATCAAACGGAGAAAAGCATACAAAATTTTTTCAGTAGTTTTTTTGCATATATGTGGGAGCCCCCATTTTTAAAAATGTGGGCCTAGCTAGGTCTAAGTGCTTATATACTAGGTTGAGCAAAGAAAGGCAACTGCAAAAATGTAACTAAAATAAGGCAGATAAGAATTATTTTAACAAGGTCTGTTTGTACAGATTTCTCGCCTCGACTGCCCGTCTCTGGTGGTAAGAATGTTTATTTCCCCTGCTCTAGAGAGGGCACCTTTCACCTGGGAGTTACAGCTCCTGCTTCCAGGAAGAAAAGGGAAGGTCAGAATGCTCTTCTTGAGCCTGCTGTTTTTCAAATGCTTTTAGCTTAAAATAATCAATGTGCCAAAGAGGTGGCGTGTCCTGAACTCCTTCACTGGCCATATAACTTTTTCCTATTCTTCCCTCACATCGCGTTCTTTCATGTGAACAGGCGTTACATAAAAATAACTCTCAGTGTGTCATTGACTTTAGTTCAGAAAAGATCTAGTTGGGTGTTACTGGGCAAGACACTCAACCTTTCTGAATCTCAGTCTTCTCTTCTATAAATTGGGGAAAATCATAGTACCCACATATAGATTTTTGAAGATTAAATGAGATTTTAAGTAAAGTGCTTAGCTGAGTGCTTGGATTAGTAAATATTTTATTGCCAATTATATTCTTCTTTTCTTTTTAAGTTACAAATTAATTTCCTGTGTGCTGTTAATTATGTGCAGGGAAGAAATATCGTAGTAAAAGTGAACCCTTTTCTTGGTAGACTTTTAGGCACTGTGAGGGGCAAGGCAGGGAAACCTGTTTGGGAGGAACCTAGGGGAAGCTGTTCGTCCACACTGCACCACCCAGCAGAGCCTCTTAGTATGGCAGCCCTTGCCTCTCTAGACCTGGGGTTCTTCAGATTTTTGAGCTCTAGACCTTTTGACATGTAGATAGGATTACAAAGAAAATTAATTGTATTAAAATGCAGCTATCAAAATATTTAAAAAATTGTGGTATAGCATGTGCTTCATGATTAATGCATTAAATTCAAATCTAGCAGTGAGTCTAACAACTAACACAAATTGGAAGAAATGTTGAGTGAAAAGGATATTTCAAGATATTGGCACTGTGTATAATAGGATATAAAAATAGCTGTGATTTTTCTCACTGATAAAGTCACAGGCACTTCTGACACTTCTGTGCTTGGTTATCTATATTCATAAATAAAGGATATGCTACATTTCAATTAGAGGTGAGTGAGAATAAAGACGTAATTTTCCTCCCCATTGAAGTTGATAGACCTCTCTGAATTCTATTCGCAGACCCCATGGGGGCCTATGGGCCCCAAGTGAATAACCTCTGTTCTATATTATCTTCTTTGCCTATATTTGGCCTTTATTTAGAAAGGATGGTAAAGGCAGAAAAAAATGTTGGAAAACTGTCAATTGTTTGATGAATTTTGGAGAAGAGGCAACTAGCCAGGTCTGGTCTTTTTTATCTGGATTATTATTATTGTATGCATAGTGTATTTGCTGAATAATTGCTAGTTTCCTGTCTGAATTTAAGCTTAGTTGACTGAGGTTTAGGAGGTGGGAAAGCTATAATAAGCTTAATTACAAATTATAAAGTTGTAAATACAAGCCTTTTCTGACTCCTCAAAAAATAACCTCTCACTTTGTGGGTAGTTTCTGCTCTAATCATGAATTGAATTATACAAACTATACACATGAGTGATTTTAAATCTGAACTAAAGTGTAAACACACACACACACACACACACACACACACCCTTTCCACAGTGTAGAATCATAAAATAGACAAATTGTTTAACTTCCAACACCCTGTCTGGCCCTAATTGATTCTTGTTACCCAACTGTGCGTTTTAACGTGTTCCAAGTTTGAGAAATCTACCAGCACTAATTTGATGCTGCAAATGTTTATGAGCCTTTTAATGGGCAAAGGGGGATTGATCTAATTTCTCAAGATGGCTAGGGACCATGTTACATGGCGCCTGATTGGTGCACAGGAAGGAGGTAAGAACAGTCACCCATAACCACTGAGGGCAAGTAGGGCTCGCTTTCCTTCCATGAGATGCACATCCTGATGGACACAGGAGGTTTCCCAGAGGGACTTTGTTTAGTAAGGAGGATGCCTCTTTGAAGGATTACTTCACTTAGAGGGAGGGCTAAACACAAGACTTGAAATAAAATGCACACACTTCACTATAAACTTTCTAGTTGGTACAGGAAAGTTTGTCTTTCCCATCCTTACTCTCAGGTTAAAGATGACAGTATTTAGGGAAATTTCTAACATATGCAGGTTTAAATGGTTAGGATGGAAGGAGCTGGTGCGTCATCTGCTCGAGTGGACACAGCAAAGAACTTAGAGATCCATGACACAGTTTCACAGTCATTCAGAAGAAAATCTGTCTGCACTTGGCCCATGAGGACTGGCACAATGCCTGCCCGGTGTGTGGCCTCATTTGCCCCGGTTTACATGTGGCATACTCAGCTGGCTGACCCCATGCCCACTCTGCCTTCCTTGCCAGCTGTGAACCATGTCCTCTGGGTCCCTTTCAAGGGCTGTGTGTCTGCTTTCTACTTACTGGTCCCTCTGCTGAGAGCACTGTTCCTCAAGATAGTTGCATGGCTTAATGCCTGATTTTAGCCAGGTCTCTACTTGCAGGTGATCTTCTTATATGGGAGTGTCCTCAGTATAAAATAACAGCATCTTCATCATCCTGGCCCTCCATATACCCCACTTGATTTGTCTCCATAGCACTTAGCAGTATTTGACATCTCCCATAATTTTATCTTTGCCTCTTTATGGTCAGCTCCTCTTCCAGAAGATGCTGCCACTTCACGAAGGTAGAAGCTTTGCTTATTTTAGTCACTGGGGTCTCCTCAGTGCCTACCAAAATGCCTGGGCCTACAGTTAGTCCTCAATAACATGTGTTGGCTAGGTGAGGAAACCGCATAGGCAATTGGTGTCTTTATATGATAGCGCTAGATCGCATGAAATCTTACCCTTGAACTCCTAAGTTCTAATAAACAATAATGTGATCGTGCAAGTTATTCATCCTCTCTTCACATCAGTTTCCTTGTCCATAAAATGGAGAAAGTTGTGTTTATGCTTGGGAATGGATAGAACAAGACAATGCAAGGAAATGAGCATTGTAAACTATTTAACATGAAGCGAACTACATTTTAGTAGTATGGCACAAAAGCCTAAGAAGTTCTGATCCTATTTCCTTCTGTCATCATCATGCTGTGGTCCCATTAAGCAGTATCAGTTGCCAACACTGTGATTGTGTGTGAAGCCAAGGCAGAGACAGAACAACTGGAGCTAGTGATTTATCTTCACCAACTTCGCCCAGCAACATCCTGCCTTTCGTAGAGGACTTCATAAAGCTTTTCCATTGGCATGATCTAATACGATTTTCACAATTACTCTGTGAAAAAGGAAAAAGTGTCATTGTTACCATTCTATAGGAAATGAAAGGCAGAGAAGTAAAGTGATTTGCTCAGATCAACAGCTGATGAGAGGCAGCATAAGGACAAGAATTTGGATATTCCAGGTCTCTCCTTATATTTTATGGACTATCTTATTACTTTGAATCAGGAAAGGTGTAATGTCAGGCTGACTAGTATGTCATACTCATAAAACTCAAAACTGCATACGAATTTGGTCCAGTCATGAATTCTTCCTTTCTAGCTTTAACAAAAATTATGGGTAAGTAGGAGGACTGCTTTCAGCATGTCTCCCTGGAGATGTTGTGGTCAGAGCCCAAGCACACATAGGCATCTCAAGACTTGAGAGAAATGCCAAATATTCTGCGTGCATCCACAAGGCAGAGAATGTTGCACAATGAGCTTGCTTGGAATGTCTTAAGGTTGACTTGACTATTTTCCAAGGTGAGTGGAAAGGCAGGTATATGTGAATATATAATATGCCACAGTGAAAACCATCATCCATCCCATCACCTTTCTAGGATTGTAGAAATTGTGTTCACAGCAGGGAGCATATTCTTTAAAGGTAGCATCATACTTGTAGAATAGCAGTATAATTTTTTACAGGCATAAGTACAAGCTCTCATGGGATACCTGGATTCAGTGCTTTCTTTTGAGAGACGTGATCTCACATGTGAATGTTTACAAACTTTCTTTCCATTTCCTACTGCCATCTTAAAAAGTTTAGTTAATCCTCCTGATTCCTGATTAGGGCTATATGCTTATATCATTTTTCTTCTCAATACGATAGGGACTTGATCAATTTCACTGTCCATGTCCACAGGGCAATCTGCCCTGTGTCTCTGATGAAACTGCCTTGGGATCAGGAGAGGTGGGTGAGTTCCTCATTCTTCTGAGTGACAGCCCGGACTTCTACAGAACTCTCTTGACTGATTGGGAAGCTGGAACTTGAAGCATCTGGTGCTTATGTACAAAACAAACATAAATAAGAATTCATGTACAAATGTGGCTCTAACAAATCTCCAGCAACAAGAAAAGAAGTAGCACCAACAAATGAAAGGAGAAAAATCAATACTAAAAGGAGAGAAAAAAGAGAAACAGAATCCTCCAAAGACTGTACTTCAAAAGTTTAATTTCAGGCTCAGATACCTGACCAAAAGACAGCATTTTTAGTGGTATCTGAGATTCCTGAAAGAGAGTGAGAAACTTGTTGTGAAGATCCAATTATGACTTCCTGCCTTTGCTCTCCCTTCCCTCTTTAGGAGTCATGAGAATACTTACGCAGAACAATTGATGCATAGAGAAGAAAAAAATGAGTATTAAAAATCACTATCACTAACATTTATTATAATCTAAAGAAGATAGGGTTCCAGTCTTCTATCAGGCCCAGGTTCAGAAATGTGGTCTTTCTTGCTGTTTTTAATTTGAATAACTACGTACAAATTAATATAACTCTGGAGTCTTACTCCACGGACGTTTTGACAGGAAGGTATACCTCTTACTCTAATGCAATGGATATACATCTATCTAGAAAAAAAAGCATGTCAACAAAAAAGAAAGAAAATATTTAACAAAATAATATAGAGTTAGAGATTTATGGCTTCGAAGGTGTCTTCCTACTGGTTTTCGTTCTTTTTATCCTGTGTTTGAGGATGAGAATGCAGCAAGATACCTTCAGTTGTCACGGGTCGATGATCTTACCCTCTGTGCTTACCCTCAGATTCTGAGAGATGTTTTAGGCTGACAAATAAGCAAACTCTCCAAGATGTATCATATTATCTATTGCCCATTAGACAGCAGATAGCCTCATGCTTTTACAGGCATTGGGGGGAACATCTTTATGTAGTCTACCTTTTCTATCCATTAATCTGTCAAGAAGGAGAATTAGACTCCACTGGGGGGACCTTATATTACAATTTTAAAAGTTTATCATGTGGATCTCAAGGAATAGAATTAGGATCAACAAGTAGAAGCTAAGTGAGTGGTTAAATGATAATTTCAGACATACAGAGCTCTCCCAAGTAGGAAGGTAGGGAGTTCCCTGTCACTAGAAGTTTACAAAATTGAGTAGATCATGTTGGGAGTCTTATCCTTCTCACCCTAATATTTCACACAGTGCCTGTCACATAGCAAATTCTCAACAATCATTTATTGTCCAATGACCAGACAAGCATTTATCAGGGCAGGAGAAGATGCTAGGTTATGGACTAGATCAATGTTAAAGCTGCTTCAATCCTAAGATTTCTATGTATATTTTTTCAGTGTGAATGTTACCGTGGTGGAGTTAAAAGCTACTTCCTAGACTTCCTCTAATTCTTAACTATTTGAGGGATTTAAAACACATTTCTTCTCATTTTCATTAGGAAGCAGATATTTATGAGGGAGGCATAAAAAGAGCTTCATGGGAGCAGGCTAAAATAAATTATTTCCCAGCCACTCTGACATTATCTGCCAACTCCAATGTAGTTGACTCCTAGACCTTGGGAACCATGTTTATACCAGTGTTTTCAGGCTGCTGTGAGAAACACTTAGCAGTCCCGAGTGGGGGCGCTCAGCCTTTGTTGCTGGTTAAGTTTTATGTGGCTCCATCTCAGTACATTGAGACAATGAGGCCCTTGGCTGTAAAACTTGTAAGCCTAGACACTATTTCCAGGGAGTTCTCTGTAACCCTGGAAGGAAGAACCTGATCAACGGCAGCTATAAAGGAGACTGTAAATGAATTTCCCCCCGAGTGTTTGATGCTTTATGGAAATGTGTCCTGCCCTTTTCTTTAATTAACTTTTAATTTCTGTGGCACTGTAAAGGAGTGATGGTGACTGGGGGATTGCTCTCAGCGTTCTGAAGCATGGTATGAAAAAAGTCAAAGTTAAGTGTCCACACTGGGGACAGGTGGCTCTGCTCCATCCAGCCCACCCTCGTTGTATCCCAGCCAGGCATCAGGATGGGCCTTTCGCCACATGGAAGACTGAGCAGGGAATGGGGCAAATAAACCTCAAATCATTACTAGACTAGAAAAAAATAATAATAATGTAGGAGGGGAGGAACAGAGAAGAGAGAGAGAGTGAAAGACAGAGAGAGTAAGCTTTCAATGTCTCTAATAGTGACAGAGTGACGGGAATCTCTATGGAAGAGCATATAAGAAGTTTCAGGAAAGCTGTGTTGAATGCGAATAGACAGAAACCTGGGAGACAGGACAGAGTGAGAGAATTCAGGGCCCCTTTTGGGAACTCGAATATTATCCACCTGAAGGGCTCCCATCCTGGGATCCCAGAGAACATCTGAGGATCCTGCCAGCTAATCCCTCCCCATAGCTACTGGGAGGAAAACTGTCAGTGTAGTGACACTATCAGAGATAGCATTCCACAGATTTTTAGAGAGTATTTGAGTTTGAAATGATTCCACAGATTTTTAAAGAGTATTTGAGTTTGAAATGTGGTGCTTTGTTCTATATTTTCTTTCCCTAAAGATGCTTTTCTTAAGCTGTTGTTCAAAGGCGTTTGCCATCATCATCTGTAAATAACTGAGTGGCCTAAGCATGCGGTAAATGGCAATGCAGGGCTGTTCTACTTGCAGAAATTCAAGTGCTGACTTTATTAGGAGAAAAAAAAAATCACAAATAAATTTACCCTGGGTATGAGGCACTGATGACTAAAGAAAGCCACCAGGAATCATGCCAAGTAACGAGCTAGAGTCAAATTACAGTGATCTGCTTGTGGCTTCCCAGCCATGAGCTTCCCCACATACCTTGGTCCCACACCACCAAGGGAAGGAATTAAAGAGGTGTGTATTTGTGGCTGTGAACACATGTTTGCTATCCATACAGTTATGTCTTTGATTTCTTTAAAACAAAAACAAAAACAAAAAAAAAATAGGTTTTTTTTTTTTTTACATTTCCTTTTATTTCTATATGTTCTTTCTCTCTCTTAATGTGGGTAGCGATTAACCAAGTATATAGGTTCACTTGTGAATTAACAAGCTATATAGGTCCACTTATAGTGTGCAGTGACCCAGAAGGAATACAAGCTACAAACCAACTCTCACTTGCCACATGTTTTTGCAAATAGTTTCATAGGGACACAGATTTGCTCAATGTTTTACATATTTTCTGTAGTTCTTTTTCATGCTACGATGGCAGGTTCAATAGTGATGACAGAGAATATATAGCCTGCAAAGCCTAAAATATTTATTATCTGGTCCTTTACAGAAAATGTTTTTAGCCCTGGTCTATACTCTAAATCATCATGTCTCATCTGAACTAATTATAAAGATTCCCAAACTGTTCTTGCCCTTTGTCTTTCTGACCTACAATATATTTTTGTAGGGATCTTCTTGAAACTTAATTATGATCATGTCATTCTTCCTGTCATTCCCTACATAATACAAATATACCTCCCCCCACCATGCACCCAAGCCAGCAAGGCCTCTGCAAGTTCATCTCTTATTGCTTCCTCTTGTTCTCACTCTACTTCTTCCAAATGGACTGTTCTCCCTTTTCCTGACTCCGTGTTTTCACAAATATGGGTTCATTTGTTTAGATATGATTCCTTCTCCTTTTTCTTGGATCACCACTGTATTAGTCTTTCTCACGCTGCTGATAAAGACATACCCGAGACTGGGCAATTTACAGAATAAAAAGGTTTAGCTGGATTTACAGTTCCACGTGGCTGGGGAAGCCTCACAATCATGGCAGAAGGCAAGGAGGAGCAAGTCACGTCTTACATGAATCATGAATAGCAGCAGGCAAAAAGAGAGCTTGTGCAGGAAATCTCCCCCTTATAAAACCATCAGATCTCCTGAGACTTATTCACTATCATGAGAACAGCACAAGAAAGACCTGCCCCCATGATTCAATTACCTCCCACCAGGTCCCTCCCACAACACATGGGAATTCAAGATGAGATTTGTGTGGGGACACAGCCAAACCATATCAACCACTTATTTGAAACCCAGTGCAGGTACAGATACCTTAACAATCCTTTGTTAATCTCTCCATGTATGTATACATCTGAAACTATCACACAAATTCAGCAGAATCTACAAAGATGTGGTCAGGTACAATCGGCAGCATTCGCCTGTCCTTCGCAGTGATGATAGATTTTTCTAACACATACAGACCTTCTGCCACAATCTCAATAACAGTGATGAGCTTTATAAAGACTGATGTACTTTTCTGAAGTTGTTATTCATTCTTCAACAGATATCAATTGATTTTTTTTTTTTTTTGGTGCCAGGCTCTGTTTCAGATGCCAAGGATACAGATGTTTTACATGCACTCACATACACACATGCGTCTAAAATAACACCAGTGCTATGTTTAAACAGTGACTCTCTTTCTTGGGTATGTATCAGTTTTTCCAAAGTACCCTTTTCTAGAACCGTTGCATCAGAATCTTGCTGGTAGAACTTATTTTGGAAAAAGATTTCCAGGTGACTGGATGCCCACCTTGAAGAACCACACTTTAAATCCCAGCACTTTGGGAGGCCAAGGCGGGTGGATCACCTGAGGTCAGGAGTTCCAGACCAGCCTGACCAACATGAAGAAACCCCATTGCTACTTAAAAAATACAAAAAAATTAACTGGGCATGGTGGCACATGACTGTAATCCCAGCTACTCAGGAGGCTGAGGCAGGAGAATCGCTTGAACCCGGGAGACAGAGGTTGCGGTGAGCCTAGATTGTGCCATTGCACTCCAGCCTGGGTGGACAACAAGAGCAAAATTCCATCTCAAAAAAAAAAAAAAAGAAAGAAAAAGGAACCACACTTTAAAACAGTAGAAGTGTAAAAGAATGAAACTAGTCTCTGGCAACTGATTTCTACAAATGAATGTAATGTCTTAGTTTAATTGATTCACAAATTTCTAAAAGCTACCAAAGCATGACGAGTTTGAAGTCTGTCTATTTGGGAGCAAGCATCTTAGGCTGATGACTGTGTGTAAATCACTCACCTTTTCTCACCTTCAGTGTCGTAGCATCACCTAACATTTTAGGGTGAATGTAAATCTCATGTGTCAAATGAGAGGGTGGCGGGGTCATGTTCAAGATGGGATTCAGCTTTAAGTGTGTCCACTCTTGTACAGGTGGCTTTGGCAGTGCGTCTAAACAGAACCTTAGCCTGTGACCAGGGCTGGCATGAATCCTTGAATGGGTATGGTGAGAGAAATCTTTTCCATTTGTATGGCTAAGATTTGAAAATAGTACCTAGAGGAGAAAAAACTCTGACAAGCAAACATTAAATTGCTGAACTATCCAACACTCAGTTCCAAGTTTCTTAAATTCTGGTGTCAGCAGGGTTTTCCCTTAGGGCTGCAAGGGCTACTGCTTCCTAACCCGGAGGTTAACAGCAGCACAGAGGCAAATGGCTTCAGTTCTTTGGTCCTCAAACCAAGTTTGTTTAGCCCTTAAGCTACTGCGAATATTGCTGGGAAGAGGGGAGGCTGTGGCCAGAGCTGCTGAGTAATGTGGTGACAGCTTCCCTGAGTTCCCGTTAATACAGATATCATTCCATCAGCGTGACCCTCAGCGACCTCTAGCAAGGATTAATAATGAGGAATAATTCACTTGAGTGGAACGTGCGGCGTGAGAGGAAGACTTGACAACAGACTCCTATGGGAGCTCTAGGTGGCTACATCGGTGTTGGGGAAGGAAGGGGGTAAAGTAGTAAACGGGGTTACAGAAACACACATTTACATCTGAAGGACCTTGATTGAGGGAATAAAGCCAATTTCATGAATAGGAAAGTGGTTCTTGCTTTAATCGCTGTCATTTCCACTCCATTTCCATGGCTTCTGAACTTTCCCCTGTGTTACTGAGAGCCTGTCACCTCAAACATTTAAGATACAATTTTAAGTGTTCTCTTTTCAATAGCATGCAGATGGATTGACCTGGGTCTAACTAAGACCATATCTTGTCCTTTGTTGAAACTATTATATCAAAAGGAGTTATTCTTTTTTTTTTTTTTTTTTTTTTTTTTTTTTGAGATAGAGTGTCATTCTGTCACCCAGGCTGGAGTGCAATGGTACAATCTTGGTTCACTGAAACCTCTTGCTCCCAGGTTCAAGGGATTCTCCTACCTCAGCTTCCCGAATAGCTGGCATTACAGGCTCTCACCACCACACCTGGCTAATTTTTATATTTTTAGGAGAGATGGGGTTTCACCATGTTGGCCAGGCTGGTCTCGAACTCCTTGACCTCCCAACATGCTGGGATTACAGGTGTGAGCCACCAGGCCCGTCCTCAAAAGGAGTTATTCTAAATGGTTAACATGGGTGTTGCCTATCCTCAACTGAAGGTAGATTGTATTTTTGAGGGACACACTTTTCTTCCTCCCCTAGCCCGGGGGAATCTTTGAATGTTTTGATTGACAGTTACAAAGAATCTCATTTTTAACCCCCCTGGGCCTTGGCAGGCCTGGCCCTCTACAGTGGGCTAGAGATCATCTAGGTCTTGAAAGTTCACAACTGCTGTTTACTCTCCTGCTCCTCAATTAGACTTTGTCTTTCCATTCTCTTCTTTAGTGAAAGGAATAATTAGTGGGGGCCGGGGGGTCAGTAAGTGCTAGGTAAGAAATTATAAACTTCTGCATCATATTTTCAAAAAGGACAAGAGTGCGGCACTTCGGGTTGTGGGGAGTACTCTCACCCTAGCACAGTGCGAAGTCTTGGATAATTGCTTGCAGCATTTGTTAATGGCTGCTTTAACGGCTAATGCTTATAGAACCCTTACTTGTGCCAGGCACTTTATAGGCACGTTTCTCCCTCCATTTGCAAACAGCCTTATGGGATAGGTATTCTTTTTCCCTCTTGAACGATGACGACTCTGAGGTTAGAGAAGTTACAGAACATCCCTAAGATCACACAGCCCCTGAGAGGCAGTGTCCCATGTGAGCTCGCTCTGGAGGTCCACCTGGGCCCTGGGCTCTTCTTTTTGCCGCATCTGCTTCCCTCTCACTACGTTCTTCCCTTCCTGGCCTGGCGCTGCTGTGTGGGGTTTTTTTCAGCGGCCTCATCAACATTTTTCTAACGAGCATTCTCCAGCCTCTCCAATGGTTCTATTTCCTACTGTTCTCCTGAAAAAGAATTCCCACCCTTCATAAGGAAAAAAGGATAAAATTATAAAAGCGAATGTGAATAACGTTGTGTAATTTCCTGAGCATTTAAAGACAGATTAACGCTTCGGATTGAGCAACCTTGTGATAATAATTTTATGACACCCTTTCTGTGGATTAGGGAAATGAGGTTTAGGGATGTTAAAATACTTGCCCCATGTGCCCCCATTATCAGTAGCAGAGGACTGATTCAAACCTATATCTTTTGACTCTAAAGGGCTTTCCACCCACTAGCAGAACTTCAAACTCAGATTCCTGCAGGGCCAATATGAATGAGAATGAGCAAAACGGGCCCAGTGGGAACTGGCAAGCCTGGGCCCAGCGCCTTCCACCTCAGCAAAGGGGCAGCTGCTTTGGGGCCCCGTCAGCTGCTGCCCTGGGAATTCGGACACAGGGCTGCTGCATTTTTCTAATATTTCAAAGGCAACCAGAAATCTGAATATTTAAGTAAAATGTTCTGATCTTTAAATATCGGTGACTACTTGCCATATCTGAAAAACACCCAGGGGAGGCCAACCCTACACATGCAAGCTAAATGCCGTCAGAAGTTTTGTGTCAGGCTCTGTGGCTTCCCTGCCTCCCTGTCCCTTCTTATCCTAAATTGTCTGATGGCTGCTGTGGCCCCTGTTCTCATGTATTTTTCCTCCACTGTCCTCATTTCTTTATTTTTGCCTCCCATTTTCACTGTAAATATCCTTCCTGTGATTTTCCCAGGGGCTTTCTCCTCCCCGCCTGGACCTCCTCCCAGCAAACCAAGACACTTTATGATATAATCACAAATGGCTATTTACAAAGCCGAAGGAAGTCTTAATGGGACGGAAGACACTCTGTCCACAAAGCAAGAAACCCTCCACTCAGGCAGTCGACGAAGGGAGAGACAGAATTGGAAATGATTTTATTTCAATTAGATTTTAATTAGCTTCTGTCTTGGAACCATCAGATCAGTTGCCGAATAATTGAAAAAGCAACCATATTTGCATCTGTTGCTCCTAAGAATAGCAATGTTGCAGCATCTGATCCGTATTTTATTCAGAGAGTGAGAGGGAGGAGGGAAGTTCAGTGGAGGAAGGATTTCAGATTAAATAATCAGCGTCAACAACAGCAGTGTGGTGGGTCAGCCCTGGAGACTGCAGGAACAGTCCTCTCCAGCCTTGTCCTCATTTCACGTGGAATTGATATGGAATGGGTGGCAAGAAGCATTTAATTAGCCTCCTGCACAAACTTATTATAAAGCTCTAGCAAACCTAATTTAAGCATGCTGGAAAATTAAGGAAAGCGGCCATTGCAGCCAAGCGCCTCCCATATGGGAAGGAGTCGCGAGTTTGTCCTTGGGCCCTGGTGTTCAGCTTTCATGCTTGCGGTTCCGATCTTCACCAGCTCCAGTCAATGAAGTCAGGGTTCTAGCGTTCCCCTGTCGCTCCTCTCTGCCGAGATAAAATGTCATGCAGCCCGTGAGTGGGGCTCAGGCCTGTGTCCCACCTGATTTCCCAAGGCCGTTCCAAGATTCTCATTACCACTCTGCTAGGTCTGTTTTTTTCTGACAAGACAAACAGGGTTTCTAAGGCTATGAAGGTGATGAAAATGCTTTCCCTGTGGGGAAATACAAGTGGATGTCTCCTCTGTGAATTTTCTGTTGAGGAAAATGCGGTGTTTGGGAGGCTAAACAGCTCATGCCCCTTGTTTCCTCCCGAGGCCAGTTTTCCTGTTCACGGGAAAGTGTATTGCAGAGAAATATTCCAGCAACACTTTTCTCTGTTGGTGTGCACTTGGTAATGTTCTAGAACAAATTCTTAAGGACCTCCTTCCTGCCACAAATTAACAAGCATATATCGGCTCTACTGTTTCCCATCTTCGGGGGTGCTCAGTGCCTGGTGCTGAGTCATCTCCTGAGACAGGCTTCCCAGGGAGCTTTGCTGCTTCCTCATAGGGCGGCGGCCGTGCCATGAATGACTCTGATCTCTAAACTTCCACTCTCTTACTTTGCAAACTTCTGTGGTGTTCAGCTCTTTGGCAATGGGTATGCATTAATGTAGTCCTTGCACAATAAAAAAATAAATTTTAAAAGTCGATTTTCTGAAAATGAATTTATTATAGCAGCTTGTGACTGTGTTATACCATACATATATCAGAAATAAAATTATGCCAGCAATGCTTTCAAGAGTCTTATATAATAAAGTTATTAATCCATTTTCACAACTGTTAGTTCTGTCTCCAACATTGCCATTGGACAGGCGGTTCTTCTGTAGTATTGTGAATTACTTGTAGGCAGGATCTGTGTCATTTATCCAGGCCAAATGTCTGCTTGACATACATCTTTTGGAACTACTTTTCTTAACTACCCTATGTAGCTTAGTAGCCCTGTCAACCCTTACTCCCTTTAGTTTATTCCATTAGTTTCATTTTCTTCGCAGAATATACTGCTATTCAAATTTATTTATTTTTATTTGTTTATTAATTGCCTTGTTTCTCTTGACCGTTAATACCATGAGGGCAAGGACCATATTACCTAGGCCCCAAATGGTGCCTGGCCCACAGTAGGCTTTAATAAACATGTTTTGTTATTTAGTTTGTATTTGCTGGAAACCTCCCATTTAGCCAGAATATTTTAGGCATGAAAATACCAGAGTGAACATGATGGACAAGTGTCTTCCTCTCAGCATGTATACAAATTAGTAGGGCAAGGTGGGCCGTATGCAATCTGTAAACAAATAAATAAACCAGAAACATATCATAAGGTTACATAAATCCTATAAAGGAAATTAAACTAGGATGACGTGACAGCGGCCTGGCATTGAACGTGAGGCCCTCCAGCCTTCAAAGGCAGGAGAAGATCGAGTGTTTACAGAGACCCTGAGCAGTGAGGGAGGAGGGAGGGCCTGTCTTGGTACTGACCCGCTTAGCTCCTGAGGCTTCACAGTGGTCCTCCACTCAGATGCCCGCCTTCCCCCGCCATGCCCTGTCCATCCAGTCTGCCTCATGGACGCCTACTTGTCTTCCAGTCTTAGCACTGGAGTCATCTCCTCTGTGGAGTCTTTCCTGTTTCCTCTCCCCAGGGAGAACTGACCTTGGCCCCTTGCTGATGTGCACACCTGTCCCCTGCACACCTTTGTATGTATGTCGTTGACCCATGCTTTTTCTTTCTCTGGTTTGTTAACATATTTTTCTTCACCTCCTCTTGGACAGTGCATTCCTCGAGGAGCAGGTCCTATCATTTTCCCCCTATAGCTAGGTTTTAGGACAGATGCTGACTGTGGAGTCTTGGTTATTATTTGATAAACCAGTGGCTAGATGGAAACATGACACAATGGGTCCATGGATAAGTGAAGGAAGTAGAAGGCCACTGAAAGTCTCTTCTCTTCTTAGGATGTCATGATTACTGTTTTGTTTGTTTGTTTGTTTGTTTGCTTGTTTGTTTTTGAGATGGAATTTTGCTCTTGTTGCCCAGGCTGGAGTGCAATGGCGCGATCTCGGTCACCGCAACCTCTGCCTCCCAGATTCAAGAGATTCTCCTGCCTCAGCCTCCCGAGTAGCTGTAATTACAGGCATGCACCACCACTCCCAGCTAATTTTGTATTTTTAGTAGAGACGGGGTTTCTCCATGTTGGTCAGGCTGGTCTCGAACTCCCGACCTCAGGTGATCCACCCGACTTGGCCTTTCAAAGTGCTGGGTTTACAGGCATGAGCCACTGCATCCAGCCCAGACCGATTACTGTTTTAAACACTTCCACTTCTCGTTTTTTGGTCTCACGCACTTTCCCTCTGTGATCGTTCACTTGATTTTCTTGTGGCTCCTTTGGCATTTACATATGTAGGATCACTGGTTATCAAATGGATTCCAAAACTACCTCTACATCTGCCTTCTCTGATGCCAGCGCTTTCACCTCTCCCTGCCCGACACTCACAGCACCACCCCCTGCTCTTTTCCGTGGTCTAGATTTTCCTTACCCATTGATTTTTCCGCTGGGGCTTAAATAAATTTCGTGTCTTGTTCAGTCATGCCGTACATATCCTTGCCTCTAGCTCACAGTGGTTGGATTTATCTGTCCTTTGATGTCTGTATTAATATAGAACAAATATTAGCAGATAATATAATGGCGACCAAAAGATGAAAAGAGGACTCATGCTAGTGTAATATTCGTAAAACTCTTGATTTGAGCTGTCATAATCCAATGAGGTTAAATTTATCCTCTAGCAGATGAAGTAACACCAGCGGTTCCCCTAAAAGTTGTAATATTTTAATTATTGCCATTAAAATCTCATATGCACATATCATATACATTTTGAACTTCAGAGCCTTAAGACAGTTATGTTATTTCTCAGAGAATCCTGAGGGGACGGAAGTCACACCGGGCTACTAGAGCTGGCTCATGCTGTACAAATAATTCTCTGTAGAACACACTCTCACATAACAGATAATGCTGAGCAGGCAGGGTATTATTTTTCTAACACTGATGAGATTCTGTTCAGCATTTTTCTTTGTGTATTTTTCATTATTTGGGAAAAGCCAACATAATGTTTATCTGTGGATTAGACACCATGGATACAGGTGTCTAATCCTGTAAGCTTTTCAGATATGTCTGCCTAAGTTCCCTGTTGAAACATGGAGGCCGTTTATGTTCTCACTGTTAATTTCGCATTTTGAAATACATCTCTTACCACCTACCCTGATTCAGGAACCAGTATTCAGCACATGGATGGGCATGCTGGGATCCAATTTTAGAGAGCGAATTTCTTCCACTTTCCATTTCCAAACCAAAGGATAGAGAACATGAAACAACAACAACAAAAATGGATATTTGTAAGTAGACAGCACATGTAAAGGCCCACCTGATTATTGATAGGAAATGAAGAGAAAGTGATACAGGACGATGTTCTGGATTTTTTTAAGATCAGATATTTAGTCTACAGTGGTGTCACCATCAAAGAGAGGTGACAAAGAGAAGAAAGAGGCATAAGGGCACCGCCGTTCACTTGGACTTTGACATAATGCATTTGAGTTGTATGTGGCCATCAAAAGCAAGGTGGTGAAAGATGTTTCCTGTGTGTTAGGGCCTCTTCTAGGGTCCAGGGATTCACAAATAAGTAAAACACAGGTATCCCACCATGACTTGATTGTAAGTTGGGGGTAGAGACAGATGACATTCCCCTATAATGCAAGAACAAATGCAAATTGTAAATGCTGCTTGGCATCTAGAAAAAGCAAACTGAGAACAGAAAACTGTCACCACTGGTACTGACTAGGGAGAGACAGACTCTGGTTCTAGACAACTGGTCTCAGTTCATTAATGTATTCAGGAGGCATTATTAAGTGCTTTCTGTGTACTCAGTACTGACTTCTGATTTAATCATAATATTCCTGAAAGGGAGAATGCAATTCTTTCCACTTTGTAACTTGGTGGTATTTTTAAGGACATTTCTCACTTCGTTTGTACTAACCCCACACTTCCGCAGCAGTCTGCTGATCTACAGTCTGCTCTCCTGAGTGGATGTGCCCAGGAGAAAGGCATGGCCAGAGAATATGAAACCTCTCTCATGCCAAGGAGGCTCTTCACTGGCAGTGAATATGCCATCATGCTGGTTTATAAATCTGTCTTGTGTCAGTTAGGTGGGCATGAATCAATCCTCCTCAGCCTGGCCACCTTTGTGGAGCTGATGAAATCAATTTTATGACCCTGCAGAGTAGAAGTCCTGGCTCTGGCAAGCTGGTGGTCCCCCTCCTTTCCATGTTTTTTTTTTTTTTTTACAAAGTGCCACCACCCGGGGGACTTAGCCTTGAGGGGCTAATTGACCTCTCCTTGTAATTACAAACTTCACAGTAGCATATTTACAACCCCAAATGTGTCTTTTTAATCTTAATGTCATTGCACTGCTAAATGTTTCAGCTACCAAGGTGTTATGGGTGAAATGGTGTTCCCCAAAAAGATATGTTGAAGTCCTACGCTCTCTTGCCTGTGAATGTGACCTTATTTGGAAATCCGGTCTTTGCAGGTGTGATCGAGTTAAAATGAGGTCATCAGGGTTCATCCTAATCCAATATGGCTAATACCCTTATAAGAAGAAGGGAGTTTGGACACAGATGCACAAAGAGATGAGAATGTCATGTGAAGACACAGACTCAGAGGGAAGACAGTCTGTAAAGACAGAGGCAGATATTAGAACTGTGCTGCCGCAGGCCAAAGAAGGCCTGGGGCTGTCGCATGCTAGAAGAGGCAAGGAGGGACCCTCCCCTAGAGGCTTCAGAGGGGCATGGCCCTGCCAACACCTTGGTTTGGACTTCTACCCTTCAGAACTGTGTGAAGCCATCCAGTTGATGGTGCTTTGTGACAGCAGCCCCAGGAAATGAATACAGAAGCTTACGCCTAGTATTCAGATGGGACTTAGCATTCGCGGACTGGGGAGGGAGTTCTCCCAAGTCTGTTTTCAATAATATTAATGTCATTGCACTGGTAAAATTTTAACAAGGTGGTATGAGTGGAACAAAAAGGTTAAAGTTGAATCCCAAAGTCCTTAAAGGTATTTTGGCTCTATCTCCTCTCTCAATAGGTAATTCTCTTCCTTTGCCTGTTTACAAAGAAGGCCCATTGCTTTTTAAATGGATTATAATCAAACATCAGCCAACTTCTCAGAAAAGGAGCTATGAGCCAAAATTTAACGACCAAGAAAAGTAAAATAACAATTCATTAAGTCTCATAATCTTTACTCAAAAATTGTCTATAAGAAGGGCACCCATAGGTCAAGAGTTAGCATCTCTTTTTTGTTCTAAACTATTAATACTTTTTGTGCCAGAATGAACTGGTGTTTTTGCTATTGCATACTTCATTTCTCTTTCTGATTAAACTCTTCTTCCCTAAACTGTAGTTCCATCCTAAATGCTCTTACTGGATTACCTTGCCTTTAAATACAGTGCTGCGTAACGATGTTTCAGTCAATGATGGGGTGCATATATACAATGGTGGTCCCATATGATTATAATGGAGCTGAAAAATTCCTATGGCCTAGTGACATCATAGCTATTGTCATATTGTAATGCAACACACCACTCCCATTTTTGTAGTGATGCTGGTGTAAACAAATCTACTGTGCTGCCAGTCTTATGAAGTTAGAGCACATACAATTATGTAAGGCACATTAAGCTTTATAGTGATGATAAATGACTATTACTGGTTTATGTATTTACATCACCACACCTTTTATCATTATTTTAGAGAGTACTCTTTCTACTTATTAAAAAGAAGTTCACTGTAAAACAGCCTCAGGCAGGGCCTTCAGGAGGTATCTAGAAGAAGGCATTGTTAGCACCGGAGATGACAGCTCCATGCGTGTTATTGCCCCTGAAGCTCTTGGAGTGGGATGAGATACGGAGGTGAAGGACAGTGATAGTGATCATCCTGACCCTGTGCAGGCCTCGGCTAATGTGCGTGTTTGTGTCTTAGTTTTTAACAAAACAGACTAAAAAGTGAAAACAGAGAAAATATAAGAAGCTTATAGAATAGGATATAAAGAAAGGAAATATATGTACAGCTGTGATGTACAAATTTGTATTTTAAGCCGTGTTATTACAAAAAAGTTAAAAAATTAAACTATATATATTTTAAAAGTTACATAATGCGAAGATTAGTTTATTATTGAAGAAAGAAAATTTAAAAAGTTAAATGTAGTGAAGCCTGAGTAGTGTTTATAAAGTCCCCGGTACTAACTGGTAATGTCCACTCACCACTCACTGACTGACTTAGCCAGAGCACCTTCCAGTCCTGCAAGCTCCATTCATGTTAGATGTTCTATACAGGTGTATTATTTAAAAAAAAATCTTTTTATCACATTTTTTACTGTAATTTTTCTATGTTTAGATAAGCTTAGTTGCACAAATACTTACCATTGTGTTACAGTTGCCTGTAATATTCAGTTACGTGCCGTACAGGCTTGTAGCCTAGGAGTGACAGGCTCTCCCGTGTAGCCTAGGTGTGCAGTAGGCTATGCCATTTAGTGTGTGTATGTACACTCTGTTGAGCCTACAAAAAGATGGAATCTAATGTATCTCAGCTAGTAAGTGACACATGACCGTATTTGAAAAGTCCTGCTCACTGCAAATTGTAAAAAGCATACATGATTAGGCATATGTATGAATCATTTTTTTCACGTTTTTGTTTCTTTGAGCTTTTGTTAAAAAAGAAAGCATTGGCTTTTTTGGAAAATCTGATTAATGCTATTGAGATGTATGTGTGTGCATGTAAGTTGCACATCATTTCAGAAGTCTGTTCATGGCCCAGATAAGCAGAATAATTGTCCGTAAATGAAGGATATCTATTCTTTGGTTGGAATGAGGAAGTCAGAGAAAGATTCTAAAGTTTAACATAGTCTAGGTCTCTTTCATTATGATTTGAGGTTTAGGCTTCCAGCTTTAAAGAATGTTGGTTTAACCTTTTCTTCCTTTACTTTGGACTGTTCGTTCTGTAAGTTTAAGTACACTATCATTTTTTTTTTTCATTAAAATAAAAGCAAAAAAAAAAAAAGAGGTTGGGAAGGAACATGTAATTAGATGCTTAACTGCCTTTTGATGATGCTGAAGGTTGTAGACTTCTGGGATGTGACTAGGGATTCCTTTACTACTGAAAGCCTTGCAGGTAGAAGGCTGTGGTTCAACAGGACCACCAGACACACAGTCATTCTTTGAACCAGAGTTGTCATGCAGCAAATGTCCCACAAGAGAGGTAAGCATTGTGCGATGGACTTGAGGCATGCCTGCTTCTCCTTGAAGGGAGGGTAAGAGGTTGCTGGAGCCCCAGAGACAGCAAAAGAAGGAAAATGAAGAGGGAAGACAGGAGGTGCACTGGGAAAGACAAAGTGATTGCTGTTTAATGACCACATTTTGTAAGACAGGACAAAAAGAAAACTCCTTGAATGACAATAAAGATCTCTATTGCCACAAGGTTTGTACAGGGCTTTCTGTGCTTATACAAATTTGACAGCCTAACTTTAAAGTGTTTGAAACTTGAAGAGAGGGAAGAAAAGGGGGAAGAGTTGTGTTGGGGGATGCTGAATGGGGGAGAGGGAGTCAGGAGAGAGGGTCAAGTGAAAATGTCTCGAGTGGTCATTCCTGGCCCTATTACCAGTTATGATGGATGGGTTTGGAGAGGCAGGAGGAAGCAAGTCTATTTAAAGATGGCAATTAAGAAAATATGTCTAAGTAGAGGGAAAATGGCAGTGTGGATTCTGGCTGTTGATGTGTCTGATGAAGCAAGACTGATTCACCTACAAACTGACACAGCTGCATTAATGAGGCTGAAAATAGCAGTTCTCATCGCCTGTGATGGAGCTATGGTGGGGGTGCCTCATCACCTGTGGGCTTATGAATGTAGATTATTCCCCTTTGACTGAAAATCATTTTACCTGGTTTCTTCCAAGAGTTGAATCACTGCCTTTCATTGTCTGCTAAATGAGCATTGAAACACAAATTTGTTGTTTGGAGTTTGGACTTCTGTTCATTGGGCGATAGTGAGTTGTATTAACCTTATGCTTTTGAAATTTCCTCTTGTATTTCATGTGGATCTTCTTTTTTTAATGCCAAGTGTAATTGCTGTGATTTGCCCAATTGCTTTCATGTACATGTACTGAGACAGGTTTATGATACTGGGATATACGAGTCAGTGAGCAAAATTAAGCCTTCATTATCTGAGTGTATGACGGTAGCTCAGTTATAAGAAAAAAAAAAGCAGGTGGGAGAAATTTGATTCTGAACTTAAAGAGACCTTGCCTCACATAGACATATTCTAAATATATCCTATTGCATCAAAACTATTGAATTTAGTTCTGCTTCTTCTGCACTTCCTTTCCTCAATATTGCTGAATATCAAGACTGCTGGGGGAAAAGAGATGCATTCCCTTGTAGTTTTATATTAAAACATATTTCCCCTTTTCACTTTGAAGAAAGCACGCGTGTATGTTTCTTGTCCTTAGAAAGGTATGACACATGTACAATTTAAGGGAAAAGATAGAGAGGCAGAATTCTTTAGAGGAAGGCAACCGCTCCTAAACCTCTGCTCCTCCTGGTTATGTTCTGCAAATGAATCTCTTTAGAAATCTCTCTGGGTTCTATCCATGAGCCAGCACCTCCTGGTGTTGTCTGTAATTGGGCATTATGATTTTAGATTCTGATATTTGCAGAGGAAAGAGCAAGTAGAAAGAGGTTGATGATAATTGAGAACTGCAGAAGGCATCCTGGTGAACCGACACTGCAGGGTAGCATGTCCCAGTGCAGGGAGGGGCTCATGCTGTGAGCTGGTTAATCAAATCAAGGCCACTGTTTGGTATTTCACGTGCTCTGCCAGTCCTAACCTTACATGTCAAGGCAGGATGATTCCATTTAGCTAGAGAATAGAGTCCAACACCGCTTTATGGGTATGTTGAGATGAACTTATGAATCACGTACTTACCATATGGGGAAATCAAAAAGCTCAGAGAAGTTGGCATGGTTTAACTTTGATCTCTATAGTAATTGGAAGAAACACCAGATGTGCAGTAACCTTATGGGCAAGTGATTAAAAAACATGATATAGGCTAAATTGATGAATATAAAGGAGCAGTACATGAACTGGTACAAATGCAACATACCCACATGAAAATAATACAGATTGGGGGAAAAGAGTAATCCCATAAGATTCTATTCGGCTATTGCAAACCAGCGGTGCCATACACGCTGACAAGTCCGGATTCATTGTGCTATAGTAAATGCTAATGTAGCAATTTTTTTTCTCTGCCTATAATGTGTGGGCTGAAATCTGGGTTACCAATACACAATATTAAAAAGTAGAGGTAATATTAAAAGTATATTATTAATACACAGTTAATAACAAGTATAGAGAGATGTGGACCCCAAATGAGAGGATCCAAACCATTTATGAGAAACACATGAGAAAAATAGAGTCTGTGAACTTTAATTCTAAAAGAGGAAGGTTTTTACCTGATGGATTTTGACTATAACCAGAAAACCAAAGCAAACCCCCAAAAACAGAAAGGATTCTGTTGAATTCTATCAATATGCTCAGTAAAAGCAGGCAGAAATGAAGGATCCCATTGGAGCTGAGACATGAGGCTGCTAATGTAGGCCAACACCGGACAGGAGATTTAGAAGCATGATCTTTTGCCCTTAGGTCTCTGACCATTTTGCTTTTCCTCAGGAGATGAGTCAAGAGGAGAAGTCAGAGGCCCTTCTCAAACACTGTCTGCAAAGGGTAGCTCTTCTGTATGTACGTTTTCAGTCTTGTGCTTTGTACTGGTCCTTGCCCGCGTTTCCATCTTCATTAATTGACTCATTCAGTAATATTCACTTGTTCATTCATGCTCAGTTTCCTCACTTGTCAGATAGAAATAATGGTCTCTATCTCAGAGGGTTTCAATATGGATTAAATGAGTTAATTCCTATGAGACACTTAGCATATGATAAGCACCTACTATATCCTAGCTGCTATGATTTTTAAATCCAGTTTCCGTTTGAGTTAGCACAGTACGATCAGCATTTGGGGTTAATTTGGTCCCTCCAGAGATACCAGATTATACTTGGGTTAGCATAAACAAGTATAACTTGGATTCTTCTGGATTCTTCTAATACTAGAATAAATAATATCCCCTGACTCAAACCTTCTGATGGAAGCAGGCAAGTTTTGAGTAATGTGTGAGTTGGAGTAATCTGTATGTTGAATGTCAGTTCTCCTAATTTCTTGCTGTGTTGGGAAAGTTATTTAAGTTTTCTATTCCTCCACACTGCTATCTTTCAAAGGAGAATACTCTTCACAAGGCTGCTGAGTGGAGAAAACGAGGCACCTACTGTCTTCAACATCTGCCACAGTGTCCAGCCCACGGCCAGCCAGTGAAATCATATTCTCTGCCCAGTTCTGCCTGCCTACTTAGGCACTTTTTGGGAAATTCACTGAGCATCCTGTCATCTCTCAATAACACATAGATCTTCTAGACAACTTCAGTATCAGCACTGGCTTTCTTTGGGGCAAGAAAGAATTTTTCTAGCCAACATCGGATACCCAAAAGTTTGTCATTTGCCTATGACATGAGGAAAGAAATATTAAACAATAAAAAAATTCCACTTTTTTTTTCTGTTGGTGAACAATAGGATAATTTTGTTTTCTGGTTCATGGAGTATTGTTTTAAAATAAATAGACTTTTTTTTTTAAAAGAGCTGTTTTAGCAAGATTAAACAGAAAATAGAGAGAGTTCTTACTTATAGCCTCCTTCCTCACACCCAGCCTCTTCCTCCATTAACATTCTGCATCGGTATGGTTCATTTGTTACAGTCAATAAACCAACATTGGCACATCATTAACAACTAAAAGTCCATGGTTTACATTAGGGTTCACTCTTGGTGCTGTGCGCTCGCTGGGTTTTGGCAAATGTGTAATGACATGTATCTGTTGTTGTAGTATCATACCGGGTGGTTATGGCCCTAAAGTGTCTTCTGTGTTCCACGCGCTCATCCCTTCCTGCCCCCACCCCAACTCCACAGATCTATCTACTGTCTCTATAATTGTGCCTTTTCCAGAATGTCATACAGTTGGGACTATATAGTATATGATTTTCATTTTCACATGGCCTTTTCCACTTAGCGACATGCATTTATTTTTTCTCCATGTCCTTTTTATGTTTGATAACTCATCTCTTGTTAGCACTGAATAATATTCCATTGCCTGGATGTACCACAATGTATTTACCTATCCACCTATTGAAGGACATCTTGGTTGTTTGCGAGTTTGGGCAATTATAAATGAAGCTGCTATAAAACACTGGTGCACAGGGGCCAGGCGCGGTGGCTCACACCTGTAATCCCAGCACTGTGGGAGGCCGAGGCGGGCAGATCATGAGGTCAGGAGATCAAAACATGGTGAAACCCCGTCTCTACTAAAAATACAAAAAAAAAATTCAGCCAGGCGTGGTGGCATGCGCCTGTAGTCCTAGCTGCTGGGGAGGCTGAGGCAGGAGAATCACTTGAATGCGGGAGGCGGAGGTTGCAGTGATCTGAGATCACACCACTGCACTCCAGCCTGGGTGACAGGGAGAGACTCCATCTCAACAAACAAGCAAACAGACAACAAAAACAACAACAACAAAAGCACATTGGTGCACAGGTTTTTATGTAGACATGCTTTATCAGCTCATTGAGGTAAATACCAAGGAGTGTGATTACTGGATTATACAGTAAGAGTATGTTAAGTTTTGTAAAAGACTGTCAAATTGTTTCCCAAAATGGCAGTGCCATTTTGCATTCCCATCAGCAATGAATGAGAGTTCCTATTGTTCCATATCTTTGCCAGAATTTGGTGTTGTCAATGCTTTGAATTTTAGCCATTCAAGTAGGTGTGTAGTGATATTTCATTGTTTAAATTTGCAACTCCCATGACGTATGATGTTTAGCATTCTTCATATACTTATTTGATATCTGTAGATCATATTTGGTGGGGTACCTGATCTTTTGCTCCCCTTTAAAATTGGGTCAATTGTTTTTTATTGTTGAGTTTTGAGAGTAGTTTTTGTATCTGTTATGAGATATATCTTTCATCGGATATATGTTTTGCAGACATTTTCTCCCATCCTATGTCTTGTCTTCTCATTATCTTGGTAGTTTATAGACCTTTAAAAAGGCAACTTTCTGTTCTTAAAAAGAAACAACCATGGAACAAGAGAAATTCTGATCTCAAATTAAGTTACAAAGTGCTAAGAAGGATCTGATGCTGATAGGGTAGATATTTGGAGACTTACTGTTCTATATATCTGTCTCCCCCTTCTCTTCCCTTTATACCTATATTTCTTCCTTAGGATCCCTGGCTCCTGGTAAAGGCTACTTATGGACACTAAAAGTATTCAGATAAATACTCTTTGTGTGTATTCATACAAATGTGTCCCTTTTCAATCCTATAGCTTCTTAGAGTAACAGTAATAACAAATACCACCTTCTGTATGATTACATACCTTCTTATCTATTGCCAAGACTCAGAGAAATCAGGCAGGACTGCATAAGAAATCTTGTGGTCATAATGCAGTATAGGGTAAATTAAGAGAATTATCTTTTAATCAGACAAGTGGATCACTGATAGCTAAAAAACCTTGAGGCAGTTTTGGAAGTGCTATGGCCATGTTACATAAAGTATTCTTTTCTGCTCTATGGAATAATCTTGAGACAGGTCACATGGCTGTTGGAGTGTCTGAAAGGTAAACAGGGATGCCTTTCACATTTTTTTCACCTCTGCCCCTTTGCATCTTCTCTTGCTGTTGCCATTCACTGGGGGTTATTTCACTACTTGTGTTCAAAGGAAACTGTCACCATCCCACTCAGACTGGCAGACTAAGAGTTCAGAAGATAAGAAACCCTTCCTGGCATGAAATGCACTGTGAAATGTATTTGGAAATAAAGTAGTTAATGACAATTGCCATCAAAAACTTGCTCTTTCAAATGCATTTTTCATAGTTTCCAAGCCAACAGGAGCTTGTTTTGTACTGGAATTTCTGATCAGTGGCTAACTGTGTGACAGACAAGCATGCATACTTAAGGGTGTAGAAGCACACAGAAAAGCATACCTGTGCACATAATTATCTGTGTGGAACCCATAACTACCCAGACTCTTCACAGAGATGGACAGGACATACAGTCCATGGAACTGCTACATGCCAACAGTAGCCACGTCTTTGCACCTTGAATAATTGTGGAAACTATTATTCTGAAAGAGTCTGGAAAAGCATACAAAACCCTGAGTGGTTAGGGAGGTAGCGGGGTTCACACATGGACAAAGAGAAAAACACAAGCAAACAAACAAATAAACATCAGCAGGAAAAGCAAGAGTAATTGACTGGGCAGTGACCCCATCGGCCCAGGGGCATATTCCTTAGCTTTGTTTCTAGGACTCCCAACCCAAAGGTGTATTCCCTTCTCTACTGGAACTTTTCCCTTCACTTTGTTAAACTAACAGACATTCTACCAATTAATAATGCATTTAGGTTAATAAGCTTCCCCTGGGAATGCTAAAGGGCTAAGAGTCATTCACACATGGGTGTAAATTTGTTTAATTAGAGTTGTATTTTCAACCCGCCTTCCAAGTGGCAAGCTGAAATCCTTTATATTGAGGAAAGAAGAAAGGCCATTTATTGAATGTCTTATACGTGCCAGACCTGGTTACTTTACAAACTTTATCTCATTAACCTTCACAATAGTTTTCCAAATATATTATTACCTCATTTTCCTCTTGAGAAAATGGAGGCATAGATGGGTTCAAAAATGTGTCCAATATCACCCTGTCAAATGGAGGAGGTGGGATTTAAAACCAGGTCTGTCCTGTTCAAATGGGGCTTTGATGGAAGGAGTGAGGTGGTCTCAAATATCAGGGCAGGCATAGTTGAGGGTTTTCAATTTGGGCGATGGATGCCCTTCAATTGCTGGGTATCTAGAGGCTCATATATAGTTAGGAAGTTAGACTCTAAGTAATGTATTCATCCATGTAATAAACAAATGTGCATTAAATTAGGCTACGTGCCAGGTAATTTTCAAATTGAGGAAAACTTAGAGATGGACAGAAAAGGCAGGTGACTACCATCATGAGGTTCATGATCTAACAAAGGAAGACAGATAATAATCAAATATGTAGATAATTTAAAAGATATTATGAAATCATGATGAAGGGTGGGAATAACAACATAGTAGAGACTGAAGCAGGTAGCATGAAGTGCCCCTTTTGCTTGTGTATCAGAGAAGCCCTCTCTGCTCTGAGACTTTAAAGACAGGAGGCATCTTCCTATGCAAAGACCTACCTGGGAGGCCTTCCAGACACAGAGAAGGGAGCATACAAGGCCTTTAGACAGGTGGATAAACTGAAGGGCTTGTGGTGAAAGAACAGGCAGCAGGAGGAAGTGGTGTGAGATGGGGTCACAGAGGGAGGAATGACAATCACAGAAAGGTGGTTGATTTTTTTGTTGTTGTTATAATTGAAGTTTACAGCCACGGGAAGTTGTTTTTGAAGGTGAATACTCTTATTTTTGGATTAGAAAGACCACAGCTGGGTGGGGAATGTGTGAACACACAGGTTAAACAATAGGGGGGCAGTTGGTGACCTTGCAGAGCCATTTCAGTGGAGAAGCAGAGATGAAGGGATGATGGGGTGTGCTCAAGAGAAGATGGATTGAAAGTAAGTGGAGACAAAGTGTATATAAAATTCTTTTGTGATGTTTTGCTGTGAAACAGAACAAAAAATGAGATGATAAAAAGTGAGGATGAACACAGTGTGACTAACTGTACCGTTACAGTGTCCAAGCGAGAACTGAGGCTGACTTGGCTTAGGAAGGGTAGCAGAGAGGACAGAGGGAAGCAGAGAGATTCTAGGTGCACGTTGGAGCTGCAATGAGCAGAGAAAACTAATGAATTGGATGTGAAGAGAAAAGGAAAGAGCGAAATATCAATGGTGATGATTAACTTTTTGTCTGGAATGGCTTCAATAAATGGCAGTTGCATTCAGTGAGAGAAAGAAAGCCAGAGAAGGAGGACTAGTATTTTTGAAGAGGCATGAGTGATGGTTCAGAACACAAGATTTTTAGATAAAATAAGCTAAAATGAGGAGATCCAGTAAGCATTCAGGGCTGAGATTTAAACTGGAAAGGCTGCAGCATCAGTGAGGGAGGGAAAGTTCAATGAAGGAGAGACGTAGGTAGGAAAGAGTTTCAGGATTGAACCCTACGGCACTCCAGCAATTAGACAGGTGTCCAGCAGGAAGGGACAGGTCAGTGATGAACAGAGCAGGAGCCACCGGTGAGGTAGCAGGCAGAACAAGAGAGTGCATGTCAGAAGACATACAGGCTGCTTTTCTGGAAGATGGCATGGCCATCCGTGTAAATGCTGCGATCATGTGCCACAACACACAGGTTAACCATAGGAGGGGAGTTGGTGATCTTGTGGAGCCATTTCAGTGGAGAGGCAGAGATGAAGGGATGATGGGGTGTGCTCAAGAGAAGATGGATTGAGAGTAAGTGGAGACAAAGCATATATAGAATTCTTTTGTTATGTTTTGCTGTGAAACAGAACAAAAAATATGAGACGATAAATGGAGAAAGCAGTGAGTTAAAGGGAGTGCTTTTGTTTGTTTGTTTGTTTGTTTGTTTTATTTATAAGTGAGGCACCCTAGATGATGTTTGGATGCTGATAGGGATGGTTCCACAGAGAAGCGTATATTGATGATGCTGGGGAAAGACAGGCGATGGCCACAGCAGTGAAGTCCCTAGCAGGCAGGCAAGAGGGTTGGAATCTAGGGTGCAGGAAAAGGTGCTAGCCACCAATAGTGGTTGAGAGACATCAACTTTTTTAGCAAGTGGGAGGAAGGGGTGTGAGGACAGGTGCGGATAGTTTCCTAAATACATTAGTGGGAAGAAGAGGTTGTCCCCCATGCGAAGGCATGTTCTCAAGAGCTTATGAAATGAGGTTCTACTGGGAAGGAAGGGATGGCAAGACGTGTGGAGGTGTGCAGATTTGAGGAAGCTAGGAGAAAAAAATGGAACAGGGACAGGGGAAGAAAACAAGCAAACATACTAGGAAATTATAGCAGGATGGCCAGGTAGACTCAGGTGCCCTCTGAAGTCCTAAAAGTAAGGTAAGGTATTCTTTTGAGATAATTGGCATGCAATATAATCTATGAAGAAATACATTCAAAGATTAAAGTCTGATTTACCACTTACATATATTGTTTAATAACAATGAATATTCATAAAGTGCACTTTGCATGCATTATTTCATTTCATCCTTACAAATACATGAGGTGGATATGATTATAGTCTTCATTTACAAATGAGGTAATTGAGACTTGGAGAAGTGAAGTAAGCTTCATAAGGTCCCACAGCTAGTAAATTAGTCAGAAAGGGTAGAAACCAGTCTACTTAATGACAAAGACTGTGACCTTACACCTCCATGCTGAGCTGCTCCTCAGGTTACAACTGAGCTGTGGGTGTGAACATATGCATGCAGTACTTTTATATAATTAAAAATCTCAGCTGCATATCACAAGTAATGTTAAGGAAAGGGAGGGACTTATTTTTGGTTTTTGTCTGTTTCCCTCCACCATCAGTGTTCCAGTACTGTTTCCTTGGGTCACCAGGGAAGGGAAGAAAGCTGACTGGACCATCCCCTGGGCCAGAACTGCTTTTGCATGTGACAGTGCATGAGTGTGTGCGCGCACACACACACACACACACACTTCACTCTCCTGTCAGCTGTCACAGTTGAAAAGCCTTTCTCTTATATTTCTCCTTGTAATCCATTCACCGCCTCAGAGACTCCTGGTTTCTCAGGGGAATGTCACCGAGTGCAGAGTTTTGCATCTATTTCTAGAAGTTATTCATGCATTTACAAATGGTGGAAAGAAATATGGAACCACTTCTTTTTGTGGGGACACTTGAGAGTACTGATGACTCTGGCAAGCGGTGGGGGGAGGTGGGAGAGGGAGAGTGAGGAGGGCCTATACGATCATGGAGGGCCTTCAAACAGGCTCTCTCCATCTTCCACATTGGAAGGTGGCCCTGCACACCAGCTGTGTAGTCTTAGCTCTAGTGGAGTCCCAGGGAGTGTATCACGGGTGTCTCCAGTCACTGCCCTGAGCCAGGCTTGCTGGTCTGAGGATAGAAAGTAAGCAAGGGAAGGCAAGTAAGAGACAAGACTCCTTTTGTTTATTCTGTGTTTTAATAATTGGCTGATTACGTTCCATTTTTATTTGGTTTCACTGGCAATCAGATAGAGAGCTGTAATATCCACTCACACCTTGTAATTACCATTAATTTCTTCCCTTTACTCTGCAGAGTCAAGACAAGGTTGGCAGAGAAGCCATGGGAGATTGAATCCAACCGAGTGCAATGCATATGCATGAGGCAGGACCCACCAAGGCTCCCAGGAGACATTTAGTGGGGAGGGGTGAGAAGGGGAGGAAGGGGAGGAAAGGAAGAAGGCTGGAAGATGGAAAGAGGGGGGAAGATACCTTGAATTGGAAACAAAGGCAAATGGAAGAAAGTGTCGAAGTCAGCACAACAGCCTTGCTAGCTTAATTACCATAATGATGTAAAATAGTCCAATCAGCAATCTGGGGCTAATCTTTCATGTATTACAGGTCTCTCCTTCGTAGAGCTTCACAGCTTAAATGCATTTTTAATGAAGATATTTGAGGCAAGCGGATAATTTTCCAGTCTTTCCAGGAGGGAATCAGAGCACATTAAATGGGCTGTTTCTCTTCCCTGTAGCTGCCCAGAGTTCTTGCTTTGCCTGGCACATGGAGCTGGTTGTCTTTCAGAATAGGTGGCTCTGGTCTCTGCCCTCCTTCCAGAGGCAGCTGGGGAAGGCATGGATAGGGCTGACATCCAGGGAGAGCTGTGGCTGGTTGAAAGGAGCCTGTGCTCTGCCTTGCCTTGTGCCTAGGGGATGTCTGGATCTCCTTGCTAGAAATGAGAGAGGAAGGGCCCCAGGGACATTCCCCAGCCCTGATGTTATCTCAGCTAGCAGGAGAATCTCAGCTTCGTTCTGCCAGTGTCATGCTAACAGTCCAAACACCACTGGAGATGCATATGAATCTCTTACTTATGACACATACATTTGCATGCTAGAGTCAGCAAAAGAACAGTCCTGGCCTCTTGACCTCACTCCTCTAACCAGAGAAGGCTTTCCTTGTGGTTCCATCACCCAAGGACTCTGTCTATGGTACATTCAAGTGATGCACAATTAGATCCATTGAAAAAGAGCAGTCTTTTTGTTTGATGCCTAATGCTGTATGATGGGGGAAGACTAAAATATCTGGGTTAAACATACATGCTATGTATCTATAATAAGGCCCCCTCTCAGAGGGACAAGTTTTCGGGGAGGAGGTGCGGGGAAAGAAAGTACAAGCTACAGATTGTATATCCTGGTAAGGCAAAAACAGGTTAAAAATCTCTTAGACTGTGGTTTGGGGGAAGCTTTAATTATTCTATTGCTGGTGTTTCCTTCTGTCACCAAACTGCCTGAGATACAGCTTCAACTGTTTAGATATGTGCAGTGAATTCAGCAATTTCTGGAAATTCTGTCTTTACCTTTCTTCCCACCAGCACATCCCATCAAACTCCTTGATTTCCGATGGCACACATCTTCTCCCTGAATGAGGGTAAGGCCAAGGGGCTTGCAGCACTTCACAATATGTTTTTCAAAAACAGAATACACACACACACACACATACACACACACCACATATATATGTGTATATAAACACAAACATAAATATATAAGTCCTTAGTTTTCTTGAAGTTGGAACTTGATCGAATGTCTGTCTAGCTGTTTGTAATACGCCTATCACTGGCCTGCTCAGACACTGGGCAGCCTCACTAAATCTAACCTCAAATACCTACATATGGAATAATAAATGCTTTGGCTTCTTTTCCTTCCTTTGTGGTTGACAGAATGAGAAGGTGGGTAGTAAGATCTTATAGTAATAGGATTATCAGGACTTGCATGTGAAAGCAGGACCCCCATTAACTAGAGGTTAATGACCTTACTTTTACGGGCTCCTAAGAACCCAAGACGGCAGGAAGGAGATTCAAATCCCACACTCCATTTTCTTTTCTTCCTTTCTGGTTTCTTTCATTCATTCATTCATTCATTCATTCATTCATTCATTCATTCAGTTTTTGCTGTGTTAAGGCTATATGTAAGACCCTCTGACGTTTCCAGAGTGAAGATGCAGACAGGGAAGGCACTGGATGGAGATGAGGAATAGAAGCATTCAGAGCCTCCAGCCCCAGGACCCTGGGGGAGAAGGCACATCATTAAAGGAAGCCCTGCCGCATTCTGACTCTAGAGCATCACAAACAGCACAGCAGCCTCCACTTACAAACATGTGTTTTTTAGCGAGCTGTTTGGTTGGTTATCTGGAGAAAAGTATACTTAAAGTGACTTACTGATGATGTCTCTTGTTGTATTTCTTGAGGGAAATATAGATAATTGAGAGAAGAAAAGCAAAACTCCCTCATCCTACAACTCAGAAATAAATATTGATATCATATGTCTAGACAAATATATTGTGTCATAACAAAAAATGGGAGAATCCTGTATAATTATTTGTAATGGCAGCATGTTGAATAGCATTAAAATATTCATTCCTCCCAGTTTTTTAATTTGGCTATGATCTATTGGCCTATCTTCCAGGTTGATAATTCTGTGTCCAACTGCTATTAAATTCATCTATTGGGTTAATGATTTCAGATATTGTGTCTTTTAATTCTGGAATTTCTATGCAATTTTTTAAAAATAAATTCAAACACTCTGTTAAAATTCTTCATTTATATATACATCTATTTCATCCATTTTGTCTCTCTCTCCTTTTTTTTTTTTAACCAAAGTAATCATAGTCATTTAAAGTCTTTGTCTGCTAACTCCAATATAGGTATCATATTATGGTCTGCTTCAATATCTTTTCCCCTGTTCAATTATCAGTCATATTTCCTTGCTTCTAGTGACCTTGTAGTACATACCAGACATTGCATATAAAGGAATCATAAAGCTACAGATATTATTTTTCTCTAGAGATCCCTCCTATTCCTTCTGGTATGCACAAAATTTCTGGCATTAAAAAATACTAGATGTGTGAAAAGGCAAGGAAATATGACTGATAATCCATACATAGCACACAAAATAATAGAAGTAGACCCATATATGGTTCTTTTTTTTTTTTTTCGACTTTGTAACTTTACTTCATCCTCTTCATTTACATAGGGTGTGCCCCAAGTAGAGGGTATTTATTTATTTATTATTATTTTTTATTATACTTTAAGTTTTAGGGTACATGTGCACAACATGCAGGTTTGTTACACATGTATACATGTGCCATTTTGGTGTGCTGCACCCATTAACTTGTCATTTAACATTAGGTATATCTCCTAATGCTATGCCTCCCCCCTCCCCCATATATGGTTCTTATATTGGATTTGGCAGGCAAGGACTTTGAAATAACTATAATTAACACATGTATTAGTAAGGTTCTCCAGAAAACAGAAACAATATGATTTTATATATAATATAATCTGTCTATATATATATATACACTCATATCTATCTATGTGTTTATCTATCTATCTATCATCTATCTATCTATCTATCTAAGAGAGAGAGAGGTTTTAGGGAATTGGCTCACACGGCGAGCAAGACTGGCAAGTCCAAGTCTGCAGGGTGGGCGGCAGGCTGGAGACATGGAAAAAGCTGATGCTGCAGTTCAAGTGCAAAGGCCATGTGCTGACAGCATGCCCTCTTGCGCTAGATCGTGAGTCTTTTGTTTTATTCAGGGGTTCAACTGATTACAGGAAGTCCACCCACGTTACGGAGGGCAGTCGACTTTGCTCAAAGCCCACTGATTTAAATGTGTTGTTGATGTATACAATTAATTACCCCAAATTGAAGAAAAGATAAAATAGAAGAAAATAGAATAAAAAATTGATAAAGTAAATGAAAGGATGGAAAATTTCAATAGAAAATTGAAATCTAGGAAATGAATCAAGGATCTTCTCTACTTCCAGGCTCAGTATTTCTACAGTTGTTTCATCTGTGAATGGTTGGACCCTGGCACCTCTTTTGCTAGTTCCCAGTATAGCCCCAGATTGTCAGTGAGGCTCCATCATGAAGTGTCTGTTCTCAGGTCTGTGGGATTCTATCCAGGTTTATGCTTTCTAAACACGGTCTGTAGCTGTCTATCTCCTCTTCTATCAGATGTCAACTTAGAATGAGTTTCTCCCTTGTACAATGCCATATTGTGGTCACTACTTCATAACGTCTTGGTGATACTTAAAATATTTTGTTTTATTTCTTTAAAGTTTAAGGTTTATATTGTATATTATAAATACTCTTCGCATTGATATATAGACTTCCGTAGCCATAAGTATTTCATCCTGATAAGTACTAGGCTCTTCTTCCATTACATTTTTTTTTTGGCGGGGGAGGGGGGCAGTTACAAGGCACTCATTACAGTCTAAATATATAGATTTATCTAATCCCTCCCTTTTGCCTCTAAAATTTAAATTCAAAGCCCTCCTGGTAAAGCTGAGTTTTCTCCTGCCAAGTTCATTATTCTATTTCAGGGAATTATGAGATGTTCTCTGCCCTTGTTATGAGATCACCTCTGAAGCATAGGCATATATCCAGAAAAACAAACCTTATTTTCCTTTAGTATCAGCTACATAGCCAGCTGTCTGCTTCACACATCCCTTTAAAAATTTTTTTTCCAAAGACAAAAAAAGAAGCCATGAAAACACCTGTGGTCCCAAGTCCTTCAGTTTCATACCTAAGACTACAGGGTCAATAGAGATACAAAGAAAATTTATTTGGAATATTATATTAATAAAATTGTATATACTGGCCTTCACTGGTTTGTAGACTTGAGTTTTAGAGAAATACTCCTTTTTCAGAGTGTATCATCTTCAAAAGTAAAGCACTATCCCAGCAAGCAACACCCCCACCCCAGTCATCTGAAACTCCCTGTGTATGACATGATATTTTTTCTTTAAGATTGAATATGAAAGCCTCAACCATCACATCAAGCCACAGATCAATCATAGCCACCACACAGAGAAAATTACCATTTGGCAACATCCATCATCTTTACAAGTGCTACCCACATCTAACTCCACCTGAGCCATCATTGTTGCCGCTTACTTCTATCTTCAGTGAGGCTGGAAGTCAACAAAAGGGTCTTATTCCCTTTATTGGGAGAGGAGAGGAGAGTAGCACAGAAACGCCTTTCTGAGGGGTAACTGTCTTTCCAATCCTGGATTCCCTTGTTGTCAACTCCCTCTTCACGCCTCATTTTATGAAATCAATAAAGAACTGAAGCTCTTCTTGTTTATTTGTCGACTATACCCTTCTCCCTCTTGTACAACTGATTTTGAAAAAGAAGGATATGGCTGTGGAGAGAAGAGTTGTTATCTCTATCCTAAAATGAACAAGAGAAGCAGGCTACACATCTGTGTTGTATTTGAGTCATGAAAATGCAGTCCCACAACGGACCAAAAACTCTCTCAGAACTCTCGAACGCTGTGATTCTCAGTTTTCTTCTTCTCTCATGAGTAATAGCCTTGTTCCCTGAACACCCAGGTGTCACGTATCTCTTCCTGCTATAAACAAGAAATCTTACCTGCAGTTGGAGGTAAATGCCCACTTCTTGTTTTTGTATAACACATAAAATAAGAATGTTTTTGTACTTAAAAAAGCATTTTAAATGGTTGAAAACAAATCACAAGAAGAATATTTCATAATGCATAAAATCATATAAAATTTAAATTTCAGTGTCTGTAAATAAAGTTTTATTGGTACACAGTCACATTCACTTACATAATGCCTCGGAGATATTTTTAAATGGCAAAATTGAGTATTTGCAACAGAGACCATATGCCCCTCAAAGCCAAAGGATTTATTATCTGGCCCTTTACAAAAACAGTTTGCCAAGCTGTTTCAAAGCAGAAACTGACCTAAGAGAGACTGCTTGTCTATGATCATGTTAAACCACAATGCCATGAAGTTGGAATCAGTATCATCCTACGTGATTTTTCATGCTGCTTAGAAAGCCTCTGAGTCTTTAGTCCAATATTACTCTTATTTCCAGCACAGCTATCGCAAACATGTCCATTTCCTCAAGACTCCAACTTGCCCTTGCCACTTTTCACAGTCCCACCAGCTGATTTCATGTCCTATTTTATGTAGAGAAAAATTAGGCCAATAAGTGTGAACTGCCTCCAGCTGCTGCTTCTTGCCTGCCTTCCTCTGCATCTAGCACCCATCTTATCTTCCTTGTGCACATCTCTGCTTTGCAGCAAGACACATTTCTCTATCTGTGTCTGTTGCATTCTTCTTCAGGATTTCATGCCATCCAGTATCTCTTTCTTCTTCTAGATCTTCAACCTTGACTGGCTTTAATAAATTTTGTCACAACATATAAACATGAGTTTTTGAAGAAAATAAATCAATGAATAAGAATTTTAAAACCATCTCAACCCCATGTCCTCCTTTGGGGACCCTCCTATGGGGGGTCACAATAATCTCCCTCATTCTCCTCACACCTAACCTACTGGAAAGAGTACTCTGTATTCACTCTTCTTAACTGTCACTGTCACTTCTCAACTCACACAAACCTAACATGAAAGGGCATAAAGTATTTTGGGGGAAAATAATCTAAGGTAGACAGGAAGAGTCAGGGCCAAACAGACCTTAAATTCCTTTGCTAAAGACTTCAAACTTAACGCCAAGAGCGAAGGGCACCCATTGAAACATCTCCACACATCTTTAATCTATTATTTTTGTCTGATGTATTACATGTTTGTGTAGCCCCTTCCCATCCTCACGTACTTCACAGGAGGTCCCTGCCATCTGAATTACAGTAGAGAATTCTGCAAATATTCAGCGGGCTGACAGGTCAAGATGCGGAGGAGACTTCTATTCTCATAGCAAGACTTAAAAGTCCAGGTAGGTCATCAAAAAGGGAAAGGCATAATCCGATAGACGTTTTAGAAAGGTGACTCATGGAAGAATGAGAAATGGATTTAATCTGGTGAATTTGGACGCAAAAAGATGAGTTAAGAAACTATTAAAATAGTCCATGTGGGGCAAAGGCTTCAACTTTACAGCAAAGGGTTTTATGGGGGTCACGAAAATCAGGTAAGAAATGAAACTAAGCTCTTTGGGGAAAGATGGCTTTTAAGTTCACAATAAAGACCTCACGGTGATTTACTGTAACTTATTTTTTTTCTAAAGGAGTCATATTCCACTGAGATCAGAACACTTATGAGTGACTGTGTGCTATTGTAGGAAGTGTATTTAGGACCCACTTCATCCACACTAATGAGAACACTTGCCTCTTGTGAGCTGCTTCCACAAGAATCTTCTATTTCATTGGAGTCTGAAGTCTGAAATCCTAATTCCTCCACAGCCCCCCATAGCAAATTCCCATTACAATAAACTCCATGAGGCTATGTGTGATGGTTAATTTTTTACATGTCAACGTGACTGGGTCATGGAGTGCTCAGATTAAACATTATTTTTGAGTGGGTCTGTGAAAGTGTCTCAGGATGAGATTAGCATTTGAATTGGTGGACTGCGGACTCATTAAACTAGAATGCCCTTTTTAATATGAGTAGTCACAATCCAGTCTATTGAGGGCCTGGATAGAACAAAAGGCAGAGGAAGAAGGAATTTGCCCTTCCTCATGTTTTCATTTCTGCCTCACTGCCTGAACTGGGACATCTCATTTCATCAGCTTCTGCCCTTGGGCTGGGATTTACATCATTGGCTCCCCTAATTCTCAGGCCTTTGCACTGGACTGAATTATACCACTGGTTTTCCTGGGGCTCCAGCTTGTACTTGGCAGATTATGAAGTTTCTCAGCCTCCATAACCGTATGAGCCAATTTCTCATAATAAATACATCTCTATCTCTATCTATAATCTCCTATTAGTTCTGTTTCTCTGAAGAACCTTGACTGAAACAGCAGACAATGAGTTCAACTCATCACTCTCCAGTTCCTCGTACATATCACTTGCTACGTAGTAGAATTCAACAGTATTTTGAATGAATGAATGAGCAAAGAAACCTGTGAACTTGGAAGTGACTGCTGTCATTCATCCATCATTCACTAGTTATTTACTAAACACATACTTTGTGATCAGAACTGTTCTAGACATTGGGATTTCAGTGTGAAAAGGATAACTTTGAGGCAACCACTAAAGAGGTGATTGTGAAGGCGATGGACACGTTATTTGAAAAGGTGTTATTAGTGCATGTAAAACGCACACCTATCTCAGACAAGGGTGAGGAATGCTGGCTTCCAAAATGAGATTCCATTTAAGCTGAGGCTGAGGGCAAACAGTAATTATCCCAGGGAAGGTAGGATGGGGGAGAGCAATACACCGGGGGAAGCAGCTGAGATGAGAATTAAGGTAGGAGTTTCACAGGTTAAAGTAGTTCAAGGTTGGCAGAAGGAAGAGCTTACAGAGGCAATGATGAGGGATAAAGCTGGACAAAAAACAGTGGATAAAGGATATCTATAATGAGGGGTTTGGACTTGATGCTGGGGATGCACAGTGCTGCATCTTTAAAGAGGTTCTCTCCAATTAAGATAGAAGTCAGCTAAGAGTGAGATTTAAGATGGGGATACAGAAGAGAGGAGAAGGTTGCTGCTGCAGGCTGTGGCACCGTGGTGCTGATGATGGGGGCTGCTTCTCTTGCATTGGTAGTGTCCATCATGCAGTAAAATGACGGTTATGGTGCTCAGGTTCTACCATTGTGCTGGTACTTCTGCAGAATTAAAGGAACTTTTGTGAACTCATTTTGAAAATTAAACAACCCTCTTAATAAACTCTTTTGACGGAAAAATATGTTGAGACTTCTAATTATCGCTGTAAAGACTGACTTCAGTAATGCTGCCTAGTTATAATTGAGACACTGTTTCCATATATGAGTTCTTTAAAAGAGATATGCAGATGGACATGATCTTTGAGCTGTAAAAAGTCTGAACCAGGATATCCTGAAGATATCATCAAAATATAAAGTTATCTAAAAAAAATGTGTACTGAGTTCACAGAAATTAAATTCAAAAGCAATGAAATTATTAAAAAAGAGAACCTATTTGAATCAAAAGGGAATATTTTATTGATTTTTATTGAGTTTTATTTTAAATTAACTTGAAAGTTTATAAGTTTTACAGAACTGCTCAGTGTTTTCAGGGAGGTCTCATTTAGTAAATCATAGCTGTACAAACCTCAAGTTATAGGACCTCTGTATAGATCTAATTCATCTTGCTTTCAATGAATATTTTTTGAGGACATATTATGTGGAAATCACTGTATTAAGTGCTAGGGAGATACAGAAAAGTACTAGTAAAAGCAGGCTCCTGCCCTCAAGGAGAATTTAAGTTGGTGAGGAAGATATACACAAAATGATAACTAATACCACAATCTATGTAATAACAGAGTAGGAGATGAATTAGTGATAAGATAATCAAGATCATTGTAGTTCCAAAGAGCAGGCAATTAAATGTAGCTGGAAGTAGAATATTTGCTGAGTTCTCAATGTTGGATCCACTTTTAATAGACAGATAAAAGAAGGGAGCAGACCATCTGGTTTTCTGCTTCATCATGCTATTGAAACTACACTTTAAAACATTTCCAATAACCTCCTAATTGCTGTCTCTAATAGTCTTGCCTCAGCTTTCAGTTCATATCCTCTTTGCAGTGCTTGATTTTAAAACTTTCTCCCTCTTGATTCTGTAATGTTAATTTTCTGAGTGTCAACGCTATTTCTTTGGTTCAATTTTCTTCCTCTGTAGGGTAGGTTAGGAGCATTTATCGCAAAAGATTATATCATTCCTTTTTTCTACTTTTTATTGCCACCTGTTGCTCAGGTTCACCTTTCAGACACAGGGAGTAAAATTGAGGAAACTGATCTATACTTTGCAATGCGCAGTGTAAATGTCTTCCTTCTTGGAAGATGGAAGTTTAGTGCTCTTCATCCCTGGCCACTCAGGGAAGGGCCTGGCCATGAATGTGCTCCTTCCCTGTCCCATTTAGTCCTTAATGTTGTGATTCTCTAAGGTTGGGTTAAAAGGACCCCTGAAGAAGCTGGTGCACAGTTAGCAATGAGAAAAGTTAGGCTAAAATGCTGGGGGATCCAGACTGTCCAGGTATTTTATGCTGCAAGCCACTGCGTCTAAGCTGGAGAAATAAACTAAGAGGTACAAGAGATGACCACATCACTGTATATATTAATATAATTTGAGGATAAGCAACACACTGTTCTGCGATTATGTTCATTTAGTCCTGTGAACAAGCTGATGCTCTAATCCGTCTGCCTATTGATGGAGCGCTAGGCTCTTCACACCCATGGATGGTTTTTATGCTTTTAAACTAGGGTATGATTGTGTTGCTGTTTCTGCGTTTGAACCCTTAGTGAGCAGTGACCTTTCCAGTCTCTGAGTGATTAAGGCTCTTATTAATTTCCTGTGGGGTTGCCGACACTCTAAGGCAGCAGGCTGTTGGGGGTTCATTAACATGTGGGGCTCTAATTAGCGGCATAGGATCTGTCTCTGTTCTCACTCCGATATGGAACAAAGCTATAAATATAGACACATAAGAAAAAATACACAAAACCGTAACCGAAAGAAAGAGGTGTTGACATGTCCAGGGCAGATCTTTAAACCAAAACAGCCACTTTCCCGGGGCCTAATCAGGCTCTTCTAGAAAACTGCATCTGGATGGGATGGCACAGTATGGGAGAAAATCTGAGGGGGTCTAGATCAGCCTTGGAAATAATTATTGATTGAGTTATATTGTTAACTCCCTTCTGCACCTGTGATTCAATGAATTGCAACTCTAAAGAAAGGTGAAAAGAATTGAAATCCCTTGATGCTGAGAAGAGAAGTAAGAGGGATTTAATAATAATCGTTATGTCTGGGCAGGATTTTAATGGAGAGAATAATGACCACATTCCCTGTTTCCCAACCTAGAGACGAAATGAGTTCAAATTGCAGCTGGGAGCAGTTTGATTGGTTAATTAATATTTTGGGGGCCCTTACAAGATACTAAACCCTTTGCAAGGAGCTTGTAGGTAGTTAGTGCACAGCTCTTGGGGGGCACCTAAAAATGTGCCAGATGTTGCTTATGAAATTCTCTGACACTGACAGTGAACCGATCAGGTTAGGCTTCAGGAAGCATTCTGCAAATTGTTACACACTGGACTGAATGCCCAAGAAGGGGATGTGTTATCCCCACCCACCCAGCACCTGAAGATCTTTATAAACAGGAAAGAAATTCATTAAACTGAGGTCAAGGAGCTGGCCTGAACTGAGAGGGAGAATGGGCGGTATAAAGACTCAGCCCTTAATATGGTAACAGGAAACCCTTTTCCTTCCTCTACCCTTAGGTGCTATGCGTTTGAGGTGCCCAGAGGAAACATTTTGAAGGTACAGCCGTTAAGTTCCATTTTCAACATCACTCTTTGGTATTTTCTTATTTATTTATTTTTGAGATGGAGTCTCGCTCCATCAACCAGGCTGGAGTGCAATGGCACGATCTCAGCTCACTGCAATCTCCACCTCCCAGGTTCAAGTGATTCTCCTGCCTCAGCCTCCTGAGTAGCAGGGATTATAGGCACTCGCCACCACACCCAGCTAATTTTTGTATTTTTAGTAGAGAAGGGGTTTCACCATGTTGGTCAGGCTAGTCTCTAACTCCTGACCTCGTGATCCTCCCAAAGTGCTGGGATTACAGGCGTGAGCCACCGTGCCCTGCCTGGTATTTGCTTCTGATCTGAGTCTAGACATGCTGGTGCTTGGAAGTTTCCATCACTATAACCCTTCTTTTCTTTCCACCTGTATCCACCTAGGCAAGGTTTCCCTGGGAGTGGGAATTGTGAACATCTAACAGAAAGGATGCCCAGAGCAGAATGAGACTTGAAGTCTGACCTGCCCTTTCATGTCCACGATTCCATGGTTTCCTTTCAGGCAGGTATGGCTGCCTACACAAAGATGTGGCCCTTGGAAGGCTAGCTCAGAAGACGGAGGGAGAGGCTGGGTGTGGTGGCTCACGCCTCTAATCCCAGCACTTTGGGAGGCTGAGGCGGGCGGATCACGAGGTTAGGACTTCGAGTCCATCCTGGCCAACATGGTGAAATCCCGTCTCTACTAAAAATACAAAAAATTAGCCGGGCGTGGTGGCGGGCGCCTGTAGTCCCGGCTACTCGGGAGGCTGAGGCAGGAGAATGGCGTGAACCCGGGAGGCGGAGCCTGCAGTGAGCCGAGATCGCGCCACTGCACTCCAGCCTGGCGACAGAGCAAGATACCGTCTCAAAAATAAAAATAAAATAAATAAGTACATAAATAAACAAGAAGAAGATGGAGGGAGAGAAACCTGCAGCACTGTAAGAGGTGGCGTCTTGGCCAAGCCACATTCAGATCAGTGTGTGAAGTGGGGGTGAATGTGAACTATTCAGAGACCAATTCTCATAGAATTTAACATAAATCATAAATAAACACTTGGAGATGGCACTTTTTTTAATTAAAATTTTTAGTTTTTTAAGATGGCATTTTAAATAAATGAGCTATCAGTGTATTATGCTTACTGGAGACTCCAGTCTTTTATTAACCCTGGGGAACATTTAGAAATACAATATTAAAAATGTTGTTAAGATTTATAATCTATAGTAAGGAACATTAAAAATAAGCTCCGTACACCCACATGAACTTAAATAAAATCATCCTGGTTCAGCACTTAGCACTTGGCCTGGCACAAAGCACAGTGGTAACTGTAGCTCGGAGCTGCTTTGTCCAAATGAGGTTCCTAAGTCAGCCCTGGAGTATGGGGGGAACTGAGGTTTGGATTATCTACTTCCTTCACACTTGTGCTCACTGCTCTCCTCTGTCTTCCCACCTCATTTCGCTATTTCCCTGCTGTTAACACCACGATCATAGTGGCCCAGGGAAATGAATGGGAAATGAGCCACGTATGCTGCTTCTTAGCGTCAGCGAATGGTTTAGTAAGTAAGGTGGTTAGCATTATGGAAGAAAATTAACTCAGCATTAATTTTTGCTGCTTCTGTTTTTCCTTTTAAATCCTGAGTGAGTGCCACTTTCTTTAAGATCTCTAGACAGCTTATTTCTTGGAGTATAGCCTTCCAGAAGCTGTCAGTGGGGTAAAAACAAGCAAACTTTTAAAAAGCAACCCCCCCGCCCCCACCGACCAAATTTTAAAAAAGCAAAGCTTTTCTTTTGGGGCTTTTAGAATAACAAAGGTCTGAATTATGTTTGTATCTGAAACTAAAAGCTTTCAGCAGCTCAGCACCATCCTTTGGCCAGAGGTCCTGGTTATCACTAAGAGACCTTCTCCATGCAGGTTTGAGAGCCTATTAATAGGATAATCAATGATGTGTTACTGCTTTTTAGGAGAATTACTTTCAGCTCTGAAATCCTGTGTAGTTTGCCAAGAGAAATTCAGTACAATCCCAAATTGCTTCAAACCTGTTTCAATAATTAGCAGCAAGTAGGTGAAGGAAAAGATAAGGCAAGGAAAGACGACAGTCATACCCGCTCACAGTCGTGTTTCATTTACACTAACTAGGAAAGTGGAAGCTTCATCACAGGGTTATACCCAATGATCATCAAATTTCTTTGGGAAAAAAATGTGTTAACCCTTCAGGATCAAGCCTCCAGCCTTCACTGCGTTTACCATGATCCCACACAGTGCTCTGCCCCCTCCACTGTGCTTTTAACATTTTAGATGTATCAATCTCTTCAAATTTCCCTGACCAGTAATGCTTTCTTGTAGCACTGTGCATTTGCACATTCTGTTCCCACTGCCAGGAATTTCTTTCAGGCAGGTCTTCCTGCTGAACGCTCTCACACTGCGCATCAAGACAGACCAGGCAGGGATTTCTCACTTACATTCCCACCGTGCTATAGTGTCTCAACATCCCGCAGTCGGAGCTTTATTACATTGCCTTGTAATCACATGTGGACATGTTGGCCTACCTTCTCTAAGCTGTGAACCTTATTAGGTAGAGAACTGTGTTTGGTTCCCATCCCCTAGTATAAAATTGAACCAAATGAAATTGCTGATATTTGACTTTTTAAATCTAGAGCTAGCTATATGATACAGCAATTTCATGTAGCTTGATCAAATTCATTGCCAGCAGAAAGAACGGTTAAAAATATCTCTCTTGAAAGAAAGAAAGATCTACATTTACTCATGTAATACGTGATTTCTTTCATTGTAATATCTTTGCCCAGATTACAAATCAGAATTTTGATGGCCTTACAAATAAGTTGGGAAGAATTTCCTCTTCAGGCTAGAGTTTGCTTGAGAGTGGTATTAATCCATCCTTGAATGAATGATAGAATGTACCAGAGATTTATAAATTCTATCCCTTTGATTGATACGGGTTTAGCTGGGAGTGGAAATTCTGAGCATCTAACAGAAAAGAGTCCCAGAGAAGAATGGTACTTGCAGTCTGACCTCCCGTTTTATAGCTATGATTCCTTGATTTCCCTTCAGGCATGTCTGGCTGGCTACACAAAGATATGGTCACTGGAAGGCTATTCAGAGATGGAGGGAGAGGAATCCACAGCACTTTAAGAGCTGCTTCTTGGCCAGCCCCATTCAGAACCAGTATGTGTGAAGTGGAGATGAATGAATACTAGAATTTACCCGTGGATTTATAAATTTTATTCTTTGAAGTGAAATGGGACTTACAGATTTTTTTATAGAATGCATTTCTCAAGGAACTTTTTGATTTTTAGTAATATCAGAGTTGTCAAGTTCATGGGGATAACTTATTAATGCTATTTCCCTGTTTTCCTTTTAATATTTGGGAGATCTCTAGTGATAGACTCATGTTTATTCTTCATGTTGGTAATTTGGCCTTCTTTGCTTAATCATGATTATTCTTTTTAGGGATTTTGGTAAATTGTATTCGTATTTCCAAAAAAACCAAGTTTGAGACGTAGGTTTTCTCTATTGTGTGTTTTCTAGTTCATTGGGTTTTGCTCTTATGTTTGTTGTTTCTTTGTGTCTATATAACTAGGATTTAGATTTTTCTTCTTTATCTACTTACAGTGGAAATGTAGATTTTTATTTTATTGTAAGTCTTCTTTTCTAATACAGGCATTTCAAAACTATACATTTCTCTGCGAGCATTCCGTTAGGGGCATCTCTAACATTTTGATATATTTCATTACTATTCCATTTTAAATATTTGCATTTTTTGTGACTTCTCCTTTGATCCATGAGTTATTTAGAAATGTGTGCTTTTTTGTTGCTTGTAATTTCCAATTCAGGCTTTAAATTGTATTCAGACTTGTTCTAAGGCCAAGGATAATGGTATATATTGGTGAATAGCTTATATACATTTGAAAAGAATGTGTATGATGGCACTGTTGGGTGTAGTGTCCTGTAAATATTGATTAGATCAAGTTGGTTGACAACCATGTTTAGATCTTACATTTTCTTCCTCATATTTGCCTACATTTCTAGCAATTACTGAGTGAGTGGAATTAAAATATCCAACTTTAGTTGTAGATTTGTCTATTTCTTCAGTCAATTTTGTCAGTTTTTGCTTTATGGATTTTGATACTCTGTTACTAGGTGAATACATATTTAAGATTAGCATGCCTTGTGGGTAATTTGCTCTTTTATCATGCACTATTTCACATGATCTCTTGTAATATACTTTTTCCTGATTTCTACTTTGTTTGATATCAATAAACCCACATCAACTTTCTTATGCTTGCAGCTTGCATGTTATATCTTCTCTCATCCTTTTAAACTTGTCTATTTCTTTATATTTAAAGTGTGTCTTATGTAGACAGCTAACAGTTGTGTTGTGTTTTTCTATCCAGTCTGTTAGTCTATGCCTTTTAATTGGCATTTTAAATCCCTTCACATTTCATGTAATTATTGTTTTGGTTTGATTTAAGTCTACCATATGGCAATTTGGTTTTTTGTTTGTATGTTTTATCTTTTGTTGTTTTCTGGTTTTCCCTTCCCAGCCTCCTATGTTAATCCAGTATTTTTAGATTGCCAATTTATTTCTTCTATTAACTTCTTAGCTATAACTCTTTTTATTAAAATTTTTATATGGTTTCTCTATGGCTAATGATATGTAACCTTCTCCTTCACATTTCACACCCAACACTTTCTGATTCTCGCTTCCTATTGTCTATTTTATGTTTACCTGTCCTTGTTTTCTGTGTGATTATTGTCATATAATTTGCATTTTCATATGTTTTGAATTCCATCTTATACTGTTATTATTTTTGCTATAAATAGCAGTTTTTAAAGTAAATTTTGAAAAGTAAACATACTCATTTATATTTACCCACATATTTATCATTTTTACCTATAGATCTGAGTTTCCATCTGGCATCATTTTCCTTTGAATTGAGAAATATCTTTTTTAATTTCTTACAGTGAAAATCTGCTGTCAACAAATTTTCTAAGCCTTCATTTATAGAAAAGGTCTTTATTGCACTCTTGCCTGTGAAACTTTTGCTGGCTGTAGAATTTCTGGGCTGACTGTTTCCCTTTCTTTCTAGCAATCTGGAGAGGTTGTTCCACTGTCTTTCCTCCTCTATTGCTCTGATGAGAAGTCAGAGTGTTGCTATTGCTGTTGTCTCTATTCAATGTGCTCTTTTTATTTGGTTTTCAACAGTTAGATTATGATGTGCCTAGGTGTGGTTCTCTTTATATTTATTCTGTTTCATGTTTGCTGGACTTCTGGGATCAATAGGTTGGTCTGGTTTCTTAAATAAAATGTGGGAAGCTCTCTGCCACTGTATCTTAAAATATTTGCACAATGTCACTCTCTTCTTCTTCTTAGGCACCAATTGCACAAAAAGTAAATCATTTAATAGCATTCTGTATTTCCCTGAGGCTCATAAAATCCTTTTTTCTTCTCTTAAAATTGCATAAAATCCTTTTTTCTTCTCTTAAAATTGCATAATTTCTATTTATCTGACTTCAAAATCACTGGCTTTTTAATGCCATCTTGAATATGCTAATGAGTCCATCCAGTTAGTTTCTCATTTAAGCTGTGTACTTCCCAGTTCTAGAATTTCATTTGGTTCTGTTTCTATCGTTTCAATTTCTATGTCAAGATTATCTCTGTTCATTCATTTAGATCATATTTTCCTATAATTTTGTGAACACATTTTTATTTAATTCTTTGACTATATTTATAATGGCTGCTTTAAATATTTGTCTGCTAACTCTAACATCTGGGTTCAGTGTCTATTGGTGGATTTTATTCTTAAGGCTAGATCACAGTTTTCTCTTTCTTTTTAGGACTATTGATTTTTTGTTGAATATTGGCATTATAGATAATACAGTATACAGTCTCTAGATTCTGTTACCTTACTCTAAAGACTATTGATCCTTGTTTTAACAAGCAGCTCAATTACTGGCTGATCACACTGGTCTAACTAGCCAAGGTCCAGCTTGGGATCCACATTGGATCTTGTCAGGGCTTCGTTTGAGGCTTTTCTAGAGAGAGTTTAGCATAAGTCGTGCTCTATTTCTAGTCATTACACCATAGGACCACCATTTTGGTCTCTCAACTAGACTTCGTGTGCTAAGGGGTAGATCTCATCATTCTAGCGGGGCCTAAATTTCAAAATCTCCAGGCACTGCATTTTCCCCAGCAGTGCATTTAGTAGCTATGTTCTGCTTTTAATTACATAGCAGCTGCCACCTGGTAAACTGCTTGTCTTGCTCAGTGGGGGACTCCCTCAGCCACAGACTTGCAGGGGCCTCCCAGAGCATCTTGTGAGGCTTCCTTTTCACAGTTGCCTCCTCTCTAGTTTGCCACCTTGTAAATTCTAGAATCTCCAGCTGCTTTGAAATATGATTTTTCCACTTGGGCTCCGCAGAAACATAGTACTCTGCTTTAACTCCGACTTCATGCAATGTGGTTGGGAAACTGTCTCCAGGTAGAAACCCGGCGAATTGTGGGGCTCACCTTGCTTTGACTCTGACTTCCTGCAATGTGGTTGGGAAACTGTCTCCAGGTAGAAACCTGGCGAACTGTGGGGCTCACCTTCTATCAGCCATTTCAGTCTTGTGTTGCCTGCTCTTTACTGACCGAAGACAATTATATTTGATATTTTAAAGCTGTTTATGGCCAAGGTCTATTCCAATACAGTTACTCCATTGTGGCTTAAAGTGAAAATTATTTATGTAATGTGTCTCAAGGATTCTTATCAGGAATAATAACGTTTCTTCTTAGCAAGCATCCTAAATAAGAACAGTTAATAGTGAGCATGGCTTACTATATGCCAAGCATTGTTTTGAATGCCTTACATATTAAACTCATTTAATTCTTACAACAGCACTCTAATTTAGGTACTATCCCTATTTTTAAGTAGAAAAATTGACACACAGATTAATTGAATGCCTAAGTTTATATATCTATAAAGTTATTGAGTCACTAGGTAGTTTTAGCTCCTATACCTTAACAACTATACTATGCTACCTTCTGGTGGAAAGTGGGTAGTGACTAAGCAAGGGGAAATGATCACAAGAAGGAGCACATCCTCGCTCATTAGTGAAGGATGAGTGTTCCGAGTATTCCAAGTTGAATCATAGTGAGTTTGGGCTTTAGGCCTCTGGTTCCCTCCCACCATGTCCCATCAATTTTACCTCATTCCACCAGGAGGTTTTAATATTCACCATTAAGTACTACAGAGGTGCAGAAAAAGTGGTGGGAATGGTAGTGGGATTCATTCTTATTTTTATCCCCATCCTTACCCACTGTATTCTTTTTCTTAGTTTGGATGTGAGCTCATAAAATGTGCCACCAAAAGAAGCTCGTTTAAAATTGAAAGCTTTGGGTGGAATAATATATGCTAGAATGGCCATTTGATCTATCTGTGACAAGTGCTAAAACACATGTGCATTGATTTTCTTCAAGGAGCGTATTTCTAAGGGTAATTTAATAGTAGTATTGAGCATAGCTTTTACTGGTGGGGAGGAGGAGGGGAGAACAGATGAAGAGAGGGAGCTGCTAATGGCGTTTTCCTAATGCATTTGCTTAGGTCAGTGGAAACCTGTCACAGCTTAATGCACTTGCTTTTTGAGGATGTTATCGTGTCCAGGATTAAACCATTCCAAAACATGAAAACGACAGTTGCTTGTTAGAGTGGGAGCTTGTTAAAGACCTTCTATCAAGCAGTTATGATCATCTGAAGAAAGAAGTTATGGTTCTTATTTTTCTACCTTTAATTCTAAGTGAAGTCTAAGTACTAGGAAGAAAAAAGCATTTAATTTTCCAAAGAGGATGGGGAATAGCACAATAAATTGCTTCAAAGACCCCTTTCTTTCTTTTCCCATCTACCTACAGAAATCAGACTTCATTTCTAGAGGAAATTCAGGGATTTTTGCTCTACTATGGCCCTGGAAACTGGAGAAAATTTAATCTCTGACATGGCTTTGACTTCACGCACTTTTCTGGTACTCAGGATAGGAACATAGACCCTTCACTGAAATCACATCTAATGCCTAGAGTCGTCCAGTGAATATTCTGTGGTACAGTATTTTCTAATTTTTTTTGCATATTTCTGCTGTTGGTATTTGTTATGTTCAGAATTTGTAGTTCAGAAAAACCTCTCTAAAAGGGAGAGATGTTGTAACTGGATCACAAAGAAGGTGTCAGAAATTGTTTCTAAGAAATCTTTAAGGATTTGTTCTCCATTCATGTCTTGAACCAACGTTGATGGAGTACCAGAAGGCTAGTGAGCATAGACCAGGCTGAGCAAAGGGTGATTCATGATGCAGCTGGATAGGCAAGCAAGGGCCGAGTAACCAAGTCTGTTCAGGGACTTCAGAGTTGATGTTAAGTACAATAAGAAGCCACGGAAATGCTTGTGGGGAAGGGTTGGCATGATCTGGTTTTCCTTAAGTAAAGCTCACTTCAGATCCTGGGTAAAAAATGGACTGTGTGCTGGGGGAAGGAGGAGAAAGAGTTAAGAGGGTAGAGATGGTGACGGTTTGTGCTAATGAAGGTGCAAAGAAGAGAACTTATTCGAGGTAACAGTTTGAGTCAGAAGCATAAGATTTTCTGATGGTCAAAAAGAAAAGGGAGTAGCCCAAAATGATTTTGGCTTGAACTTCATGACTGTTGGTGCTATTTACTTAGATGGTGAAGGCTGGGTTCGGGATGATGAGGGTGGTGGGGGGAGATGACAATTCTGGTGGGAGAGAAATCAAGAGCAGCATTTGGGAAATATTAGTTTTGAAATGCCTCAGAAACATCTAAAGAGGAATGTTCAAAGTCGAAAATTTGATTTAATTCAAAATGTAATTGCTTTGAGGGCAGACATTATCTTTCATAATAAGCACATAGAATACTGTATGGCACATAATAGCACTCAATAAAGATTTCCTGAATTCATGAGCCTAGAGCTCGGAGAATAGACTGAGACTTAACCTGAGAGGCATAAGCAGGTAGAAGCGATTTTAAACACAAAAATGGAAAAGCTCAAGATAAAATAAATTTATATACCCATCTCAGTTTCTTCTCTGTCAAAAGCAGTTTAAAATAATAGTTTCAGAGATTTCTTTTAGTACTAATATTCAATGCAATTTATTTGTTTGGTTTGAAAAGTTTCTTAGAATTATAGAAAGAAATAGATGACTTAGCATTTGTTTTATTTAAATATACCTGGAATTGGTTCCATCTCATTCTGGTGTGTAGTGAGATGTTGAGAGGGCTGGTATACCATTCTGGAAGACCTTGTATTCTCTCCAGGCATGAGTCTGTAGGATCTTTCACAGTGCTGGTAAAAAAGTCATAAAATGGAAGTCTGTGTCAAAATTATTTCTAAAATAAAAGTACCAATTGGTTCTTTAAAAATATCAACAAAATTGACAAGCCTTTAGCTAGACTGGGAAAGAGAAGACTCAAATTACCAAAATCAGAAATGAAAGAAGGTATATTACTACTTACCTTACAGAAATAACAGGATTATAAGAAACTATAATGAATAACTGTATGCCTACAAAATAGATAACAGGTTAAATGGGCAAATTCCCAGAAAGATGCACACTGCAAAAACTGACTAAAGAAGAAATTAAAAATTTGAGTAGACCTATACAAAGTAAATAAGTTGAATTAGTAATCTAAAAACTATCCATAGGGAAAAGCCCATGCCCCGGTGGCTTTACTGGTGAATTGTTTCATTTAAAGGAGAAATAATATCAATTCTTCACAAGCTTTTTTATAAAATGGAAGATCAGAGAATACTTTCCAACTTATTCTATCATGTAATTATTACTCTAACACCAAAAAAGGCAAGTACATCACATGTAAAAAACTACAGGAAAATATTTTATGGGTATTAGATCAGAAACTTTTAAAAATGCAACCAAGTGAAATACAGTGATATATAAAAAAGGATTATACATCATGACTAAATACAATTTGTCCCAAGCATGAAAGGTAAACGTCTTAAAATCAATTAATGTAATCCACCATTTTAATAGAGTAATAGACAAAATCTATTTAATCATTTCATTAGTAAGGCAAAACATTTGACAAAACCCAACAGCACTTTATAATAAAAACACTCAAGAAATTAGACTAGAAGGGACCTTCTCAACTTGATAAAGGGAATATGTAAAAAATCTACAACTTGCATCATACTTCATGGTGAAATGCTGAAGGCTTTTCCCCTAAATCCAGAAACAAGATGAGGATGTCCACTCTCACCACCTCCATTCAACAAGGTGCTATGGGTTCTAGCTAAAGAAATTAGTAAAAACAAACAAACAAACATAAACAAATTTAAAAATTCAGATTAGAAGGAAAGTATCTTTTTGTAAATAACATGACATTGTATATAGAAAATCCTAAGTAATCCATTAAAAGTTTGATTAGAACTGCTAAAAGAGTTAAGCAAGGTTGCAGGATAAGTCAATATGTAAATCAATTGCATACTAGCAATTGCAATGAGCAATCCAAAAATAAAATTTAAAAGGCAGTTTCATGTACAATTACATACAAAATACTTAGTAATAAACACAATAAAAGAAGTGAAAACTTATGCTCTGATATCTACAAAACATTATTGAAAGAAATTAAAGAAGACCTATATAAATGGAAAGACATCCAATGTTCATATAATGAAAGACTTAATATTGTTAAAAAGGCAATAGTTACCAAATTGGTCAAGATTTAATAAGTTCTTATTGAAATCCCAGCTGACTTATTTTCTGAATTTGACAAGCTGATAATAATGTTCACACAGAAATATAAGGGGCCCAGAATAGCCGAAATGAACTTTACAAGTGACTAAGTTGGAGGAATCACACTATCCAATTTTAAAACTTAATGCAATATTGTAGTAGTGAAGACAAAGTCATACTGGCATAAGAACAGACATAAACAGGCATCCTTCATTTTACTGAGCTTTGCAGATATCACATTTTTTTTTTTACAAGTAGAAGATCTGTGGCAACCCTGCATTGAGCAAGCCTATGACCACCATTTTTCTTTTCAACAGTATGTGCTCGCTTAATGTCTCGGTGCCACATATTATTAATTCTCACAATATTTCAAACTTTGTCATTACTATTGGATCTGTTATGGAGATCTGTAATCAGTGATCTTTGATGTGACTATTGTGATTGTTTTAGAGTGCCATAAACCACACCCCTATAAAAGGGCAAACTTAGTAAATAGTGTGTGTGCTCTGAACTGTTCCACAGTTCCCTCATCTCCTTCCTTCTCCATAAGACCCTAATTCTCCTCAATTCTAAAGTCTGAGGGAGGTGAGGAAGCTGTAGAAGAAGTGTTTGAAGCTAGCAGAAGTTGGTTCATGAGATTTAAGGAAAGAAACCATCTCCATAAATGTGCAAGGTGAAGGAGCAAGAGCTCACATAGAAGCTGCAGCAAGTTATCCAGAGATCTAGCTAAGATCACTGGTAAAGGCGGCTGCACTCAACAAGAGATTTTCAATGTAGATGAAAAAGCTTTGTATTGGAAGAAGATGCCATGTAGGACTTTCATAGCTAGAGAGGAGAAGTCAATGCCTGGCTTCAAAACTTCAAAGAACAGGCTGACTCTCTTGTTAGGGGCTAATGCAGCTGGTGACCACAAGTTGAAGCCATTTGTCATTCTGAAAGTCCTAGGACCCTTAAGATTTATGCTAAATCTACTCTGCCCGTGCTCTACAAATGGAACAACAGAGCCTGGATGACAGCACATCTGTTTACAGTACGATTGACTGCATATTTTGAACCCACAGTTGAGACTTGCTACTCAGAAAAAAAGATTCACTTCAAATTATCACTGTTCTTTGACAATCTACCCAAGAGCTCTGATGGAGATGTACAAGGAGAGGAATATTGTTTTCATGCCTGTTAACAAAACACCCATTCTGCTGCCATAGATAGAGATTGCTCTGATGAATGTGGCAAAGTAAATTGAACACCTTCAGAAAATAATTTGCCTTGCTAGATCCCATAAAGAACGTTTGTAATTCATGAAAGGAGGTCAAAATATCAACATTAACAGAAGCTTGGAAGTCTATTCCAACTCTTGAGGGGTTTAAGACTTCAATGGAGAAAGTAACTGCAAATGTGCTGAAACAGCAAGAGAACTAGAATTAGAAATGGAGCCTGATGATGTGACTGAATTGCTGCAATTTCATAATACAGTCTTAATGAAGGAGGAGTTGCTTCTTATGACTTAGCAACTAAAGTGGTTTCTTGAGATAGAATCTACTCCTGGTGATGATGCTGGGAATATTGTTGAAATGACAGCAAAGGATTGAAGTATTACATAATTTTAGTTAATTGGGCTGGGTGCCATGGCTCATGCCTGTAATCCCAGCACTTTGGGAGGCTGAGGCGGGTGGATCACTTCAGGTCAGGAGTTCAAGACCAGTCTTGCCAACATGGTAAAACCCCATCTCTACCAAAAATACAAAAATTAGCCAGCTATGGTGGTGCATGCCTGTAGTCACAGCTACTTGAGAGGCTGAGGCAGGAGAATCGCTTGACTCCCTGAGGCGGAGGTTGCGGTGAGCCGAGATCATGCCGAACCGAGATCATAAGAAAGACTGTCTCAAAAATAAATACATAAATAAAACAAAAATAAAAATAATTTTAGTTAATAAATCAGCAGCAGGGTTTGAGAGGACTGACTCCAATTTTGAAAGTTCTATTGAGAGTAAAATGCTATCAAACAGCATCCCATGCTAGAGAGGTCTTTTATGAAAGGAAGAGTCAATCAACGTGGCCAACTTCATTGCTGTCTAATTTTAAGAAATTGCCACAGCCACCCCAACCTTCAGCAACCACCACCCTGATCAGTCAGCAGCCATCAACATCATGAAAGACTCTTCATCAGCAAAAAGATTATGACTTCCTGAAAGCTTGGATGATTGTTAGTATTTTTTAACAATAGAATATTTTTATTTTTTAACTTATTTATGTTTTCTTTTCTACTGACCCATTGATAGAGATCAATAAAGTATTTTTAAATTAAGGCATGTACATTGTTAGGCATACTATTATGGCCCATATAACAGATTACAGTATAATATAAACATAAATTTTATTTGCACTGGAAAACCAAAATATTTATAAACATAATGTTTATTTGCACTGGAAAACGGAAATGTTTATATGACTCGCTTTATAGTGAAACTCACTTTATTGAGGTGGTCTGGAACTGAACCTACAGGATTTCTGAGGTGTGCTTCTAGATTAATAGAATAGGATTTTGAGTTCAGCAATAAATACTCACTTTTAAAGTTAATTGGCATTTGACAAGGCTGCCAAAACAATTCAATTGGAGAAGGAATTGTCTTTACAAAAAATGGGATGGGGACAAATGGATATGCACATGCAAATAATGAAGTTGGAACTTTTTCTTACACCATACACCAAAATTAATCCAACATGGATCACAGACCTGCATGTATGAGCTGAAATTATAAAATTCCTATAAGAAAATACAGAAGTAAATCTTCCTGAGACTGGGTGGGTAAAACTTTCTTATATATGACATTGAAAACACAAGTGACAAAAGAAAAAGGTAAGTTGGATTTAATCAAATTTAACAACTTTTGTGCTCCAAAGGACAACTATTAAAAAGGTGAAAATAAAACCCAGAGTGAGAGAAAATATTTGCAAATCATATATTTGTTAAGAGATTTTTATCTAGAGTGTATAAATAATCCTTGAATCTCAATAAGAATCAAATAGCCCATTTTAAAAATGGGCAAAGGATTTGAATAGATATTTGTCCAAAGATGTACAAATGACTAATAAACACCTGAAAAGATCCTCACATTAGCCATTAAACAAAGAATACGATACCATTTCACACTCACTATCACGGCAGATCACGAGGTCAGGAGATTGAGACCATCCTGGCTAATACAGTGAAACCCCGTCTCTACTAAAAAATACAAAAAATTAGCCGGGCGTGGCGGCTGGCGCCTGTAGTCCCAGCTACTCAGGAGGGAGGCCGAGGCAGGAGAACGGCATGAACCCGGGAGGCGGAGCTTGCAGTGAGCCGAGATCGTGCCACTGCACTCCAGACTGGGTGACAGAGCGAGGCTCCGTATCAAAAAAAAAAAAAAAAAAAAAAAAAAGAAAGAAGAAAAGTGGATAATAATAAGTGTTAGTGAGAATGCTGAGAAATTTGAATTCTCCTATTCTGCCGGTAGTGGTGCAAAGTTGTTTTTGGAAAACAATCTGGCAGGTCTTCAAAAGATTAAACATAAAGTTATCACGCTTATCAATTCTGTGTCCAGGTATATTTTCAAGAGAAATAAAAACATATATCTACACAAAAACTTATGCGCAAATGTTCCCAGCAGCATTAGTTATCATAGTCAAAAGTGGAGACAACTTAAATGACCATCAATTGATAAATTGATGAATAACCTTTGGTATATTAATACAATCAAATATTATTTAGCCAAAAATAAATGAAGTGCATTTGTCTCTTGGTATCCATGGAGAATTGATTCTGGAACCTCATGCAGATACCAAACTCTGGGAATGCTCAAGTTCTTGATATAAAATGGCATAGTACTTGCATATAACCTACACACATCCTCCTATATACCTTAAGTCATCTCTAGATAACTCATAGTACCTGATACAATGTAGATGCTATGGAAATAGCTTATAAACTGTATTGTTTAGGGACCTATGACAAGAAAATAAGTCTGTACATGTTCAGGGCAGATGCAATTAAAAAACATGTTTTCCATCTGAGCTTGGTTGAATCCATGGATGTGGAGCTCACAGATATAGAAGGCCGACTGTGTCGTACAAGGGTTATAAGCACAAGCTTACAACTTAGGCAGACCTGGGCTAAGTCAGTTCAATGCCATTATTAATCTAAATATAGCCTCAGACCCAATTTTCTCATCTGTAAGTGGAAATCATAATAGCACCTAGCTCATGAAGTGGAGCGTGGATGGACTTTGCAAGCAGTATGTTAAGTGAAAGAGACTAGTCACAAAAACATGCTATTGTAGGACTCCCTTTACATGAAATTAAATATGGAATATGTGGAATTTCCAAATCTATAGACACAGACAGTAGATACATGGCTTCCTAGGGCAGGCAGGGAGTAGGAGTGCAGAGACTTGGGGACAAATGGGGAGTTAAATGATAGGTTAAATTTGGCTCGTTCGTTTTAAGTGCCATGCCCAATGGCATGAGATTTCACTTTGGGAATATGGAAATGTTCTAAAACTTATTGTGGCAATGGGTGTATACTTCTGTGAATATATTAGGAAACATTGTATTTTATACTCTTTGAATGGGTAAATTATATGGTATTTGAAATGTCTTAATAAAGCTAGTCCAATAAAGAGAAACAAACAAAAACTCCAGAATTTCTATTCATTTAAAGTCTTCTCCAGTACAAGTATACAAATTCAAACATCACTAAAAATTAAAAATTTGGGGATATTTAAAAGATAAGAAAAATTCAAACGTATGAAATGTACAACAGCTAACACCCATGTACTCAACAAGATATTTGAAATGTTAACCTCGGATCTTTGAATGTGTGTGTGTGTGTGTCTGTGTGTGTGTGTGTATACGTATATGAATAGGTACCAATGAAGCTCTTGCCATACCCATTCAGTTCCAGAGTTTACCACTCTTCTAAATTTGGTATATGTCAGTTTCACTCACGTTTTTATTATTTTTCTATACATTTATGGGACCATAAATAATATATCACATTCAGCTGGCATCACTGTACATATCTTTTATAGTTTCTTTTTTTTTTTTTTTACTCATGATATTTTCATGTTTTTGTTAGGTTGATAGGTCAAATTGGGTTCACTCATTTTAAGTTGTATAAAGTGCATTGTTTGAATATACAAAACTTACATATCCTTTCCCCTAGCAATGGCATTTATTATGTTTCTAGTTATTTACTCTTAGAAAGGATATGGTAGTCACATCTTTGTATGGGTATTGTACATATGATATTCATGTGTAGGAGGTGGTTATTTGCAGGGGTTCTGGGAAGAGCCTGGATGTGTGGCTTGTGGTGTCCATTCATGTACACAAAGTTCCTTCACAGAGCAAGATGGATTCGGGGGTTAGAGGGAGATGGGGAGGGAGCCAGGAAGCAGGAAAGCAGGAAAGCTCGCCTGGTCCCATTATCTTCCAGTGAGGAACCCTGAGGTATCCAAGGATTCCAAATCTGAACCTAGGCTTGTAGGTCATTAGAAAAAATATTTATCCAGGTATTAACATAACATATATTTTAACTAACAATTGGATAGATTGATTTATAACTTCTAAATCTTTAGGCCCGGCAGCTGGAACTCCCTTTGAACTTTTGCCCTGCGCCCTGCAGATGTTCAGTGTACACAAAATCCTGTTCTATCAGAAACAGATTCTTAAAGAGAGCCTCAGAATAAAAGGTGATAAGTGCCATGCTGAAATATGCTCAGTGTATTATGGTAGAATAGGAGTGAAATGCTAACTCGACTCTAGCTCCCATGTTAAGGAGTTTACCTGGGAGGCAACTGGCAAGTGGGAATTGGGAGGGGGCTAACAAGGGCACGCGGTTGGAAACAACACGGTGGAGGTAGGAGGATTTCAAAGAAAGCGTGATTATTAAGAGCAATAGAAAAGAATTATCCACAGTTAGAAGATGAGGCATGAGTGGAAACTGGTGCCTGAGCACCTTGGGTGGCTTGGGCAGTAGCCGTCTTTACCCCACGGGCATGGGGGTCACGGCAGGGAATGAAGCAGCAGCTGGAGATGCAGCCAGACCCATGCCACCTGGACGCTGCATAGGTTGCAGGAGGTAGAGTGTGATGGGTGAAATCTGAAGCCAGGACACTTAGGTAGGAAATCGTTAGTGCGAACTCAGCAGGAGATGAAGAGGACCGGGCCTAGGGCAGTAGTCCCATGGGAGAGATGGGGGACAGACTTGAGACATATTAGGAGATGACAGTGGCATCATGGGTGTGTGCTTCCAAGACTGAGCTGACAATTGCACATACCCTCAGAAAGGGTCCCTTTTTCAAGCTATGTCTAAGTTAGAAAGGTAGAATTGGCCTCAGCTCCAAAGAGCATTAGACACCCTCAAATCATCTCAAGGGATTGTATCTCTCTGGCCCCCTAGTTGGTGCTAATCCTGCCTCTTTCACAAAAGGTGCTGAAGAATTCACAGACTCATCAGACACATTCTCTTTGGCTTTAAGGAGAAGGGGACAGAATCAGAGGCCTTAAGAGGTTCCTGCCCTGCAACCGCTTTTAATATTTGGTGAGGAAGCCATTTAAATATTTTACTGGGCAATAAAATATATGCATAAACAAGACTACGAGTTGGAATTAAAGGGCTTGTAATTTCTGCGGATGGATTCCGACCTTGAGAAAGGCACAATGCATGTCCCTACTCCCCTCAGATTTAAGGCGGTGGTCGTCCCATGCCGGTACCACAGGCTCATCTACTGGGGGTCCCGGGAAGGGCAGCACTGGGTCAGGGCAGGCAAGACCCCACAGGCAGCAGATCCCCATCGGTCCCCCTTCTGCCAACACGCAAGCGGCCCAGGGCCCATCTGTCTAGGAGGAGTGGGGAGAATGATGGGGCCGGAGGCGCCCCGGACCCCAGTCGATAGTCCCCAGCCAGCACCAGCAGAGCCCGCCGCTGCCCGTATCGCCCTGATCTGAATTCACAGTGCCTGCCTCATGTAAATGGCGCTCTATCCGGCTGGAAATGTGAGTCCTGTCAGGAGCACTGGGCTCCGTCATGCTTATCAGAAACACATTATCAGGTAGGGATTAGACAGACACGGGCGCTGCTGTGCTGCCCGGGCCCGGCGAATAATGAATAATGAAAACTCCATGGACTGGAGACAAACACAATGGACAGGCAGGGGCTGCGGGAGCCACCCTTGCACTCAGCTGAATGTGACGCTCCAGGAAGGTTTCCACTTCACTCACCAGGGCCGCGTCCCTCCTGGGGGCCGCAGGTGGGGGCCGCCCATCCCCTCCGCCACCCCCTCTCCGCCCTTCCATCCTGGCCTGCTTCTCCTTCACACTTCCCAAGCCAGCAAAGAGGTCACTTGGCCTTCTTAAAGGAACCTATGGAAATGGCGCAGCAAAAAGACGAGACTGGAAAGAAAAACTTATAGGAATGGCCACACCCTTTTTCATGGAAATGGGGGTGGGGAGAGCGGACTCCTTGGAGCCAGGATGGGGATGAGGAAAAGCCTTAATTACTTTAGTCTTTACACTTTTTTTCTCAGAATTCAGTTGACTTTGAAAGATGTGGAGATGTGGTTAAAGTTCTCAACATAATGAAGTATTTACAATAAAAATAGATCAAAGTGTATTTTAATTCTCTGAATTCCATACTCCCTCAGCACTTTTTTTTTTCTCTTTGGCAGTGGAGAACAAGAAGGTGGAATAAGTGGTTTCAATACAGAACACAGGTAGCAGTAATTGTCTCTCTCCGTAAAACAATGCCCTGCATTTTAATATTGTAAAGATGGAATACGCTACAATTGCAAAGCCCTATTTTAAAGCAAATGAAAACAAAACAAAACAAAAAGCAAAGAAATAAAGGGGCTTCCTCCCATTGTACTTTTATAACCAAGTAAAATGATTCAGAGAGACACAGCGTTCTCTGATGAGGGGACATTTGGATGCAGAATCAAGGTCTGGCTTTTATTCATAGCTCTTTCTCTCATTTGTTCCTTTATTTCACAAAATGGGCGCCCATAATGTGGTAGTCCTTGTACTAATCACCACCAGCCAGCACTGAGTACACCCATCATCTGCCCCAGAAGCTCAGACTCCAACAGGAGAGAGGGCCTGTCAGTCAAAACCGCAACCTGGGAGCTAGGTGATGTCATTCAAAGACCACTAGGATAGCTAAGTGACAGGGAGGCAAGCTTTATTTGAGATATCAGTTTGCAAATCAGAAAGAGAGTCTCCTGCACAGGTTTTGGGGGGAAGCTGTGCCTATTTATGAGGCAGCCGAGTGCATGCACAGTAGGTAAGCATATATGGAACATATACTCCATGTTCACTTTGAGGCAGGGTTTTAGCATTAAAATGAGGTGGGATTTGGCTCTTTATGTCAAAAGAGGTCAGCCTCTATAAGCTGCTGAAACTGGCTTAAGGTGTGCAGTTGTTTATCAGAAAATAATGTTTTCAAGGCCAGTCCCCTATCCAGTCAGAGTTGTAATGATCTGGGTTGTAAATCAGAGTTAGGAGGGGTCTGATAGTTCTTGTTATTAGAGATTTTAGAACTATAGGAATCTAGAAATTTGCCATGCCAGTCGGACCCTGACCACTTGAAAGACAGGTAACTTTGTTTTCATAACATTAGGGCCTGTCTGAGCTGATAAAGCAGTGTCTATTTTGATCTCTCTGATCACAGTAAATAGTGCAGGGAAAACAAGTATCAGACTCAGGTGAAGTGGCCAAAAGAAGATGTGGCAAGTCTTCCCCAGCTGCAACAGTGTGTGATCGTGGACGAGTTCGTCTAGCTGAGCTCCGCTTTTCCTGGTGCACAACGGCTTTGATGTCAGCAGCTCTGTAGACCACACAGGCTCCCATGGTCCTCCCTACAGATGAGAGTGTTACAATACCCCACAGCCAGTCCAGCGAAATGACGGGCTTTGAAAATTGTAATATGCCAAATAAACACAAGGAGACATGACTGATATCACTTATTTCCACTGTTGCTACAGTTTATATACACATTACTATTCTAGAGCTATGACTATAGGGTTTTCCTGATATCCTCACAGCAGAGCCAAAATCGAAATCTTTCTCCCTGGCTGTGTTTTCCGTGTGATTTCTATGGTGGATGATATTGTTCTTACTCTTTTCCCATAACCAAAATATTGGAAGGCATTTGTTGCAGTCAGCAATCCAAGCTGTGCCCCATCTGAATGGCATGCAGGTGTGTGCATGTGCCTCCACCCGAAGAGATGGAAACAGACCTTTCCTAGCATCTGCCGCTACAGCAGGCCCTTTCCTCCGGGGTTCCTGCAAGTCTGTTCCAATGAAGGCCGTGTGCTGTGCTGCATGGCTGAGAGAAGCTCACACAATTTGACAATCACTCGCTGCTCAGTCACTGAGACAGTCTTGAGAATCTGTGAAGGAACCAGTAAGAGAACCAGCCTATCATTCCATAGTGTTTTGGTTGACTTTTTAAATTGAAACATAATAGTTATTCTCACTTATGGTTCACAGGTGATATTTTGATACATGCATATAATACCTGATGACCAAATGAGAGTATTTAAAATTTCTATCACCTAAAACATGTATCTTTGTGCTGGGAACATTTCAACTCTTTTCTTCCACCTGTTTTGAAATATACAATCAATTATTGTTAATTCTAGCCACGCTACTTTGCTATCGAACACTAGAACCTATTGTTTTTATCTGACTGTAAGCTCGTACCCATTAATCAGCCTCTCTCTATAACACATTTTCTTTATCTCTTCATCTGTTGATGGGCACTTAGGTGGAGTCCATATCTTATTGTGGATAGTGCTGCAACGAACATGGGGGTGCAGATGTCTCTTTCATGTAATGATTTGCTTTCCTTTGGATAAATATCCAGTAATGGGATTGCTAGATAATATGGTAGTTCTATTTTTAGTTTTTTTGAGAAACTTCCATATTGTTTTCGTACACTTATGAAGAAGTTTGAACCTGTGGTCTTAATTCCTTATGAGTTGTTCGAGATATCTTAGGAGCTTATCAGAAATAATGTCCAGGATACAGCTGCTGTGGTTCAATGCAGCTGCATAAGGTGTGTTAGATGAGAGCTTGAGAAATTCCTCCCCCTTTCTGGATGACACCTTCAGCTCTATGAACACTCAGCCAGATGAGGGGCATTGCTGATGTTGGCTAGCTACAAGTTGGCTGTGGCAGCGAGCTTTGCTTTGAACAGTTTACGAGATAATCTTAGGTTTTCTTTTATGTATGTTATTTCAGACTCACTCCTTCCTGAATATCAGAGTTCTTTCTCTGAGTATTTCCTCCCATGCAAAATATTGTTCTTTCTCTTTGATGATCTAAGTATAACCTCTAGGTTCAGACCTCAACTGCTGTATTCCTCCTGATCCATTTGTCCAGAAACAGCTCTTAGTAGTCCCCTTTCCTAGGCCCCCTGCTGATGTCAGTATCTAATTCTGTCTTTTTCATCTTTTGTCTAAATGAACTCGACTGATTCTCTTGTAAATTCAGCCTCTTCTTATTTTCAACTCTTTTTCTAAGCATCTATCACCTTTCCTATCTTCTGACTTCCCAATATATTGGCAGTCTATTTTTCTGCTTTCTGTTTTCATGTTATAACTTTCTGTTAAGATATTCACATTCATATGCATTTGTTGTATTATATGTTGCCTAGACAGTGGTGAACAAGGCACATGTGGTTTCTGCCCTCCTGAAGCCAGACATGAAATAAACAATTGCACAAAATACATACACAGACATTATGTGGGGTGTTATCAGAGAAGTCAACGTATAATAAACATGGCAAGAGGAAAGCCTAATTTAGATTTGTAGGGTCAGAGAAAGCTTCTCTGAAGTGATAGGATACAGGCTGAGGGAATGGCATGTTCAAAGGCTCTGAAGGACATGAATGTTTGTCGGGTGCACGTAGATGAATGAAGCCGACATGGCTGGCTCACAGCATACAAAGGAAAGAAAGTCTGAAGCTGATACTAGAGAGGAACACGAAGGCTAAGTTGTACAAAGTGCTGAAATTCCTGGTAAAAACAGAGATTGGGTCCTAAAAGCAATGGGAAGCTGCCATGAGGTTTAATCCAGGGAGCAACATATTCAGGAGCATGTCAGAGGCAGTAGAATATAACCTGGACTATGTCGGATGGCCTGGATTTGAATCTCAGCTCTGCCCCTTACCAGCTAGGTAACCTTGGGCAAGCTACTCAAACGGTTTGTGTTTTTATTTCTTCATTTCAAAGAACTGAGATGATAATTCATCAAGGGTTGTTGTTCTATAAGTTAATAGCTGTGTAGTCCTTAGTTAAGTGCCTGTCCTATAGAATGTGTTGTATACATGTTAGATGAGTGTGATGATATCACATGATGCTGATGGGGATGATGATGGCATTTCAAAGAGATCCCAATACCTGCCGTCTGGAGGTGAAATTGTAAGGACAGGTATCTCGAGGAAGAGGGGAAGTGAGGAAACTAATGGAAATCCTTCACTAGCCCAGGAGAGAGATTGTGTTATCCTTAGATATAAGGAGCAGTAATGGGAATAGAGAAAAATGAATAAATTAGAAATATATTTGGGAGACAGAATTGATGGAGTTAGCGGTGGATTGGATGTGGGGTTGAGGGTAAGGGAGGTGTCAAGGATAAGTTCCAAGTTTCTGGCAAGATTAAGTGGATGAAAAGACATACCCTTTCCTGGAGAAAGAGTAGATTTTTCAGGGAAAAGAGCAAGAGTTCAGTTTTGGACATATTAGCTCAGAGATGCTTTTAAAATCATCAAGTGGGCCAGGCACGGTAGCTCACGCCTGCAATCCCAGCACTTTGGGAGGCCGAGGTGGGTGACTCACGAGGTCAAGAGATCGAGATCATCCTGGCCAACATGGTGAAACCCCATCTCTACTAAAAATACAAAAATTAGCTGGGCATGGTGGCGTGCGCCTGTAGTCCCAGCTACTCGGGAGGCTGAGGCAGAAGAAGCGCTTGAACCCAGGAGGCGGAGGTTGCAGTGAGCCGAGATTGCACCACTGCACACCAGCCTGGTGACAAAGCGAGACTCTGTCTCAAAAACAAACAAACAAAAAATCATTAACTGGAAATGTGAAAGAGCTTGTTGGATATACAGGTCAAGAATACAAAGCGAATTTGGGCCACAGAGAAACATTTGGTACTTTTTAGCACAAGATGGGGGCAGGTTTGCTTACAATAAGTGTACAATCAGAAGAGAAGAGGACCCAAGGCTATAGGTTCTAAAGAACTTTAACATTTAGAAGTCAAACATAGGAATTCACAAAAGATACCAACCTTCTCTGGTCAGCTCTAAATGGGCATATAATAAACTATCACGGGGACTATGTAAAGCTTGCATAGTGCTTGTAATATTCAAAGTACTCTTTTTTTTTTAACATCAGCAGACCTGATCCTCACAATAATCCTATTGAATAAGCCACTCCAGGCTATTATCCCCATTATACAGATGTGAAAACTGAACAAAGCTATGCGATTTGCCCTCAATTAGTAAGGACTGAATCACTTGTAGAAAATATTCATAAAGTGCTTTTTGTTTAAAACCAAAAGGGCCTATTACAAATAAACAAATTCTGTAATACCTTCATTCCGTAACTAGGTACACATTTTTGTTTCGGATAAAGGAATTTAAGCTCAGAGATTTTGCTCACAGTCATGCATTAAGTAAAGCAATTAGAATTCTTCTCACTAATGAGCACGTTGAATTTGGGGTGCAATCTGATTATTACACAGTGGATGCTAGAGTACATCTTCCCAGTTTCCAGGACATATTTGAGGTTTATTTAGTCCAGATCACTGGTTCTCGAAGTCTGGTTCTCAAACCGGCAGCATCAGCACACATGAAAACTTGTTGGAAACGCAAATTCCCAGGCCTTACCCTAGACCTATAGATTCAGAATCTCAGGGGTGTGGCTCCATCTGTGTTTGACAGGCCTTCTGGAAAGTGCTGATGCTCGCTGACTTTGGAGACTAGGCTGGTCTAGGCTAGAACTTCCTACTCCATGCCCCACGCTTGCTCTCACTCCAGACGCTCCATCCCACCACCCAGCCTCCTGTACACCCTGAGGACCACAGGATTTAAAAGTCTCTAAAGTTTATCTGTGTAACTCTAAGTGGTGGGGAGTCACTTTTGAAGAAAGATAAGCAATACTTATAAATAAGAACTGAAGTGCATTCACGTCAGCAGATATCGTTTGAATGCCTACTATACACAGATCTGGTGACTAGATTTTTTTTTTAAACACCTACATGGTACAACCTAAGTCCACAAACTATAGCAATCTAAATCTATGTTGTAATAATTGTCCGTTCCCTAATGTGTCTTTTGCATAGTTATCTCAAAGTCCTTCAAAAATATTAATATTCCTAAGAGGCAAAAAAAGTAAATGTTATTATCTCTACTTGCCAGGTGGGTAAGAAAGGCAAGGGGAACCATACTAGGAAATGCCAGAGGTCAGAATCAAAGCCATTTATTTTCTTTAGAAGTGATAGTGAAATCACTTACTTTATTTGAGTTATCCAAAAGTTATCTACGGCATTGATATCATTCCCCCATTTCTTTTCGTTTTAGTTTTACCTTAAATGTGTACTATTGTGTGCAATTTTAAATTAATTATTCTACTCTAATGGCTAATTTTGGTTAGCACTTTAACTATGAAATCGTTTCAGCTTTTAGATGAGTTACAGCTAAAGTTAATGAACGGTATTTACTTTCATTAATGACAATTTTCATGACTCTTCCCTTCCATGATAACCACATAGTGAAAGCTTTCAAAGCTAGAGAAATCCAACAAAGGGAAAATTCTACAAGCCCTGCTGGTCTGTAAGGAGAGCAGCTGGAGGTGGAAAGCGGGGTGCTGAGATGCTGTGGAGGATGGGTATGGGTAAAGAGAACCTTTGATATTGCTTCCTGTGTTTATATTATCTGCCATTGTCCACATCAGCAGGCTGCCCGCAAAACCCAGCTCTATCAGACATGGAAATCTGAGCATGGAATCTTGTGTTTCTCCAAACTCCTTGGATAAAATATTTTTTAAAAAATGTCAACTGATTGGCTCTATGCTTAGTTTAAATGGTCACCTGGATATCTGGAAAATTTAGATCTGAGGTCTCCCTCTGTAGGTTGGGATCTGTGTATCTGTGGAGCTTTTTCACAAGATGCACCTGTCTGCCTCATTCTCCTCAAGGGTATTTTAAATCCCAGAGGTCTGGAGTGGGTCCTAAGCACGTGGCTCCTTACAAAGCCACCCTGTGATTCTACTGCACAGAGTTACTGACATTAGGACATTGACCTGACCTTTCCTTCTGATGACTTTTTAAAAGATTTGGTATCCTGTAGATAGTTTGTGTTGTTGTTATATATTTACTAGGGAGCATTGCATTGTATCTGGTTTTGATTGTCATTGTTTATCTCTTTTAAATGAGAAAGAAGTATATTTGTGGCTATTTTATGGAAATATTTCTGCAACATTTATCTTCTTCTAGGCTCCTCCTCTTATTTCAAGTCACAATTTGTACCAAGTTCATAAGGGTAAAATGCTTGGATGCAGAAGCAATCTGCTGGTAAGGAAGGCTGTGTCTGCTGCTTACTAGCTGGTGAGATTGAGCAAGTGGCTTGACCATGTAGATCCCTCATGTGATAAATAGAGCTCATAACAGACCCTGTTGCCTGGAACTGCTCTGAGAAGTACGTAAGTTATTACATGAAAAGTGCTCTGATCACATAGTGAGTTTATTGTTTTGATGCTCACCATAGGACATCAGCTTCATCATTATTATTTGTGAAAATGCTATGTGGACTGAACTTCAGGTTCTTGTAATACAATATAGGTAGAAATTATTTTCTAAGCACATAAATTATATGTGCATGATGTCAAAATAGTGTGTAACCTCTGGGAGTATTATGTAAAAGAAAATAAAATATGTATCATTGTGGAAATAAGCACAGACTGTGTTAGTCCATTCTTCATTGTTATGAAGAAATACTTGAGACTGAGTTAACTTATAAAGAAAAGAGGTTTATTTGACTCATGGTTCTGCAGACTGTATAAGAAGCACAGTGCCAGCATCTGCTTCTGGTGAGAACCTCAGGGAGCTTCCAATCATGGTAGAAAGTGAAGGAGGAGCAGGTATATTACATGGCAAGAGCAGGAGCAAGAGAGAGGGCAGGAGGTGCCAGGCTCTTTTCAACAGATCTCATGTGAGGTCTAATAGAGCAAGAACTCACTGATTATCATCAGGACAGCAACAATTCATTCATGAGGGATCTGTTCCCATGACCCAGACACCTCGCACCAGGCCCACGTCCAACATTGGAGGTCACATTTCAACATAAGATTGGGGTGGGGGGGACAAAGCATTCGAACCATATCGCACATCAGTCCAGTGAGAGCAAGCAGCGACTGTTTACTTGGAGTTTGCTGGAGCAAGTGAGTCAGCCACCATCACTTGTGTTTTGGCAGAGACTCAAAGGCAGGCAGAGGAGTGGAAGGGCTTTATAATGGAAAGAGGGAAGGCTTCAGGTGTGCCAGATTGGAAGTTGGTGCTGTGGAGAAGAGGTAGATGGGCTAACTAGATAGAAGTCATTCTGTGTGATCGGTTAGGGGTATGTATTTGGCTTTCTCTGGTTAGTCCTAAATTTGAAGTGGGTCCAAAATTTAGGGAAGTTAGTAGTTATTAATCAAGCCTTGGTTAGTTAAGGCAAATTGTTACAAGGTTTAGTGTTGTCAGTAGAGGTAGCAGTCTGACTTCCTACAAGTTTGAATTATAGCACCCTGGCTTCCTAGGCTTGTTACTGTGGATAGCTGGGTTGGTTTTCTGGGCAGGTTGCTACAGGTTGCAGATCAAAGTTTTATTTTTATATACAGTCTATTCATTATTCATTTAGTATATTTAGGATACTATTGTATTAATTGTTATTGTACAAATGATGTTTGCTAATCAGGCCTATCTGATCATTAAATCAGGAGGGCTAAAACCTGTACTTAAAAATTCTTTAAGATAAAAATATCCACCTAAAAGTAATAAAGTTGCATTGATTTTTTAAAATATATTCCCAAAGTAGTTGCTAAATAGGTATTTCAGACCAAATTGATTTCAGAGCTTGTTTTAATGCATGATGTTTTTTCTCCCACGAGGTCTAGGGTAAGGTTGTACTTTGTCTCACTTAGATTTTTAATACATTTAGCTAACAATTCTATACTTAGGGAAAGAGTGGTAAATTACATTAATTGAAAGGATATATTATTAGGAAATGACTTACTGATGCCTTTGGGAGTATTATATCTTTATTCACCCCCCTGGATTTTTGCTTAGGATGTAGTTCTATTTTTGCTAAGGATAACTGTGTGGTTGAAGTGTGTTCCTGGAGAATTTAGTAGAAAGGAAACTCCAAAAAGTATTAGTTGATAGACATTAACTTATTTAAGAATAAAATTTGGCAAAGAGCAAGCCACCTAGGAAAACCAAGAATTAACTGTTTGAACATGGCTGTGAAATTGTTATGATGTGTCTTTAAATGCGGCCTCCTGGGTCACATTTATTGCCCTTGGGATATTAGTCTGTTATGCATATGACTTAACCCCACTAAAGCAAAAGGTCTCATGTATTGGAAGAGTAAAGGGCACGTCACATGGAAAATGTGTGACTCTGGAAGTCATGAAGGCAAATAAGGCCAAGTTTAGTGATCACTTTCACCTTGTTTCTACTCAGCTCCGAATCCCCATCTGGCTCTTTTGCTCTCTCTTGCCTCACATAAGAAGATAGGGACTTTGAGACTTAGAAAGGAAAGAGACTGTAGGGACAAACCCTTCCCAAACTCTTAATTTGAATGTTAATAAGTAGGTTCACCCAAAGAGGTGAACTGACCTTTTCAAACTTCCACAGTGAGCTAAAAGCAGATCTAAAAGCAAAAATCAGATTTCTGCTCTACTCTGTGAAGCTATAGTCTTTCTGAAAGTAAAGAAAATACAACTGGATTATACATACATACATATATATATATATATATATATATATATACACACACTATATATATATTACATATTTTATATATAGTTATTTATATATAATTATATATGTAAATAGTGGATATATTTATATAGAGATATAATGTATCTACATAGATAGCTTACTGTCTATCGAGTCAATGTGTGGCTATATGCACACATATTAAACAACGGCATGATTTCTATGACTCCGCTTCAGCCTACCCACAGTCATAAAGAAATGAGAGAAGTGATTTTCCCATCCCTAACAAGAGGAATTCTCAGGAGAAAGTTTTTATTCTTCTGAGAAGTTGGGGCAGAATTGGCAAGTCATTTATATTTTATATCTCCTGAATCTCTCCAGTAGCCAAAAAGCGGGACCAAAAAAGAATAGAGAAGCCAGAACCATACTCATGTGTAAGTGAGATCACATCTTATTATAATTAAATGCCTTTCCAGAATTAGCATTTTTTTGGCCAAGGCCACTCTCATTGCTGAGCATTCGCTTTACTAAGAAACATTTATCCTGCAGCCACCAGGAAAAATGGAAACTGTGAGGACTGCAGAAAAGTTGGCCCTCATTAGCCTAATTCAGCTCCGTGGTGGGTGTGCAGTGCCATGCCAGGGCCATGCACTGGCCTGGGCTCTGTGCACCCAGCTGTCTCCATGGAAACCCAGCTGGCAACAGGAGGGATGGCTCCACAAGCAGACACACCTGCAGCTCTTAAGTCTCGGTGCGTTCGCTTCCTCTCCTCACTTCATTCACATCTTTTTATTAAATGAGTCGATTTGTCACCACTGACTCTCTCAGACAGCAACCCCAGGTTCTGTTCTGAGGGAAAAATAAAACCTCCATTTCAAACATTTGCAGAGACTCAGAGTGGAAGAGAGGGGCTGCAGATGAAACTGAAGATGTGGCAGCCCTCTCTGAATCAAATGACTTCATTATTCAGGCTGCTCCTTCTCTCTCTCTCTCAAGAAAAAAAAAAAAAAAAAATATATATATATATATATGTATATATATAGCAGAAACAGCAAGCCATCTTGACTATTTCTATCACTGATAGAAGACGTCATTGGATACTTTAGTTGTATGTCTGGTCTCTGAGGGTGTTAAATTTGTATTGAGCTCTGGCTTAAAAGTTTATTTAACCTAGAGATTATTTTTCTGCTGGTTTCAAAGAGGTGTCTCAAATGCCTTCTCTTCTATATAGGCTTCTGATACTATGTTCTGAAGAAATAATCAGTCACAGCTTTGACTGGGACTCATCCAGGTGTGAACACCCCATGGTTATTGTATTAGAGTTTTCCAGACCAAAAAAAAAAAATAGGGTGTGTGTGTGTGTGTGTATGTATATGTGTATGTGTGTGTGGGTGTATATACACCCCCACATATATTTATTATAAGGAATTGGTTCACACAGTCATGGAGGCTGAGAAGTCCCACAGTCCACAGTGGGCAAGCTGCAGACCCCGAAGAGCCCATGGTTTAGATTCCAGTCTGAAGCCTGGCAAAGCCTGGCATCCTGAGACCTAGGGAGGGCTAATGTTTTAGTTCAAGTCCAAAAGCAAGAAAAGCCCAGTGTCCCGGCTCAAGCAGTTAGGCAGGAGAAGTCTTCTCATACTCAGTTCTTCTGTCCTATTTGGGTCTTCGGTTGACTGGAAGGGGCCCACTCATGGTGAGGGGCAGGGCACTCACTTTGCCCCACTCAGCCCACCTATTCGAGAGTTTGTCTTATCCGGAAATGACCTCACAGCCACACCCAGAATAACGGTTGACCAAATGTCTGGGCACGCTGTGGCCTCATTAGCTTGACACATGAAATTCATCCTCCAAGTTTCTTTCCCAGTCCTTCTTGGGCCCTATTTTGATGTTAATTTCTAAAGTAGTTATTACTAACAGACAGTACTTGATACATTGCCTCAAATCCTTTATGGAAAGGGACAGCATAGATAAATCAATGAAAAAATATAAAATATAGATAAATAGGGAAAATTGCTATGATTCACAATATTTTTAAAATAACTTGTATTGCATATACTACTTCCCCAGTGAGTCTGCTTACAAGTCCCCGTAATCAGAAATTTAAAATACACAGACTAGATATGGATTTGTTTACCAGTGAAGACAGTGTTATTTGCAACTAGTTAGTTATTAAAAATTTTTAAATATAAATGAAATAATTCAGCCCCTCCCCTACTTGCCAATGTGTGGCAAGAAGCAAAATGAGCTAAATTCATGACACACACTCACGGCCACCCTTTTACACATGGACCTGGACTACTTACTGGTTTTCATAAAAATCTTTACCTGTTACATTCCTCTACCTCCCAGCCTATTCTGAGTCAATTCAAACCTGCGGACTCATGGATTTGCAGGAGGAAACCAGTGATTTTTAATCGGTATCTTTCCTGCCATCTGCTTTCAAAAATGCCACAGCATCAAGCAATAGTCTTAGCCATTTTCTCAGGGGACTAAGTTTGGAAAGGGGAGTGAAAGAGGTGATTGCTGAAAAAATCTGAGGAATAGAAAAACAACCCACTATTAATATGCTAAGGTGAGAAGCCCTTGAATGTCCCATCAAAAAAGCTGCTGTCCTTGGTCTTCCTACCGTTGGCACTACTGATGCGACTCACGGTCCCTCACATTCATTGGAACCAGCAAATCCCTCTCAGTGTCTCACGTACAGTGTGGAGCAGAGAGCTGTACCACTGCTTAATGTTGCAAACTACCAGAAGCAAATGAACTCATGTCCAGTACAGAGGGTCAGGAGAAGTGCATGACCCTTTATTGTTGACTGAGCTCCATGGTGTTTGTGTAAGACCTGACGATGTGTTTTGATGAGGATTGTGATGACAGGTTTGGATTTTAGATGCATTTGCCCACTTCTCATGGGAAACACTCACATAAACATACTTTTCCATTTTTCTCACACACTATGTGATCTATGTCAGAATCAGAGCAGCAGCTCCTAAATATGAAATTAAACAACAACAACAAAAAAATAAGTAAAGAAGAAAGGAAAGAGCATCCATGAAAACAAGCTGAAAAGGTTAAGAGCAAGAAGAAAATTGTAGAACAGTTTCGGTCTGTTTGGAATGAATTAATCAGACCATTAAACAAATCTTAATCTAAAGTATCCCTTTCATTTCTGTACCCATAAAACAAAATGATGGAGAGTTGGTGGCAAAGTCTGCCACTGCTCCCTATTTGTATTACACAGACTGGAGCTCCGACCTCATTAACATTCTGCTGCAGGGGAGGGCCACACATTCAGGCTGAAAGCATGCAGAGAGTCTGGGCAGTCCTGAGCTCTCACCCAGCTTGATATACAGCACTGAGAAGTTTCTTCCTCTCTTTTACCTATCTCTCTCTCTCTCTCCCCACGCCCCCCTTCTGTCTATCTATCATCACTCACAACTTGAAAAATATAATAAAATCTTTGAAGAGTTTCCCACAACATTCCTACAAAAAAGTACTTAAGGCTTTCCATTCCAATATGAACACAGTTTCAGGGAGTGCAGGGACCCCCAGAAGCCCATCTATGGATTTTAAGATAAAGAGTAAGGGAAAAACCAATGCCATTCCCTTATCTCGACTAATATTATAGAGAAACTGTCTTCAGATCCTTTACTGGGACATACGCTGTGATACATTTCAAGTTAAAGAAATATACAACTTAAGGCCAGGTGTGGTGACTCATGCCTGTAATCCCAGCACTTTGGGAGGCTGAGGTGGGCAGATCACCTGAGGTCAGGAGTTCGAGGCCAGCCTGGCCAGCATGGCGAAACCCTGTGTCTATTAAAAATACAAAAATGAGCTGGGGCTGGTGGCAGGTGCCTGTAATCCCAGCTACTCAGGAGGCTGAGGCACAAGAATCACTTGAACCCCCGAGGTGGAGGTTGCAGTGAGCGGAGATGGCACCACTGCACTCCAGCCTAGACTACAGAGAAAGACTCTATCTCCAAAAAAAAAAAAAAAAAAAAAAAGAAATATACCACCTCAGTGTAATTCAGTGTTATTAATCGTATATCAGAATAAGAAAAAAGGAATATTCAGTTAAAATTCTCTTATATTTTTTGTCAAAAGTTATATTGGCAATGAAATATTAAGTCGGGCAGTGGGGAGGCCTAGAGCTAATACTTCTACGAATTGAGCCTATGACTTTGGACATATCTTTTAATTTCTATAGGCCTTGATTTTCTCATTTGTGAAATGACTTCGCGGAACTGGATGACCTCAAAGGCCCATTTCAGTTTTTATTTCCATATTCTTATTTGTTGGTGGTGTCCTAGAGAGAAAATTACAGTGACAGTAAAAATGGGCAAATAAATAAAAGATACAACAAGAATATAATTACTAGAATGAGACTGCAAAATTCCACAGAAAAACACGGATGTAAAATGCTGCTGAATTTTACTTGCTGTACAAATAAGTTTCCTCTTTATATAACAGTAAATGCTATTTTATCTTTACACTAAATTATATGTTCTTGAGGTCATGATTTGCATTTGATTTTTTTACTTTTTAATCTTCCATGTCTCTTAGTATCGTACCAACTGCCATGTAGATGATGAAGAAACATTTTTGGTTGAATAAACGGAGGTGTAAAGTAGAAGGTGGAGGGCGGCTTGCTAGCACGCAGCAGTGTGGGTGGCCTGGGGCCAGTGCAGTGACTGCTGAAAGGCCAATTTGGTAGAGTTTTAGGAAATTGTAAGTTTTTAGGAGCTGTTTGATTGATACCAACAGAGAACACTTGGCGAGCTTATTGGAAAAGGAGAGTTTATGTAAAGCTATAATGACACAACATGCCTTTGCTCCCTCGTTTATCTAATCACATCTGCATTTCAGTGTGCTGCTGGCCTGTGGCTTCCCTAAGTTACTGCTGGTCAGCCTTCCAGGAGAACATAAACCTCTCTTCTTTCAGGAAACAAAGGGGATGGTTGGCTAAGGTCTCTCCTGGAATTTACTGCTGCCCATGCCGATCCAGAGATGAGGAATGCCAGATGGAAAAATGAGAGCTTTTTGTCCCTTGAGTAAAAAGAAAAAGAGAGAGAAAAGGTTTATCTCATTATGTGGGAATGAAAGAACTAAGCTAGCTGTGAAGTGGTCTGCGCCTTTAAACATGAGCCTGAAGGTACAGGTGTGAGACCAGATTCAAACAAGGATTCCGTCGTTCCCAATTAGCTCCCAACCTCTCCCGCTCCCTCTCCTTCCTGTCTCCACCTCCTGCTCCACTCTTTCCTCTCCTTTTTGGAATATAGCAAGATTAAGTGGCCGATTTATCTTTTTGGCGCTGAATTTTAAAGGGAACAGCTAGCTGTGTGATCCTATTATTAATATTTATATTCTGTCACAGAATGTTGACAGATTAATTATGCAACATAGTATAAAAATCAGCAGGCAGCGTGGGTGAGCAGAGGCAAAGTTCATATATTAGTAACTCCACTGGGTGGCTGGCACCTGCCCCAGAATGACTGTGGGCTCCCTGGAGCTCTATACCCCAGTTCCTTACCAATAAAGGACCTGCTGGCTTTATTTCACCCTCCTTACAGTTCAAGGTTTCATTGTTTTGGACATAAAAAAGTAATGTTCATGAAGCTTCCTTTGTGCGTGCTCTAACTAGTTCTAACTAGGTGTCCTAACACCCTGACACAGACCACCTTAAAGGAAGTGCATGTGACTGACAGATCTTCTAGGGTGGACACTTCCTGGAATGAGCAAGTAAGTTGGATGGGGCTCTTTTTCTTAGAACACAAATAATCATGGTTGCTGGTGAGTATCTTTGCATGTCATGCTCTGCTAGTTCTTAGAGAGTACCACAAAGTTAAGAAAGTGGAGCCCCAGTCCTTAAGGAGCTTATAATTTAGTTGGAGAAGTAAGGTCTCCTTTGGTGATGGTGCATGGAGAAGGGTAGTGTGGGAAGCCTTCCCAGCTTTGTAGCTAAAGATTACTCTCTCTTGTTACTTTGCCTCTGTGGACCCCAAGTTCCTTTGGTGATGATGGGGCTAATGCAGTGATCCCTCTGGCCTTTGATAGAGGGAAATTCTCCAGGAAGCAACAGAGAGCGATGAGCAACAACTGCTCGCACTGACCTGGGATCCAGGCTGGCTCCATAGCTGCTTGGTCCTGGGCACGTTACCTAACTAACTGCTCTAAGCCTGTGTCAGTCCATTCTTGTGTCTCTGTAAAGGAATATGTGATGCTGGATAATTTATAAAGAAAAGAGGTTTCATTGGCTTATGGTTCTGCAGGCTGTACAAGAAGTGTGGTGCTGGCATCTGCTTCTGGTGAGGCCTCAGGGAGCTTCCACTCATGGTGGAAAGCAATGGGGGACCAGCATGTCATGTGGCCCAAGCAGGGGCGAGAGAGAGAGAGGGGGAAGTGCTACATTCTTTGAAAAAACAGATCTTGCATGAACTGAGTAAGAACTCACTTATCACCAGGGGGATAGTACTGAACCATTCACAAGGGATCTGCACCATGATCCAATCAGCCCCCACAAAAGGCCCCACCTCCAACACTGGGAATCACATTTCAAGGTGAGACTTGGAGAGGACAAACATCCAAACCATATCACAGCTACAGTCTTCGTTTGTGAAATGAAAAGATAACACCACCAGGGTTTGTTATGTTATGTATACATAAGGTGCATTAGCATGAAGTTAATAGCTATGCTGTAAAACCACCATGGGTGATGTTCCTGAAAGAAACAGGATGCAGCTGGGCGCGGTGACTCAACACCTATAATCACAGCAGTTTGGGAGGCTGAGGCTGGCGGATCACCTGAGGACAGGAGTTCTAGGCCAGCCTGGCCAACATGTGAAACCCTGTCTTTAATAAAAATACAAAACTTAGCCAGGCATGGTGAGGCATGCCTGTAGTCCCAGCTACTTGGGAGGCTGAGGTGGGAGAATCACTGGAACCCAGGAGGCAAAGCTTGCAGTGATGAGATCGCACCACTGCACTCCAGCCTGGGTGACAGAACAAGACGCTGTCTAAAAAAAGAAACAGAAAGCACTGGGGTCATGTGACAGCCTCTACTGTTCTGGATATTGTCACTTTGTACTTTAACTTATATATCTAAGGGGCAGCATTCTGTGGTTCATAGGTGGCAGGTAGCATTTCTGCCATGAAGTATAGCTAGTGTCCCATATGACACCTGTCGATGGAACCTTGGGCTGGCATTCTTTGAAAGAGGCTGAGGAGCTCTGCTGTTTTCTAGGAGCCTCTGCAGGATGCCCAGGGCCAGGCACCCGAGGTACTTTAGTGGGTGCTAAGGAGCAGCAACATGGATGGTGAAAGAAACTTCAGTGGGAGGACATCATTGCGTCACTGGAGGAGGCTCCACAGTGGCAATCGACAGGCAGCCTGCTCTGGAGAGGGGTAAGGTTATCTCAGAGTGCCAGGGAGGCTCAGGTGTCAGATGCCACATGCATGCAGTTTGTCACTGTTCCTCTCAGTGAGTTGGTGTGTGTGTGTTTGGTGGTTATTGAAGGAAGAGGAATAGATAATTCTGTAGAGAAGTTCACTTGAACCAATCAGCTATCAGGTCACATAACAAAAAGCTGTTGCAATCACAACACATCAAATCAATTCTGGGAGTGATATACCTTATAATCACGCAATGCAAATAATCAAACTCAATAAGCAAGCAAACCTTCAGTGTCATCAAGCAAAGCTCCAACTACAAGTAGCTCTGATAGCTTTAAATCAGCTCTTTAACTCTTATGCTCCAGCTACCATAGTCATCGATGTGCTTCCCAAGCCTAGCTGGGTAATGTAGCATCCAGAAAGATGCTGCTCCAGTTAACAATTTATCTTCACTTAGCAAGTCAGCTGATTAAATTAAGAACTTATTAATATCCCAAGATCATCCATGAGTTAGAAGAAAAAATATCAATTGTAATATACAAAGGCAACTGCTCTCATATTCATTCTGACGGCAGTCCCTCCTGGATGCTCACCTGTGCCAGGTTGGTGGGACTGAATGGGGGAAAACACGAGAAATACATGATATGGCTCTCACCCTCCAAAGTGAATTGGGATAAATGGTATATACACAACAAATAAAAATACAGTGTGGTCAGTGTGATGCTATTTGTATTAATCAATAAGAATGTATTAATCACCTACTGTATGCACAGCCCTGATGATGACCCCAGTCCTGGAGGCACAGAAAATGGCAGTCGCTGTCTTGATGGGCACAGTCTGCTGGAGACAGTGAGGAACATGGTGAGGTTGCAAGGGGGACAGGGAATGATAGGAGGATGTCTAGGAAAGAGGGGAGCCAGTTATTCTAATTTCTGGAAATAAACCTTCAGGCAGCTAAAATTTTGTGCAACATGCTCATGCAGCCCCTTTGAGATTGAGATGGTGAATCTTAGCACCACTTTGCAAGCACAGAATAAGAATCTCCAAGGGCTTGGGTGTGGACTGGGGTAAAACAGGAGATGAAAAGAGAGCGAGGCTTGTGGCTTTCCAGCACTATGTCCCACTTCATCATTTGTAACACTGACCATTCTTATTGGTCGGAGCCTGTACGATGAAAAAAAACACTTTGTACGTTGATGTAGGGTATCTGGGGAAGTAATTTACTGCTTCTAAGCCATTAGAATATGATTTAATGCATTAGCAATAAATTAATAGAGTTAAGAAGAAGTGGGAATTATTTCAGTGTGTGGATGAGAACAGCAGGGCAGGGTAGACCAGGCTGCGTGTTTTGAACCCATCAGCACTGCATTTGTATGTGTCAGATAACCTTCTAGGAGCTGCCTCATTTAAAATGGACCCCAATGAAGCTTAACACATAGAGTACAGTCTGTTCAAAATGAGCCAGACTATAGGTAAAATTTGACAGCATGACACACGATCTTCCCAGACAGGCTGTGTTGTAGGACATAATTTTGGACCAGGAAATTTTTGAAAGTCAAATCCTTGCTATTCTGCTATGACTGCAGACTAGTGGGTGCTAAGTACAGAGCCTTTTCTCTCTCTCTCTTTACAAAACTCAATTAAAATGTGCATGTGCAGTAATCTTCCCTTTCAGAGCGCCTGTGGTGATTGATAGAGTTGTTTCTAAGTATGTTTAGGCTCAGTGGAATCACTTAACCCATTGTGGGACATGCAGAAATGGGCAAAGAAAAAGAGGCCATAAAAATTATACAGCCAGAGGAGGCTGATAATATCCAGAAGAAAGGAGATACAGAAAGAGAATTGAACACATGACATATAAGAATGAGAAGGGATGGAAATGCATCCTCTATGAATTGTTCATTGTGCCCATTTTCAAAGTGAAGAAACTTCTAGAATATGGGTGAGGCACAGTTTTCGATACAAAGCTCATTGCGTGTTTACCAATGTGAAGGTTAATTGGGAGGTAAGAAAATGCCACCATGATGCTGAGACTTTTCTATTGCTGCTTTTTGTCGGCCTCACCAGGAACCTGCAGAGACAGAAGAGGTCCTTTGATAGCCACATTTGCAGCCCACGTTGCTCACCGCGAGCCGGCAGGTTAATGTACCGCTGCCAGCCCTCCAGAGTGAAGCAATCAGACACACGGCTTGATTGAAATAAAATGAAAGGGGGAGTGGGGGAGGGCAGAGCCTGTGGTTGGTATTTCAGCTACCGGCAAAGCCCTCCTCAAATCAAACCCTCCATGGAAGGCGGGTATTAGCAGGGTGGCTGAGGGGCACCTGCAATGCGGAGATTAATCCCCTTTTTGTTTTCTTTCGGGTCTATCTCAGCACTGCTGAGTGGAAGAATTTATGTTGGCCTCCTTCCTAGAAGGAAGCTGCAGGCTCAGAAAAGAGGATGTGTCATCAGATGTCACCTCTCAGGGTGCCTCTGTTGCTATCTGTCTGTCGCTCTGCCCCTCCCTAGGTCTCTGCCCCTCCCTGCCAATCAGTTCTACCTTCCTTTCACTCCTCAGAGTTTTATTTCTGTGGCTCGAATTCTGATTTCGTACCAGAGGAAGACAACAACAGCTCTATTACCAGGTCCCCTGCTCCTCTCCAATGTGCCCCAGACAGGTATTCGGCGACCAGAGGAGAGCTGAGCTGGGCTTTGATCACACTCTGCCTCTGCATCCGCGGAGCTTGCTGGGCCATGCAGATGTCTTCTGCAAGTGAGCTAAGGCCATGGAAAAGATCCCTCGGGGGCCATTTGAGATGTAGCTCACAGTGGCCTTCAACATTTTTATTTAAGCTGTGGAGTCATTTTCTGGAAAATAAAATATCATTGACAACCTCACTATGTGAAATGGATAGCGTGCTCTTATTGTACAGGGGTGAGAAGAGGATAGAGGAGGCCTGAAGTTAGCCCACTGAGCCCTCCACTTCCCAGGACCCTGAGGCCACTGAGCACAGGCCCTTGTGCAGCCCTGCTCCCGGACCCACCGTGACTGTGATGTCCTGGAGGAATAAGTGCCCTCCTTCCATTCATACAAAGGTTCCCAACTGGCTACCAAAGGCTATGGCCAGTCCCTGGAAGGCATGCTGTTTCCACCAGGATCCTGAAATCCCAGGTTCTCAAATAGGGTCCTACATTTTCACCAAGGAGCTGCACACTTTCCCAGTGTATATGTGACTATTCGTCGCCAGCATGTGCACGGGACCATTTTGGTGTGTGATTTTTTCATATACTTTCCAGGGTGTTTATGACTAGGGTGCAATTTTAGAAATGAGAGCTTTGGTAGCAAGGTCCTGACCATCCCAGAGAAGGATTTTGGCAAAAAATAGTAGTTGCTAGTTATTTACTCTTCCTCTTTTTGCTAGATCAGGTGGCAGAAAAGATGAGTTATTGTCTTACTATCTTATCTTCCCCAGTATTTCATTTCCCAATACTGAAGACAGTGGAGGCATTTTGGACCTAAGAACCAGTGTTTCAGAAGATGGCATTTACCCTACAATGGCCGTGCCCAAGGTAAACTCTGGGCTTTGGGCTGCATGGCCCCAATCCAGAGAACAGAGGGACTATTCCTGGCTCCTTCCTGAGCTGCTCTAACATCCTGCCCGACTGAGCCCAGTTATGCTTCATTTACAAGAAGAGGCCGCGTTAGCTCCTGGCTCATGTGGAGTTAAATAGAGATGAGATGTAACACTTTTTTTCTAACAGCACAAAACTCCTTCCTGAAGAGTCACCTTGAAGAGAGATGGTTTCTTGTGCAGAATCGCAGTCTGGGCAATTAAGTCAGAGAACTCTGAGTTTATATGCTGTGCGTTTTCATTGACTGACTCTGTGGCTTTTTGGAGAATTACATTTCCTCTCTGATATTGTTAATTGATGAAGTCTCACAACTTCACTAGGGAATAAACTTATGCTGACAAGAGCTGTGTGTGTGAACCGTGCCATGCAGACTTCCTTAGATATAAATGAGTGTGGTGGGAGCCTCGTGGGGGCTCTCAGGAGCCTAAACATAACAAATAAACAAGGATAATAGGATTAATTGCTTGTCTTGCATTCTCACCTATTCCTTTTTGTGCCTTCAGAGTCCATAGTAAGTCACTGGTCTATTTAACTGCATTTCCTCTGCTGAATAATCGGCTAATTGATTTATTACAGGCGTGGCCTCTCTGCTTTCTATTGCTTAGCATCCTGCAGTGAGCTTTGTTACCTTCTTGGCCCTGTTTATTGAATCCCCATCGTGCAAGAAACAGGAAATTTGGCACTAAGCAGATGGGAAAAAATGCATTGTATAGATATCAAAGCATAGTGGTTAAATGTTGTTCTCTTCTGAGGTGGATGGCTCCCAAGACCCTGGTGCTTTTTGAAATATGCTCTAACTAACCTATTTTTCCATGTGAACAAAGGGCTCAGTGGATGAAGGTTATTTTCACATAGCCCTCAAGGTTAAAGTTGGTTGCTCTTCCAGATGGTTTCTATCTAATTCTTTGGATTATGATACTGAACTACCCTGCGATCAGGACTCCTAGTGCCAAGAATAACAAGAGGTGGAAGCCAGCTACAGTGAGGGCTGCTGCTCTCTGGGCAGGCAGAGATTTAAGGGTCAAGGCCAGACCATATGGTCTATCAAGGCCCTGCTGCCTTAACCCCGGGAAATACAAATCAACTCACAGAACCGCTCATCATCCCTGCTTCCTATTGCGTCAGTCACTGGGCCCCCTGAGTCCCCCCTTCTCCAATTCTTTCTTGCCCTAATTTTTGCCACAGGCTTCTTTCTGCAGTTGCCAGTTCAATTCCAGCTGCCCGTGCTTCCAGTAGGCTCCTCAGAAACGTGTTTCTAATGGCCACAGAGTCGAATGGCACAATGAGGAGCAGAGGACTCCTTGGCTTAGCAGCTCCAGGGGGAGGTATTTTTTTTAAGCCTAACCTGAAAGCATGTGACTTAAACACCTGTGACTTAGCCACCTGGTAGGAAAATCAGGTGGGAAATTAGTTCTCCCATGAAAGGCTTATTATTTCTGTGTGCTTCCAAGGAAGTAAACCTGGGGAAGTTGGGAAGAGACCATTTGAGAAAGTCAAAATGTACCTCAGTATCTATTTCTTGTTTTTCCTCCATCCCTTGCTTTTTCCCTCCCTCCGTGTCTTTCCTCCTCTCTCCCTTCCTCCCCTCTGTCCTTCCTTCCTTATTCTGGAGACAATTGCTCCAGCACAAAACTAACTAACTAACTTCAAATATTTGCTATCTTTTCAGCAAGGATATAACAAAACTAAACACACTCAACAAAAACACAAGTTCCATGAGAGCAGGAATTCGTGTCTGTTTGGTAGTGCGGTATCCCCAGCATTTAAGACAAGTGTTTGGGACCCAGTAAGTGTTCAACAAGTTATTTGTTGACTTCTGAATAATTATGCGATATTTGATAATAAAAGCTGAAATTCTTATTTTTTTTCTTTCCTCTAATAATACCTCCCTATATGAAATCTGAAGGATCTTGCTTCAGAATCATTTAACACTGGCTGTCATTTCCTTACCTTCCCCAGAGTCGCACTCAGCACACAACCCCAGGGTGCAGAGCATTCCTTCCAGTCTTCTCCCCATGATGCCTGTGTGAACATCTTCAAAATTGCATTTGAAGAGATGCTGTTGTGTTCCCATGTGCAAGGTCTCAATGGACTGGAATCTTGTAAATGCCTATAACCTGTATTCCACTCACTTTCTTTCACTGTAGATCATGAGGAAATGAGATGTAAGTTGTGTTTGTCTCTACCACAGAGATAAAAGAAGAGGGGTCCGGTGCTTCGACCTTTAAGCATCGAAGTCAGCTTTGGTGTGGGTGCGCGAGTCTCCCACATGCGTGTCTGTGGCTTCTTTCCACCCCGCCTTTACATGCTGAGGATTTACATTCCTTGGTTATGCTACTGGACTGGCCCACCCAAAGGCAGCGTCTACTTTGAGGGTAGGAGCAGATATTGAAAAGAGAATTCCATCTCACTCATTGCTTTTGTTTTTGACAATGGGCAGCTGTGTGTGAGCTATGGGAGGGTTCAGCAGCCTGGTGTTGAGGAAGGTACTTTGTCTTGTTGAGTGAGTGTGGTTCTGGAGTTCAGTGACCCCTTACTGAGGCTCCAGTCACAAAGTCTTGTTTGTGGGGATGTCTGGATGCTTTTCTTTATTAAAACTACTCAGCATATGAGGCAGGAGAATGGCGTGAACCTGGAAGGTGGAACTTGGAGTGAGCCAAGATCGCACCACTGCACTCCAGCCTGGGCAACAGAGCGAGACTCCGTCTCAAAAAAAAAAAACAACAAACAAACCAAAAAACAAAAAAATACAAAAAAACTACTCAGCATAGTTATCACTTCTTTCAGTGTAGACCCTAATAACACAATGGGCAAACCCAATACCCCCACACCCCCACACCCCCTTTCCCGTTCCCAGTGGTGCATCAGCGACCTCAAACCCCCTCAGCAGCGCAGCCTCCTCACCTCACAGAGCACTTACAGAGCTGACCTCAAAGAGCAATTTCAGTCAGGAAAGGAGAGGCTCAATTGTTCATAAACCTGACATTTATTACTTGGAGATTCTTGCTCTACAGTACAAGCTGCTCTTTACGATTTTATCAAATAAAGTGCTCCTTTCATCTGTGTCCCACTTTCTCCTCCCGCTTCTTCCCACCACCCACTGCTTTCACCTACCTGTGGGCTTGGCGAGGGGCAGCAATGTAAGATTTAAGGAACTTCACCTGGGGAGCCCGGGTCTCCTTGCTGGGGGCCTGGCTGGCACTCAGAGCAGAGGGTGTATGCTTCGTTTTCCTTCTTTTATTCAAGCAGCAATGAGTGTGAAAGGAGATAGTGGCATTGTTTCCTCCTTTAAATGACTTACCTTCTCTTGGACATTTTCTAGGTCACCAGGTCAGAGTAACACTGAGAGTAAATCTATTGCAAGCATTCGGAGACCGAATGGTTTGTAAATGATAGCTACACACATTAATTGTTTCCCAGTTTAAATAATGAGAGCACTCAGTGTAGATATATGTAGATGTATTATTTTAATGGACAGTACCCAAATTGTAGAAGCCTCAATGCTTCCCATGTTGCTTTAACTGAGCTCATATTTTGGACGATGGATAGTTCAGTGGTCTGGAGGCAGGGGGAGGAGTTAAATGAATCACTCCATGTCCTACTGCATATCAGTTGATAGTGTCATGTAGAGATCGACGGAATGGGGGCAAGCCATTCACCAGTTCTGAATCATAGATGGTCTTTTGGATGGTTATAGAATCTAAACTGGGCAGGGTGGAGCTGTAGGGAACTGGGAATAGTCTAAAATCAGAACAATGAATAGAAGCCCTTTACGCGTCTCCAATAGAATAAGCAGGTACCTTGTTACAAGAAAAAGCTGAGTACACTGGTGTTTCAAAAGCAGCCATGGAGAAGACTTGTAAATATACCACAGCGTGTACGTGTACCTTTGTTTGACTTCTGACACTGGGTCAACACCATCTCTTTGAGACTGTGTCTGCTGACTGGAAACTGGTGTCTCCTTGAATAGACAATATTCTGACAGTATCACTCTTGATTTCTACTTTGAATTTCTTTAAAGTCGAGCATGAGGGTGAAGGTTCCTAATGTGAACCTATCTGAGTATAAAATATTTCTAGACTCTATGATTTCTCCCCATCCCTACTAGGTTTTTCCCCCATATTTAATTCAACTGCAGGAGGGTTTTTTTTTTCCAAGCTATTATATTGAATATTTCTAAAATATTCTACTTAGTTTTCATAGAAATGACAATTCTCTTTTTACACTCAGATTGTACCAGTTTGTGAGGGTTTTAGGTAAATTATGTAATTAAGTGAACAAGTACACCTGGTAAGCACAGAGTTTGGAAATGATGCAGCTGACTCTTGGTAAGCATATGGCTCAACTAGTAAACGCATGAGCACCTGGGTAAGCCAGAGGGAGCAAATGGCATAGACTGGGAATTCAGCACACTATGGAAGTCAGTCCCCATGACTGCCAGAGAGTGGAGAAGTCTGGGTAATGCAGTATGTCGGCTAAATGGAAGTTCAGAAGGAATTAGTGAAGAACTTTTGGTGCCGGCTTCAGGTGGACTCATGGTTTCTGAATTTCTGTGCTAATATTAGTTATTGACCTCAAAGAAATCCCATAACCTCTCAGAGCTTCAGTTTACTCATGTGTAAAATAAGGCTATTACTAACACACGTGAGCATGCATATACACATGTGTGCGTGCACACACACACCACCCAGGGCTCCTTAATGAAGGTCGAATAAACTAATATGTTTGGCTGCTCTTGTAACTGTAAATAGTCTACATATATAAACTCCTTTTTAGCTTTTTACCTTAAAATAATTTCACACTTATAGAAAAATTTCCAGAATAGTACAAAAGCACTCACTAACCCCCTGAAAGATTTGCCTACTGTTAATATTTCATCACATTTGTTTTATCATCATTTCTAGGAATGGAGAGATGGGTAGATAGATAGATAGATAAACATAGATAATGTACATATCTGTGTGAATCAATATTTTTCTGACCATTTCAGATATAGCTGCAAACATCATAACCCTTTTCTCCAACACTTCCATGTGTTTATGTTAAGAACAAGATATTCTCTTACAATTACGAAAGGATATTTAACGTTTATACAACATCATATAATATGCAGTTATTATTCAGAATTTTCCATTTTTGCTAGTAATATCTTTTATTTTTCTTCCATCTTGGATCTGGTACCAGATCACACAATGCATCTGGTTGTCATTTTTTTTTAATGGTTTTAGCCTTCTTCTGTCAAGGCATTGTCCCTGCCATGGTCTGAAATGTTTGTATACCCCAAAATACATACTAAAATCCTAATCCTCAGTGTGAGGGGTCAGGAGGTGGTGGCTTTGGGAGGTGATCAGGTCATGAGGGTGGACAATTGATGATGGGGTTAGTACCCTTATAAAAGGGTCTCAACAGAGACTTCTGCCCCTTCTACTATGTGAGGTTCCAGGAGAAGAGTTTGTCTGATATGTCCTGGACTCAGGTTATACATTTATGGGCAGGAATACCATATACATGAAAGTTCATGGTAGGAGGGCATGCTGTTGGCATGTCTCAGTATTGGTGATGCTAGCAATGATCACTTGGTTAAGGAAGTATCTGCCAGGATTCTCCACTTTAATGTTACCATTTTTCTGAGATTAGTAAGTAATTGCTGGAAAGACATTTTGAGACTATGTAAATAACTTTCCTTCATTGAATTTCTGTGTAGCAGCCTTTGATAATTCTCACCTGAGCTGGTTGTCACTGGTACGGATGCATGATGCTGGCTTTTTTTCCCTGATGCCATCATTCCTTATATAGTTATTAGTTGACATATTTATGTAAGGAAGAACTTTCCCCTTTACAACATTTATTTAGTTTTTTTTTTTTAAATTATAAGCATGGGACCATGACATTTTATTCTATTCAACAGATTATAATCAATTTATGTTATTTGTTTTGATTTCATTTGTCCTAGATTTGGCCAGATAGTGTCCCATCAAGCTGGCCCTGTGCTATTTTGATGTGTGCTCATTATTTTTTGCACATTTTCTTTCTCTCTGGCATGACAGAACATTTTAGACGCACTTCTGCCTTCTCTTTCCAGTCCTGAAGTCAAGCCTGTCTCCAAGAAAACCTAGTTCTCTTGAGTAGTGGATGGTATTTAGGAACCAAGATCAAGGTGCTAGCTGTTTTCAATACTGCTAGGGCATCACTGTCTCTAGAAAGCAGAAATAGGGAGACACAAGATATTTTTCCAAATCTATTTCTGGGATATTTTCCTTCTTTTACCTTCCTGCCATCACCATCACACTCATATTCCTCATTGATGAAAAAGACTGTTATAGATTTGGACTCTGCTTCTATCTGAGCTTAGAAAGATAATCAACTCCAGTGTTCTTGTTCTGATAGCTAAGAAGAAAAGATTGTCCTCAGGGCTAAATTCAGGAGCAAACAGGTAAGAATCTGCTCATATCAGGAATTAAGAGATGGAAATAACAGGAAGCCGTGCCATCGGTATTTACATGGAGAGCCACCATAGATTCTCATGCCTCGTGGTTGATAATGTCACAGGTCTAGAAATCTCGCATTAAATTTCCAAAGTTCCTGGGAGAACTTCTCCTTTAGGGAATGTTTCGGATAATAAAAATATGAGATTTTAATACTTGTAATTATGTTACAGATTGTACTCACTGACGACGTCTTGTTTACTTATTACTCACATTAGCCCTCCTCTTGAAGCCCTGTGGCAACTAAGAACAGAAACAAGACTGTGGATGAGGTCAAAGTCCAGTAAGGACTTTACTACCCTGAAACCCAGGGCTCTAGAGCCGTACAGTCTTGTCAGATGCATCTTAGGCCTCCTGCCACCACCATCATCATATCTAGATCCTGTGGCCTTTCTTGGGGAGAGGCTGGGTCAGCAAAACGAACGCTAGCTCCCTCATGCCTACCTTCTGAGGGGAGGAATGTGTCTTACCCAATCAAATGCAAGGGGGAAATCAAAGAGGCTTTGAGGACAGTGTCAGAGGCAGGCGTGAGGCTCTGCCTGAGCTATGCCGGCTGTGCACAAGCCCTGGTAGAGCAATGAAACAGGTTACCTTGCTAGAATGTGAATTTTGCAGAGCACAGGGAAAATACCAGATCATATTTGAGCTTAATTGTCCTTACATGGAGCCTGAGGAAAGGCAGACTCTTACTAGTCAGCAAAGCCACTTCCCCTGCATTGGAGAGGAGTGAATGAGAGGCTCAAAGAGCTAACAGATGTGCTCATCCAATCTGGCTTTCTTCTGCTCAGTGGAACAGAGGTCCTCCATGGAAACACAGGGAGGAGTGAGAAAATACTTCTATCTCCTGAATTCTTACTATGTGCTGGGTTTTATGATGAGGGATTTACATGCATTATCTAGTTTGATTCTCATGATAACCTTATAAAGTAGGTATTGGTATCAACATGTTATGAGTGGGGAACCTGATCCCCGGAGGTTAAGCCATATCCCACAGCTCATACATGGAAAATAACGTCTAAAACCAGGTCTTCTCTCTGCAGTCATGCAGTTAGTCACCAGTTTCAGGGAATGCCACCAATCTTAGGGAAGATTACTTCCCCAGCAGGTAGGATGAGTAGGCCCATGAGGAAAGGCTCACAGGCTGTGCATGCACTTGTTGGGTTGGGCGGTGAGCAGCAATGGTGGGGTGGGAGGAAGGATGAACACAAAACCTCACCCACTCTATACTTCCACTTTCTGGCCAGCCCTGAGCCACAGGCATCTTAGTGCTAACTCCTTATTTCAAAGCTTATGACCACAGCGGAGCTGGTAATAGGCATTTCTTTGATTTTCTAATTATTTTCCTTTTTCCTCTTTGGAACATCTCTGTGCTGGGAGATCAATGCCTCCTGCTGATCAGCTACCCAGCAGCTTAAAGAACATCTCAACATACTCACTTAAATTTCCATAAGGTGACTGGCATAATGCCTTTGAGGCCTAGAGGGAGCCCTGGTAGTCGTCAGGCAAAGCAAGGCTTCTGAGGCCAGAACGTGGTTGCCTTCATATTCACAAGTTGATTTATTTATCATTGAGTTCTAGTGTTTGTGAGCAAAATGAGTTCTCTTTGTGGTAAGATGCGGAATGAAAGCGGGGAAGGCATGGCTCAGCAGGAGCCAGTGAGAGAGCAGCTTGGTGTGGCCACCTTCCGAGGAGTGACAGCTCCTGTGCTTAGCTAGGCAGGGCCGCATGGACAACACCAAGAGCACTCTCCAGGGCTCTGCCACACAGAAACCTGGGACATTCCAGCAGCACTGTGTCTGTCTGCGTTCTTTTTCTACCCCTCTTCTTCTGTATTAATCAGTAGCTCCTTTCAGATGTTTACAACTCATTACATCAGATGTAGTCATTCTATGCATCACTAATAGTATCTCCCTGAAGATGCCCCCAGATAGCTTTTCCTGGACTTCTCATTTAAAAGAACATTTTGATCATAAGAAGCCACAACGCATAGTGGAAAGAGCGTCACTTTTCAAATTAGGCAAATGTGGGTGCAATCTTAACTCCCCCACTTACTAGCTGTTAACCTCAAGAAATTGTCCCAATTGCTCTGGATCTCAAATTCCTCCTGTAATATATTAATATGTATAATTAGTACTATTACTAAAATGAAATTAGTATTGAGTAGATTAAATGACTTAATCAATGTAAAGGCCTTGAATAATGGGGGCCTGGCAAGATGGCCGAATAGAAACAGCTTTGGTCTGCAGCTGCCAGCAAGACCAACACAGAACGCAGGTCATTTCTGCATTTCCAACTGAGGTACCCAGTTCATCTCATTGGGACTGGTTAGACAATGGGTGCAGCCCATGGAGGGTGAGCAGAAGCAGGGTAGGGTGTCGCCTCACCCGGGAAGCACAAGGGTTCAGGGAACTCCCTCCCCTAGCCAAGGGAAGCCATGAGGGACTGTGACATGAGGGATGGTGCTATCTGGCCCAGATACTACGCTTTTCCCATGTTCTTCGCAACCCACAGACCAGGAGATTCTTTCAGGTGCCTACACCACCAGGGCCCTGGGTTTCAAGGACAAAACTGGGCGGCTCTTTGGGCAGGCACCGAGCTAGCTGCAGGTGTATTTTTTTGTACCTCAGTGGCACGTGGAACACCAGTGAGACAGAACCATTAACTCCCCTGGAAAGGGGGCTGAAGCCAGGGAGCCGAGTGGGCTTGCTCAGCAGATCCCACCCCCACGGAGCCCAAAAAGCTATGATTCACTGGGTTGAAATTTTCGCTGCCAGCACAGTAGTCTGAAGTTGACCTAGGACTCTCGAGCTTGGTGGGGGGACGGGCATCCACCATTACTGAGGCTTGAATAGGTGGTTTTCCCCTCACAGTGTAAACAAAGCCACCAGGAAGTTCGAACTTGGTGTGGAACCCACTGCAATGTGGCAAAGTCGCTGTAGCCAGACTGCCTCTCTAGATTCCTCCTCTCTGGGCAGGGCATTTCTGAAAGAAAGGCAGCAGCCCCAGTCAGGGTCTTACAGATAAAACTCCCATCTCCCTGGGACAGAGCACCTGGGGGAAAGAGCAGCTATGGGTGCAGCTTCATCAGACTTAAACGTTCCTGCCTGCCAGGTCTGAGGAGAGAGGCGGATGTCCCAGGACAGGGCTCAGGCTCTGCTAAGGGACAGACTGCCCCTCAAGTGGGTCCCTGACCCCCATGCCTCCTGTCTGGGAGACAACTCCCAGCAGGGGTTGAAAGACACCTCATACAGGAGAGCTCCAGCTGGCATCTTGGCAGGTGCCCCTTTGGGATGAAGCTTCCAGAGGAAGGAGCAGGCAGCAATCTTCGCTGTTCTGCAGCTCCCGCTGATGATACCCAGGGAAACAGGGTCTGGAGTGGACCTCCAGCAAACTCCAGCAGACCTGCAGAAGAGGGGCCTGACTGTTAGAAGGAAAACTAACAAACAGAAAGCGAGAGCATCAACATCAACAAAAAAGACACCCACGCAAAAACCCATCCAAAGGTCACCAACATCAAAGACCAGAGGTAGATAAATCCATGAAGATGAGGAAAAACCAGTGCAAAAAGGCTGAATATTCCAAAAACCAGAATGCCTCTTCTCCTCCAAAGGCCCACAACTCCTCACCAGCAATGGAACAAAACTGGATGGAGAATGAGTTTGATCAATTGACAGAAGTAGGCTTCAGAAGGTGGGTAATAACAAACTCTTCCGAGCTAAAGGAGCATGTTCTAACCCAATGCAAGGAAGCTAAGAACCTTGATAAAAGGTTACGGGAACTGCTAACTAGAATAACCAGTTAAGAGAAGAAGATAAATGATGTGATGGAGCCGAAAAACACAGTACGAGAACTTCGTGAAGCATACACAAGTATCGATAGCTGAATCGATCAAGCAGAAGAAAAGATATCAGAGACCAAAGATCAACTTAATGAAATAAAGCGTTAAGACAAGATTAGAGAAAAAAGAATAAAAAGGAATGAACAAAGCCTCCAAGAAATAAGGGACTATGTGAAAACAGTAAACCTACGTTTGATAGGTGTATATGAAACTGACGGGGAAAATGGAACCAAGTTGGAAAACACACTTCGTGATATCATCCAGTAGAACTTCCCCAACCTAGCAAGACAGGCCAACATTCACATTAAGGAAATACAGAGAACACCACAAAGATACTCCTTGAGGAGAGCAACCCTAAGACACATAATCACCAGATTTACCAAGGTTGAAATGAAAAAAAAAAAAAAAAAAAGTTAAGCGCAGCCAGAGAGAAAGGCCAGGTTACTCACAAAGGGAAGCTCATCAGACTAACAGCAGATCTCTCTGGAGAAACCCTACAAGCCAGAAGAGAGTGGGGGCCAATATTCAACATTCTTAAAGAAAAGAATTTTCAACCCAGAATTTCATATCCCACCAAACTAAGCTTCATAAGCAAAGGACAAATAAAATCCTTTACAGACAAGCAAATGCTAGGGATTTTGTCACCACCAGGCCTGCCTTACAAGAGCTCCTGAAGGAAGCACTAAATATGGAAAGGAAAAACTGGTACCAGCCACTGCACAAACATACCAAAATATAAAGGCCATCGACACTGTAAAGAAACTGCATCAACTAATGGGCAAAATAACCAGTTAGCATCATAATGACAGGATCAAATTCACACATAACAATATTAATCTTAAATGTAAACAGGATAAATGCCCCAATTAAAAGACACAGACTGGCAAATTGGATAGAGTCAAGACCCATCAGTGTGCTGTATTCAAGAGACCCAACTCACGTGCAAAGACACACATAGGCTCAAAATATAGGGATGGAGGAATATCGCCAAGAAAATGAAAAGAAAAAAAAAAGCAAATGTTGCAATCCTAGTCTCTGATAAAAAAGACTTTAAACCAACAAAGATAAAAAAAAAAAAAAAGAAGGGCATTACATAATGGTAAAGGAATCAATGCAACAAGAAGAGCTAACTATCCTAAATATATATGCACCCAATACAGGAGCACTCAAATTAATAAAGCAAGTTCTTAGAGACCTCCAAAGAGACTCAGACTCCCACACAATAAGAGGGGGAGACTTTAACACTCGACTGTCAATATTAGACAGATCAATGAGACAGAAAATTAACAAAAATATTCAGGACTTGAACTCAGCTCTGGACTAAGTGGACCTCATAGACATCTATAGAACTCTCCACCCCAAATCAACAGAATATACATTCTTCTCAGCACCACATAGCACTTCTTCTAAAATTCACCTCATAATTGGAAGTAAAACACTCCTCAGCAAATGTGAAAGAATGGAAATCATAATCAACAGTCTCTCAGACCACAGTGCAATCAAATTAGAACTCAGGATTAAGAAACTCACTCAAAACTGCACAACTACATAGAAACTGAACAACCTGCTCCTGAATGACTACTGGGTAGATAAAAAAATTAAGGAAGAAATAAGTAAGTTCTTTGAAACCAATGAGAACAAAGACACAAGATACCAGAATCTCTGGGACACAGCTAAAGCAGTGTTTAGAGGGAAATTTATAGCATTAAATTCCCACATGAGAAAGCGGGAAAGATCTAAAATTGGCACCCTCATATCACAATTAAAAGAACTAGGGAAGCAAGAGCAAACAAATTCCAAAGCTAGCAGAAGGCAAGAAATGACTAAGATCAGAGTAGAACTGAAGAAAATAGAGACACGAAAAACCCTTCAAAAAATCAATGAATCCAGGAACTGCCTTTTAGAAAAGATTAACAAAATAGATAGATTGCTAGCCAGACTAATAAGGAAGAAAAGAGAGAAGAATCAAAAAGACAATAAAAATGATAAAGGGGATATCACCACTGATCCCAAAGAAACACAAACTACCATCAGAAAATATTATAAACACCTCTACACAAATAAACTAGAAAATCTAGAAGAAATGGATAAATTCTTGGACACATACACCCTCCCAAGACTAATCCCGGAAGTAATCAAATCCCTGAATAGGCCAATAACAAGTTCTGAAATTGAGACACTAATTAATAGCCTACTAACCAAAAAAAGCCCAGGACCAGACAGATTATCAGCCAAATTCTACCAGAGGTGCAAAGAGGAGCTGGTACAATTTCTTCTAAAACTATTCCAAACAATAGAAAAAGAGAGACTCCTCACTAACTCATTTTATGAGGCCAGCATCATCCTGATACCAAAACCTGGCAGAGACGCAACAAAAAAAGAAAATTTCAGGCCAATATCCCTGATGAACATCGATGCGAAAATCCTCAATAAAATACTGGCAAACTGAATCCAGCAGCACATCAAAAAGCTTACCCACCATGATCAAGTCGGTTTCATCCCTGGTATGCAAGGCTGGTTCAACATACACAAATCAATAAATGTAACCCATCACATAAACAGAACCAATGACAAAACCACATGATTATTTCAATAGATGCAGAAAAGGCCTTTGACAAAATTCAACCCCCTTTCATGCTAAAAACACTCAATAAACTAGGTATTGATGAAGTGTATCTCAAAATAATAAAAGCGGTTTATGACAAACCCACAACCAATATCATACTGAATGGGCAAAAGATGGAAACATTCCCTTTGAAAACTGGCACAAGACAAGGATGCCCTCTCTCATCACTCCTATTTAACATAGTATTGGAAGTTCTGGCCAGGACAATCAGGCAAGAGCAAGAAATAAAGGGTATTCAAATAGGAAGAGAAGAAGTCAAAATGTCTCCGTTTGCAGATGACATGATTGTGTATTTAGAAAACACCATTGTTTAAGCCCAAAAACTCCTTAAGCTGATAAGCAACTTCAGCAAAGTCTCAGGATACAAAATCAATGTGCAAAAACCACAAGCATTCCTATACACCAATAACAGATAAACAGAGAGCCAAATCACGAGTGAACTCCCATTCACAATAGCTACAAAGAGAATAAAATACCTAGGAATCCAACTTACAGGGGATATGAAGGACTTCTTCAAGAAGAACTACAAACCACTGCTCAAGGAAATAAGAGAGGACACAAACGGAAAATCATTCCATGCTCATGGATAGGAAGAATCAATATTGTGAAAATGGCCATACTGCCCAAAGTAATTTATAGATTCAATACTATTCTCCTTAAGCTACCATTGACTTTCTTCACAGAATTAGAAAAAACTACTTTAAATTTCATATGGAACCAAAGAAGAGGCCGTACAGCCAAGACAATCCTAAGCAAAAAGAACAAAGTTGGAGGCATCACGTTACCTGACTTCAAACTATACTAGAAGGCTACAGTAACCAAAATAGCATGGTACTGGCACCAAAACAGATATATAGACCAATGGAACAGAACAGAACAGAGCCCTCAGAAATAACACCACACAGCCATAACCATCTGATCTTTGACAAACCTGACAAAAACAAGCAATGGGGAAAGGATTCCCTATTTAATAAATGGTGTTGGGAAAACTGGCTAGCCATATGCAGAAAATTGAAACTGGACTCCTTCTTTATACCTTATACAAAGATTAACTCAAGACGAATTAAAGACTCAAATGTAAGAACTAAAACCATAAAAAAACCTAGAAGAAAAACTAGGCAATACCATTCAGGACATAGGCATGGACAAAGACTTCATGACTAAAACACCAAAAGCAGTGGCAACAAAAGTCAAAATTGACAAATGGAATCTAATTAAACTAAAGAGTTTCTGCACAGCAAAAGAAACTGTCATCAGAGTGAACAGGCAACCTACAGAATGGGAGAAAATTTTTGCAATCTATTTATCTGACAACAGGCTAATATCCCGAATCTACAAGGAACTTAAACAATTTTACAAGAAAAAAACAACAACATCAAAAAGTGGGCAAAGGATATGAACAGACACTTCTCAAAAGAAGACATTTATGCGGCTAAAAAACATATGAAAAAAAGCTCATCATCACTGGTCATTAGAGAAACGCAAATCAAAACCACAATGAGATACCATCTCACACCAGTTAGAATGGCAATCATTAAAAAGTCAGGAAACAACGGATGCTGGAGAGGATGTGGAGAAATAGGAACGCTTTTACAATGTTGGTGGGACTGTAAATTAGTTCAGCCATTGTGGAAGGCAGTGTGGTGATTCCTCAAGGATCTAGAACCAGAAGTACCATTTGACCCAGCAATCCAATTACTGGGTATATACCCAAAGTATTATGTATCATTCTACTATAAAGACACATGCACACATATGTTTATTGTAGCACTGTTCACAATAGCAAAGAGTTGGAACCAACCCAAATGCCCATCAATGATAGACTGGATAAAGAACATGTGGCACATATGCACCATGGAATACTATGTAGCCATGAAAAAGGATGAGTTCATGTCCTTTGGAGGGACATGGATGAAGCTGGAAACCATTATTCTCAGCAAACTAACACAGGAACAGAAAACCAAACACCGCATGTTCTCACTCATAAGTGGGAGTTGAACAATGAGAACATATGGGCACATATGAACAATGAGAACATATGGGAGGGGAACATCACACATCAGGGCCTGTCAGGGGGTGGGGAGCAAGGGTAGGAATAGCATTAGGAGAAATACCCAATGTAGATGATGGGTTGATGGGTGCAGCAAACCACCATGGCACATGTTTGCCTATGTAACAAACCTGCACGTTCTGCACATGTATCCCAGAACTTAAAGTATAATAAAAAAAGAAAAAGAAAAAAGAAGACCTTGAACAGATTCTGGTTCTTAGTACGGCATTCTATAAATTATATTCGAGTTAATTAACATAGAAGTTACTTAGCCAATTTCCAATATTTTGGAGCCTCATTTCGGAGGTATAGTTTTGATTTCTACATGAGCCATAAATATGTTTATCATTATATTTCTCATGCTACCAAACACAATATTATATGCATGAAACACAATAAACAGGTTATGAAGTAAATGAGTTACTCTTTTAGGAGCTCTCCTTAGTGCTAAATGTTAACACAGTCGCACCTAGGAGCAACATGGCAAAGATGTTGATGATGATGATTTTGACAATGTATTATGAAAGGAAATGTACGCCTGATAATTTACATGCTCATCATATGTCTCTGTTTGTTTTTGCTGCCAAGAAACCCTGTTACCTTAGCATTCAGAAATACCATCTCTTAGTTCCACGTCTTCAGTTATTTCTCATCTTCTAATCACTTCTCCCTTGGTGCCCCACTAATGATTCTACTCAGAGTGTTTAGTGTTGGGAGCATCACTAGCATCCGAGTATTTCAAGAACTCGGGAAGAAGGCACACCCTCTTGTAGGCGTATACATAAAATTAGTACTCTTATAACATGCATTTAATTGACTTATACAACTCATGATTCAACTGCACAGCCGTCACCACCCTGGTCAGGAGGTCATGAGTTGAGTTTGGAGCACAGCAACTGACTGCAAGTAGGCTGCCCCTAGCAGGGTTTCTTACAGCCCATTTCTATGATCCTGAGGACAGAGTAGACAGGGGACATGGTGTTTCCTGCATTTTCCTAGCAGCTGGACAGACTTCCTTTTGCAAGATAAGCTGTCAGCCACTTGCTGTGTGGCACACCTGTTCCGAGGCCACATCACTCTTGTCAAGGGGTGGTGTGCTCCTCACCAGCATTAGCCACACTCTGGAGATGTGTAGAAAACTGTAACTCAGTAATATATACCTGTGTTGTTGCTTTGTTGGTGGTTGTGGCTTTATTTTGACTGTAAAGGACTTATAAAATGGTGACATATTAATGACAAACTGTGTGAGCTATAGCAAAGCAAGTAACCGTTCCATACCTCAGTTTACCTAACTAAAAATATGAGCAGACTTTGACTATATATGATTCTTATTACAGAAATGAATCCATGAACCACACAAATTATTTTTTCACTTAGAATATATTAAGGTCATAATTTTATAGGTAAAACATAGCCCGAATGGCTTTGCCTGCAACTACTCTTTTAAAGACATCTTTTATGTAAGAAATATAGCAACCACGTGCAATATATGGTTCTTGATAGGATCCAAGTTTGAATAAATCAGGTGTAAAATACATGTTTTAAAAAACTGGAGAAATTTGAATATCTGTCAGCTGAGTATTGGGTGATGTAAAGGAATGTTTGTTGATTATATTAAGCATGAGGACCATATTGTGTTTCTGTAGAAACATATATAATTTGTAAAGGTATATATTAAATATTTATGAAAGAGATGCCATAGTGGGTGTAATTAACTTTAAAATATTGCAAGAAGAAAGATGAAGCAAATATGGCAAAATATTAGCAATTGCTCAATCTACATGAAGATACAGGAGTCTTTCTTATATTTAGGTTGAACCATAGGAAATTGTCAATATTAGACCATTTTGACCTAAAAACAGTAGTTTTCTATGGTTCAATCTTACACTGATTTCAAATTTTCTATATATTTGAGTTTTTAATTACAAATTTTCTAAACATACATTTGTCTGTAAGGAAACTTTCGAATACACATTAGTGTGGTACAAAGCTTGTCAAGGCTTGGTCTTCAGCCCCACTTCTTCAGCAGATTTCTTTCCCTCCCATGCATCCCACCCCTAGAACACTGTGGATGAATCTTTAGTTGAACTTCCTTATTCTGAACTGCTTGATTTCCAGAAACTAGCCAAGTCATTTCCAATGTCTTTGCTTGAGGTCTTCCTTTCACCCAGCACATCACCCTTTCTAGCATCACTCTGACAGCCACTGACATTCCAAACTCAGCTCATGGTCACATTAATTTTGAAGCCATTTCTGAGCCTGCCCCTCCCTTAGTCACTTACTCTGTGGTCCCCCTATCACCCCTTATCCTCTTTCTCAGGAGAATCTCCCAGTTCTCATTATGTGACATGGTGCCTACTTCTTTAGGCTGTTTCTTTGTGATGGAATGTATTAGTCTGTTTTCATTCTGCTGATAAAGATGTATCTGAGACTGGGCAATTAAAAAAAAAGATGTTTAATTGGACTTACAGTTCCATGTGGCTGGGAAGCCTCACAATCATGGTGGAAGGTAAGTAAGAGCAAGTCACATCTTACATAGATGGCAGCAAGCAAAGAGAGAGAGAGCTTCTGCAGGGGAGCTCCTCTTTTAAAAACCGTCAGATCTTGTGAGACTTATTCATTATCATGAGAATAGCACAGGAAAGACTTATCCCCATGATTCAATAAACTCCCATCGGGTCCCTCCACAACACATCAGAATTCAAGATGAGATTTGGGTGGGGACACAGCCAAACCATATCATGGAGTAAGTCGCTTAAATACAAGAGCAGTACCTTATTAGTCTTTGTGGCTTCTGAAACACCTCTTACTGTTGGAGGCTGATGCTGAAGGGCTGACTTTCTACCTGCTCTGTGCCCTGCAGCTGCACCCTGCTGGCTTCCCTTCCCTTAGTGGAGCTGGCACTCTCAGCCCAGGCACAGTAGACCTTAATGGATGCCTGCTGGTTGAATGCATATGCAGAAGTTGGTTGTAACTCTGACTAGGTCTTCTTTCCACTTACCACTTAACATGCCTCTTTCTTTGCCTGCTAGGAGATAAAATTAAAGTTGATGTGCATGATGGTAACAGATCCCAGGAAGAGAGAGGTAAATGCAAAACCAAAGACACCTGGGAGCTAAAGGATCATTTTCCCCCATTGTGCCTGTAATATATTTTGGCTCAGTGGAAATAATCTTGATGGGCTGGTGGTTAAACAATAGATTATTTGAGTCCTCTTTCCAGTTTCACTTCCTCCAGAGGAAGTTTTCACTGATCTTACCACCTGAAATGACCTCTTCCTCAACTGAGACCCACAGTTCCTATGTATACCCATCACTGCACTATGCAGATTGACAGGCAGATATGTATATGTAAGTCTGTCTATTATCTGTCTGTCTACCTATTATCCATATCTATCTATATATGTGCAATAATGGGTACACATCTATTTAGATTTAGATTTAGATCCAGATATGTATGTATGTAGGTATGTAGCCAGCTAGCTGGCTAACTAGCTAAACAGTACTTGCATACAATGGACACTAAATTTATATTTGCCAAAATAAAGGAAGACAATTATATTTTCATCAGCACTCTCCTAGTATATTGTTCTTGGACTTCGCAACTCTCATAATTCAGGAATACATTATGAAAATGAATCAGAATGAGGGAGATACACTTCAAATTAAATGAATTAAATTATTATTTAATTGCTTACTGGGATAAGTGCTCTGAAATGGAAGTACAGAGTGCTGGGAGAATGTATCAGTAGGGTCTCTAAGATAGACTGGGAGCCAGGAAGGAGTATGGCCTCTGTGAGTGATGTCAGAAAGTCAGATAGGGAGGGGGAGTAGTGAATGGAGGGCTTGTGGGGCCAGAGTGCAAAGCCTCCTGAGGAAGGTGACCATGGAATTTATCACACAAACTCATCTCCTATCAACTATACTGAATTTGGGTGCTATAAATTATTACACCAAAAAAAACAAATCAAGATTGGATGTAAAGAGCCAGTAAGGCAGCTATTGCAGTAATCCAGGAAGGATAAGATTAGTGGCTATGATTACAATAGTGGAGATGGGAATGAAGAAGTGGACAAATTGTTTAGAAGGTGGACTCAACAAGAGCCAACTGAGAGACCTAAAATTCCTCAGGCGCTTATCAGGAAGGAGGCCTGTCTTTTATATATCATCTATCTATCCTTCAATCTATCTTCTCCCAGTTAAAGCTGTAATTGTGGCACCAATTCTAAAAGCTATGCCAGTAAAAGGAGAAAGAGAAAAGGCCATCCAAACTTATAGTGAAACTAATTAAAAAAAAAAAACAACATTGAGTAGGTTGGGAGCTAAATTCTTTGTAAGGATTTGGATGGCATGCTAACAAATCTTTTACTCAAGGCTCTAGAGGATCAACTTCTACAGATTCTTTATTTTCTCTGGATTTTAGTGGGGGATTTTCCTTATGATTCAGTTCTATGGCAGTGAATTGCATTTCTCTCCAAGGCTCCTCAACAAACAATTTACAGTGTAAATATATTTGTTGGCATGCAAATCACTCTGCATTATGAGTCTTGATTAATATTATAATGTGTTGATGAAAGCCTGTAAGTGGTTCCTGGAACTAAGGTTTCAGACAAAGATGTGCTGTTTGGGTGCAGAATGTTTGTTGAATATTAGATTAGGTTTTTTGTTTTGCTTCTCTCTCTCTCTCTTTTAATTTTTTTTTTTTATTTATTTTAAGGGGATGCTTGGTGTGAAGTGGCAACAAACTTCAAAATACACAATTAATTAGCACAACCAATCTATCATCCAAACTGCACAAAAACACTCCTCCCCATGCACATGTCATGCTTGATCACACCCAAGCCTGCTTTTGTGTCTGTGGGTCCTTTGGTTCAACTATTTAGCATCTTGTTTGTTGCCAACATCCTGTCTCTAGAGAAGCATTGTTCTGTAGTATCGCATGCCTTTTAAATACTGTGTGTGCATGTGGGTTGATTAGACCATGTGTCTAATTCCCAATCTGCCCACTGAAATGCAGAGATAGTGTTATTGGGCTTTGCTTTTGTGAAGACTGGTTTCTCCTCACTAACAGTTATAAGCACATGTGCTGAGAAACAGAAATGGTGGACTCTCCACCTTAAGCAATTCAAGTATTGACTGGCACTTTTCTTTCACACACATAGCCTGAATAAACAGCAGTTCAGTGGAGGTCTCATAGATGCAGAAAATAAGCTGTGATTATGAGCATAGGGCTTTGGATGCCGACGGAACTTGGTTAAATTCCAGTTCTGCCACTCAATAGCTCCCTGACCTTGGCCAAGTTCTCAGAATTTCAGTTTCCTCATTTGGAAAATGGGGCTAATAATTCCTATTTCTTGAAATTGGAGTGAAGATTACATGAGATCACTGATGTAAAATGCTTTCCTGGACTAAAAACAACAAAAAGGTGCTAAGTAAATGGAGACTCTTACCATATGCAGATCCTCTGCCTCTGGTCCACCAGTACAAAGACAATGAATTTAGTATTTGACTGAAATCTCCTCAAGGTTTGTGGATTTTATCTAGTGGTCTCTAAGCACTTATAATCAAGTTTCTGACTCTCACCCACACTGCAGCACCCTGCTGTAGATGGATCTGGGGCTGGTGGCAGTGTTTAGAGAGACTTAGAAGCATTCAGAGCATCTCAGGAGCAGAGTCTCACCACCGCTGGAGGAGTGGACACCCCGGGCAGGAAAGGAGTAAACCAAAAATACAGCCAGAGGCCACAAAGAATAAAATAAGGAGATATAGAATGATGGAAGATAGAGGAACTGTGTTTGGTAAAGAAAGGGACAGGGGAGGTTGGATTTTGACCCAAATGAGAGACTTAGCCATGATCAGCTTTTGTTCTTGATCTTGAACAAACCTGTTCTTGTTCCGGTTTGTTCATGATCACATTTTGAAGAGACACCACTTGATAATATTTTATCTTCTATCCTCCGAACAACTTGTGAGTTGCTGCAGCCTCTGGGTAGATTATGTTACCCATAAAATTAATGTAGATTATCCATTCAGAAACATAGAAAATATACCGTGTTAATACCCAGAAGGCAGACCTGGAATGCCTTTGGTGGAAGGGTGGGGTAAATGCCATTGCACACATTGCACACCAGCCTGGGCGACAGAGTGAGACTCTGTCTCAAAAAAAAAAAAAGGTTTTCTTTACAAAGAATGTTCTGTATTGCCAAGGCAAGTATTTGTCAGTAGGTCAGGATTTTTGTTTCAGTAGGTTATCATCTCTTATTTTCTTTTTTCATTAAAATATCGTACGTGGATTTGTACAGAATATTCAAATCCATTGCTAGACAAATAGTTATGTATGCATAAGCAAAATTCAATAAAATGATCTTCAGATCTCCTATCTTTCCTGTCTCTCCTCGTTCTTGACTTGCTGCTATTTTGCTAAGAATGTGGTTGCCATCAAAAGAGAGTGTGCACGCACCCATGCCACCATACCTACCAAGACAAGTATGTTTCCTTCCTTTATTTGGAATGGACAGCCACCTTGGTTTGTATAGATTGAGCCTCCACCTGTGCTCTGGATCCTGTTTCCTGCCTCCTGTGGTTGTCCCTTCCTACTTCCTCAGCTGTCTTTTTCTATTGGACTATTTCTATCAGCAGACATACACATGCTAATAGCTTTATATTATATAATTTACTTCCATTCCAGCCCATTGGTGGTTAAGTTTTCAATATATAAATTTTAGAAAATATAAGTATTTAGTCCATGACACATATCTATTATTTTACCAAAATTCCCTTAACAATGACACTGATGACTTCTACCATAATACATTCAATGGTTAGGCTGGTCTTGAACCCCTGACCTCAGGTGATCTGCCCACCTCGGCTTGCCAAAGTGTTGGGGCAAAACCCCGTCTTTACTAAAAATACAAAAATTAACCAGGCATGGTGGCAGGCACCTGTAATCCCAGCTACTCGGGAGGCTGAGGCAGGAGAATCACTTGAACCCTGGAGGCAGAGGTTACAGTGAGCTGAGATCGCACCATGGCACTCCAGCCTGGGCAAGAGTGAGACTCTGTCTCCACATAAAAATAAATAAATAAATACAAATAAATAAATAAATAAACAAATTCAATGGTTAAAGTAGGTTTCACTATCCTTTTTAAAAACTGTTTCTTCACTTGGACCCAGGGGCATCTACCACAATCCCTGCATTTTTCCCTAATATTTTTATTTCGCTGAATTCTCATCGTCCAATACCTAAATACCGGATTTCTCAGAGCTCAGTTCTGAATCTCTTAGTTCTCTGTCTTTACTGTACCCCTGGGTGGCCTCATCCAGCTTCAGGATATTTTAATACCATATATATGCTGAGGACAACCACAAATATACATTTAGCCCTGAACAATCTCCTGAAATCCAAACTTGTGCATTCAACTGCCTACATGACATCTCTGTTTGAATGTCTAACAGGTTTTCCAAACTTAACTTGTCAAAAACTAACCTCCAGGGTCTCTAGATTGTCATACCTCTACCACCCACTCAAACTCCCTGCCAACCTTTTCCTCCTTCAGTCTTTCCTATCGTCTTGGATGACAAGTTCATTCTTCTTGTTGCTTAGGCCAAAATTCCTAGTTTTATCTTTGACTTTCCTTTTATATCTTACAGCCTGTCATAGTTTGTTCCTGCTACTGTAAGAAAGTGCCATAGCCTGAGTGGCTAATAAAACAATAAGAACTTATTTCTCACAGCCCTGGAAGCTGGAAGTCCACTATCAGGGTGCCAGCATAGTGAGGGCTTGCTTCTGGGCACTGACAGCTATCTTCTCGTTATAACCTCACATGGTGGAAAGAGAGAGCTGTCTGGGGTCTCTTTTATAAGGACACAGGTCCCATTCATGAGGGCTCCACCCTCATAGCCTGATCACTTCTCAAAGCAACCCCCTCCTAGAAACATCACAGTGTGTATTGGGATTTCAGTATAGAGGATTTTTTTAGGGAGGAGAAGGCACAAACATTCAATCCATAAAACACTCAATATTTAACACATCAACATGTCCCACCAATTCTACCTTAAAAATATATCCAGAATCTGCACATGGAGCTCCTTCACCTCAGCCGCCCTGTGGAAGTTCACACAGTCTCTCTCCTGAAGCTGTGCTCACCTCCCATCTGGTCTTTCACTCACATCCCCTCCAGCACAGATCCTCTCCGCAGAACAGGAAGAGCAATCTTGTTAGGACCTAGGGCAGCTTGTGTTTCTTCTCCGCTCGCCATCCTCCAATGCCTTTCCGTCTTCTTCAGAGTCAAAGCTAAGGCTCTATGAACAGGCTGCCCCCCTGCAGGCCCCTCCCTCGCACCGCTCTCTCCTTCCTCTCCAGCCAGCGCTCACCTTCCAGCCTCCCCAGGCTTTGCTTCTGTCCAAGCACAGGCCACACTCAGGCTCCTTGCTTCACTCTCTATTCTATTTTCCTACGTTACTTTTCTTGAGAACAACATCAACGTGGTTCTATTTGGTTTTGATTTTTAAATCTAACTCTCCCACTAGAAGATAAGCTGCATGATGCTGGGCACTCTTTTGTAGTCACGGCTGTGTCTCTAGCCCCTAGAACAGGAGCTTACAGAAAGCGGGCATTCGATACATATCTGTGAATGAGTGAGAGTGTAGAAAGAGAGGAAGATGCAGTGAACCAAACAGGATTCCATAAACCCAGCAGGAAGCAGGGTCGATATGGCTAAATGAAATCAACTGGCTTCCAAAACTTGTGCTAGTTCGTGTTTTAGTGTCTTAACAAATCCCCTCAAGTATCAAACCCATCCTAAAACCAATCTGTTATGATAACTTTTCGGAAGAATCAATATTGAATAATCTCAGGCTCACTTTTGCTTTCAACCTATTTTTCTCTAAAAAAAAAAAAAAAAGACAAGCAGCTGGAGGATAAAATAACATAATAGAATGGCTAAAATAAAAGAATCTATTGGAGTAAGATCAGGATTTGGTGTAGGATGACACAAACTCTTTTAAGCACTTGCTTACTCAATCCGTTAAAATATTATGAAGCCAGGTGAGGCAGGAGGATGGCTTGAGCTCAGCAGTTCGAGGCCAGCCTGGACAACATAGTGAGACCCGCTCCCCCATCTCTAAGTATATATACACTACGTCGCCAAAACAGCATATTGCATCTGCCATTAACTTGCCTGGAATCTGTAATTTCTTCTCAACAAAACCAGCAACTCTTTCTTATTTAGGTTGATGTCATTGTCTAATATAAACTTCTCCCTTCTGAGTTCCGTCTTCTGAGGTTCTGTTGCTCTTTCACCGGAGTCACTGAGTAAAAGATGCAGTCAATCGCAGTGTCTGAGGACTGAGGAAGAGGCTCTGGGCTGATTTCACTTCACGATGCCGTCTCCCAGTGGGCCCCTTTTGGTTGCAAGGTTGGCTGGTACTGGAAGTGATTCCTCCAGTTCCTGGAGTCACCAAAATTTCTCTGTGTTGGGATCCTATTTGACAAAAAGCTGCAATGATCTTGAGAACAAGGCCAACTTTAAGGTCTTCCAGAACCAGGTCCATCTTTCGTTCACATCTGTTTCCTTTTTCATGGTCCCAAAAGAATCTGCCACTCTTCTTTGTCACTGTGCTTCACCTGAGCCTACTTATTCCCAATTTTACACGGTTGTTCATGACTTTCACTGCTTCCTATAATACCTCTTAGCTGCTTTTCTGCCTCTGAAAACCCTAGGCCAAATTCAATTCCTGTATTGATTTTTCCTGAATGCCAGCTCCTAGTTATCTCTTTGGTTGCTAATAGTCCTTAAAAATAAGTCTTTCACTTTGGAACTTTGTCATAATCTGTTTTACCCTTCTATTTAATTATTATCACTATAATTATAAAATCAACTAATAATAGTAATTCTAGTTACTATTATTACCCTACATGCATCTTGCTCACATCATCTCATTTGATCCTTGTAGTAATCTGAGGTAGGACTTAATGTTGTTACCATTTTACAGGTAGGAAAACTGAGGCTTAGAGAACTTGCTCAAGGCCACACAGTCAGCAAGCAGCAGAGCAGGTCCTCGTTCTCAGCTCTGGGAAGCCTCGCAAGCCTTGCTCTTACCACAGGGCTTGAGCCACTCTTGCCCTTGAAGGACAGCTCTTTATCTCATGCTTTTCTCTTCAGTTCTCAGAGTGCCAAGCACCTGGAAGTCCTTAATACCTACCCGGGAGTCAAAAATGACAAAAACCCACCTCTGTGATGCTACGTTATGAAATCATACCTGCCAGAGGAGGTCCTGTAGGACCCCCTTTTTCAGATCAGTATCACTGAGATGAGTGAGTTACAAAAGGCTGGTCTGAATCCATTTTGCAGGAAAAACCTAATCCCGACCTCTGACTGTCTCGTGGGTGAGGCCGGGGAGGCAGCAGTGGAAATAATAGGTGGGATTAGACAGACCTGAGTCAGAAACCAGCTCTGAGATGCTGAGTGACCCTGAGCAAACACCTTACCCCTGAGACACAGAGGTGGGGGGAGGAGTGGGTATAAACGCCGATGAGAGTGGTGTCTCCTCACAGAGCTTTGTGGGAGAATAAATGAGATGCTTGTGTAAGTCCTGTGACATGGCACTTGGCTAGGGTGGTGTTCCATATTTTCCCTTCTTTTTGTTAAAACAAACAACAAACAAACAAACAAAATAAAAACAAAAATAACCAGAGGTCTTTTACAAACAGTTCAAAGAATGGTGACAAAAGCCTCAAGTTCTGTCTGTTGTTAGCAGTGGCTCTGTCCTGAGTGTGAAACATCACTTCTCTCCTTGTCTGTTTCCTGGAGCCAGGAAATTTGGGATTGGTGAGACAAGGGAATTTTCTGTTAGTTAAAAAAAAAAAAAACAACAACTTTGTGAAGAGCTTGGGGAGGGCAAAACTGGAGGTGCTGGGCCTCCACAGCTGCTCAGAGCAGAGCCCTGCTGGGCCTGTCCAGCTGTCCCCAGGGACAGAGCTTCCTCATCTGCCATCTCAGGAGTGGCTCCCTTGGAGTGGCAGTTGGCACCAGTGTTCCTGCCCGCTATGCAGGCCCATCTCTTAGAGGCTGGGAGGCAGGAGGATCCTTTCTGAAAGCTTCTATTGCTATGTTTCTGCTCTGAGTGCCACTCTATCCCAGTCATGGAGCCCTTTAGTTGACCCTGAATGCCTAACCAGGGTCTCATAGACACTGCTTCCACCTGGCCTGACACCCGCCTCCTTAATTACACTGCGCTCACACATTCAACGTGAAATAGCTCTGGAGGCTGCACCACCTCCAAGAGCCAGGGAAGTGGTTGGGAAGATGGAGAAAAACCCTCAAGAAAGAGAGAAAGCTTAAGACCATTGTCCTTTTTTTTTCTTTCTTTCTTTCTTTCTTTCTTTTTTTTTTTTTTTTTTTTGCAAGACAGCAATGCCTTTTGCAGCACTTTTAAATGGTTGCCAGGGAAACAGAGCAAGGGAGAGGAGAAAGGTTACATGGATGCTGGATAAAGCTAATGCAATTTTTCAAAACATCAACTGACAAGTGCTTAAGGCTCCAGAGCTTCTGGTAATGTCTCATTCTCAAAGTTTCCCTGATAGAGCCTCAAGTACCTTGATATCATCATTAACAGTATTTTAATCGTTTGTACACTATAGTTTGTCTCCACTGAAGACTTGTGCTGGTGAGTTTCATGGAACATGGTCTTATGAGACGGCTCTTTTTGGGTAGTTGGAAAGAAGCGGCTGGCATGCTGAACCACAGGTTCAGAAGCCTTGGCATGAAGCAGCATGGCTCTGAAGAAATCATCTCTAGCTTCCTCTCCCTGGAAGTAGGAGGACAGTGACTGAAATGCAGCCACAGACCATGAAGTCTACTGTGTGTGAGAAGATGTGTGTGGCTGTGTGAGTGTGAGAGCGTGAAAAAGACTGGTGCAGCAGTGAGCCTGCCGAAAGACATTTCTCCCAGGGGTGTGGTTCCTGGATGAGCTGCCTGCTCTGCTATATCCCGAATATTTAGGAGCTCGTTCACTTCCTTGATGAGCTGCCTGCTCTGCCATATCCCGAATATTTAGGAGCTCGTTCACTTCCTCGAGCTTGCTCGTGAATGTTGATTCAAACTTAGTTTCACCACTGTGGCCTCTAGAGAGTATTTATAACCTTGGCTCTCTGAAGCATTCCCCCACTTTATATTTTGGGTGTCCCCTCAGCATTTATTTGCTCCCTTTGTACTGTATTACTTTGCACATGCTTATATATTGTCTTGGGTTCTTACATCTCTGTATATTTCCTAGTGGAGTCTCACGTATGGCTCTCCGTGGCAGTGCCTAATGCAGGCTAACTTTTAGTCAATGCATAACACATGCTCAATGCCTACACACTGTTCTTTCCTCAATAACAGGCAAAAGGGTCTTCCGAACAGATGAGTATTGAGACCTTCAATTTGGCTCTCTGTATCAATGCTTACAGCAGCCTGGCTAGCATGGGTCATGGCTAGAGGTGGAGACAAAGTTTGAAATGAGCTAAGACCATATCCTCAGGAAAGCGCTGAGTTGAAATACTAGAAAGAACCAGTTTAAGAGAGGTGGACACTGGAATGATGTCCTAAAAGTTCAAAGTTGGGAGGCAAAAGTTTCAAAACAAAAGTAATGAGGGGGAGACAGTGATGGCTGGAAAAACTTCAGCTGGGGTCAATGGATTGTCTTTATGGACAAGCGAGTGCATAAAAAATGGGCCAGGAGTCCCCCCTGAATTGGCACAGAGTGGTTCAGTGGCTTGCCTAAAATCTTTCGAGGAGTTGCAACATAGGCACGTATTTTCTGTCTTCAAATTCTTTGTTTATGTCTACTACCTTTGCATGAGCCATAATATATTTTAAAACATAGTGAATACTAACTGTGGGCAGAATAGGCTAACGAAGCTTTGCTATCTAGACCAGGGTAGACACAAATGCCAAGGATCACTTAGCATGAGATGATTAGAGTAGGTACGCATGACACAAAGCATTATGCTATGTATAAGGTCCACTGTCCTGGAAAGACTTTCTGCCTGGGAGAACAATCTTCTAATGCTGTCTTGTCTGCTAGAATGCGATCTGAGTTTGTGGCAAGACAGAAATGAATAGAGACATTTTTGGCCCCTGTGTGTCACGTAGATGCTACTGTGATATAATGGGAAACTTTTAAGGCTGCTTTTCACATGAACATGGAGGGAGACCTCAGCGGAAAGCAATTATGATTTAACCTCAGGAAGACATCCCCCTGTTCTGAGGAATGTGGTGTAAAATGTGACACCAGCAGGCTTGATTAATCCATGTTTTAATCTGGATTCTAATACAGAAGTTTGGCTTTTCCTTTGGATTCCAGGAAGAGAAGTAGTTATATTCTTCTAATCTGATCAAGGAGATGGGAAGGGTCATTTCTTTTTGAAAAGTATTTTAGGAAAGAAAATTTCATGATCCTACTAATTACTTTTGTGCAATTTCTAAAAATATTTTCAGGCAAAAAGATCTTCTGCTCTGATCTAATCAGATGTCCTTCCCATAATCCTTCCTTCCTGGAGGGTTTCTGAGGGAGGTGTGAAAATATTGACATTGGGGATGGGATGGGAAATGCCTCTTTATCACTGGCAGTTCCAGTTTCCAACATATCCCAGTGCTAATCTAGTAGAGCTGGTATGCGGTGTGCAGTCTACTTCCTTTTGAACCTAAGTCTCAAGTATTTACCATTTTCTGTATGGTTGAATAATGAAGTAATAACCAACATTATCAAGCAGGGAGAAAGGGGGAACCCAGGAAAAAGACCTTGGCTCTGCTCACCAGTTCCTGAGCATAATGTGAAAGAGGAAGTCCATTCACGAGCATGACGTTGTCATGCACCAGAACCCTGCCTGTTAGGAACATGGCCCTATCATCTGATCAGTCACATAGATGACTCCATTGATCTTGGGAATACGTAAGAATTTGAGAAGGAAGCAGAAGGAAAAGTGGGCAAAGAACACATTTAGAGAAAATGTTTAGTAGGACGTATTGTAATTTACCTGGAATTCCGACTCAACCTGTTTTGGATGGAACTAGGTGTCTTAACATTTAATGTTATAGCATAATTGTACTTCAGTATTTTGAAGGAATTATTATATATGTATACATTATATATAATGAGTATATAATTACATTATATAGAGTACTTGTACATTATATATAATACTTGTACATTATATATAACGTATAAGTATATAATATATATATATTTTTATTATACTTCAAGTTTTAGGGTACATATAATATATATTATAAAAAGTATATAAAATATATGACTATGAGCCATCACAACTTTTGCATTAGTAGTGTCTTGGTTGGCATGGAGCGCTATACCAAAAATACCAGAGATAGAGTGGCTTAGATAGCAGGCATTTATTTCTCCTAGTTCTAGAGGCTGGGAACTCCAAGATCATGGTGCCAGCATATCTGGTGTCTGGGAACTCCAAGATCACGGTGCCAGCAGATCTGGTGTCTGGTGAAGAGCCACTTCCTGGCTTGTAGACAGTTGTCTTTTGGCTATGTGCTTGCATGATTGAGGGTGGGACCTCTCAGCCTCTTTCACTTCTTAAAAGAAGACTAATACCATCACTGGAACTCCATCTTCGTGAATTTATCTAAACCACATCACTTCTCAAAAGCCCCACTTCCTAAAGCCATCTCATTGGTGCTTAGGGTTTCAACATATGAATTTTGGAGAGACACAAACATGTAGTCTTTAATAATAACTAGTAAGACCACTCTTGTGTCGGAGCAGTGATCCATTGGAATAGTAGCCATGTGGATACGACTGCGGTTACGTCACTGACTGGGTATTCACAGCATAGAAAATCACATCATTATCTCACACCATTTACTAAAGGAAGTCATTTTTGAATTATGAAAATGCTTTTATTTATTTTTTAATTTTTTTTTTTTTGAGACAGAGTTTTGCTCTTGTTGCCCAGGCTGGAGTACAACGGTGCAATCTTGGCTCACCACAACCTCCACCTCCCGGGTTCAAGTGATTCTCCTGCCTCAGCCTCCCGAGTAGCTGGGATTACAGGCATGCACCACCATGCCCAGCTAATTTTGTGTTTTTTTTAGTAGAGACGGGGTTTCTTCATGTTGGTCAGGCTGGTCTCAAACTCCGGAGCTCAGGTGATCTGCTTGCCTCGGCCTCCCAAAGTGCTGGGATTACATGCATGAGCCACTGCACCTGGCCCGAAATGCTTTTAATTATCCTAATATGATTTTTTAAATGAATGAATATCGAAAATATATTTAGAACAATGCCAATGTCCAAATGCCTTTAGTGATTAGAGTTGAAATTGTAATATTATAAGGACTTAAGTTATATGGATTAAAGAACGATTATTGCATAGTTTCACAGTCCTTGGCATTTTTTTAAAGAGCCTTACTTATTGCCTCATTTAATTCTCATAACAATTCTCAGTGGTTAGAACAACTATCCTTTTGTGGAAGAAGAGTCGAGTCATGCCACTTGATGGACACGAGCACAGACCTGCACCACGTTGAGCTCATGTCTGTATGATTCTCAGGATCAAGTTCTTTCTAATATCCTAAAGTGTCAAAAATGTTTTCAGGTTTTTAACCTAGGTGTGCTAAGAAAAGATTCAGGTATATGAGTGGGGAAATTGGTTTACCAATGAGCCTGTTTAGTTTGTTTCAGAGGTACCTGATGATGGGATATACAAAGTCTCAGAAGACAGAGGTACTGAATTGAAGGCTGGCTGGGAGTGCTCACCTCAATTTGAGAGTCTTTGGAAGTGAGTGCATGAGACAGGATAAGTTCTGTCAGGCTCAGGATATACTGGGTTTCAAATAGCAGAGGCTTCCTTAGGTAGTATCAGTTATGAGGAATACAGACATCAGGAAAGGTAAGACAAATAGGATACTGCACCCTCTGTCACCCATGCTGGCACCCAGTGGATGCTGGATTTGAACTTTGAGCTTCACGTCATACTGTCCCTTCATCACATTGCCCTTTAAGCAAGCAACTTGAGAGTAAGGATTCGGTGCTGCATACCGTTATATCAAATACCTGGTATATCATCTGACACAAAGTAAACATTTAATAAATATTTGTTGAGAAATTGAACTCATAAGTAAATCCATAAATACTTTGGAATAAATACAGATCTCTGGTTGCCAACTTCCCAGGAAATGTTGTAGTTTAGAATTGTGTTCTTGCTTTCATAATGCCTCCCCTTCATGGCCTCTGTTTATTTCTTAAAAATTCAATGATATGAAAATTAATTTTGAGAATATTTTAAGAAGTTATGGCCCCACAGAGATATTCTGGCACATTACGAAACAGACTTTGGGAATCACTGACCTAGATAGAGTAGCGAGGTGATAGGTGCTACATAAATATAATAAATTATACTGAGAGGGCTCCCCAGACCTTTCTCTCCTACCAGTGCAGATGGTACAGAAATAGTCTGAAGAAACATTGAAGAATGTCTCAGGGCAGAATAACTTAACACCTTGGGCTGCTTTTTCTACCCATTTTCACGTTGTTTTATTTAATACAAAACCCATTCATTGAACAAACATACACTAATGGAGTGTGTATGTTTATGATATGCCAGGCGGAAGATGTGGCTCTGAGAAAGTAACAGTGAACCAAGCTTGCCTGGTCTTCCCATTCCCATGGAGCCAATAGCCAAGGGGCAGGGGAGGACCAGACTTAATTAAAAGAGCACATAAATAGATACATCACAGATACGTTATTGTTAGTTTCACTCCTTCAGTTAAAATGCAGGTAGTAAGAATAAGTCAGCTCTACTCTTAGCATCTTTTCCTGACTATTTATCCTTCGACACCTGCTTCTCCCTTTTCTTTCTGTACCCTCTGACTCTTCTAAGCAATATGCACATTTAGAAGTGACAGGTTAGATTCAAATACTGATCAAGTTATATTTTTTTCTTTTTTGCACAGGGTGGGGGAAACAGATAGACACAAATCAAATAACACCTGCCTTTTTTTAAGATTGTACTCCTGTAGTGGAAGTGCAATCTGTTTGTCGAAATAGGTTGAATAAGCAAAAACGAGTCCAAGTGACTGAGCTGTACCAAAACACTGATGGGGTCCAGAGAGGCATTGATTTTGACTGTACTTTAAGACTTAGTGCATATTTAATTATGATTATAATGATGATAAGCTAGCTTTGGGCTCTGGTACATTTGAGAGATAACATCATTCAGGAATTCAGAAAATAATATAATGAACACAAATTTTTATCCTCATCTTTCCTTTTCAATCTTCTTATCACACACTGTCTTCCCTTGCCTCCACCCCAACATACACAAATACACAACATCTTGATCATCTGGCTATCAGCTGGTGGGATTTTCCAGGAGATAATTATTAGGTTGGTATTATGTCCCACCCATGAAATTTTCTGCATCTGCAGCAGTACTTTTCTTGGCTATAGCTGGTTGATTGGTGCCTGTGGGTAGTTCTTTTTCAGACATCACAGCTGTTTACAAAGTTTGTTCCAGAATACTAGTTAGGGAGGAAAAAAACTTTTTCTTCTACCCACTTAGGTTCATTGCCTGGGACCTGGCAAATTATACGGACAAAATAAAGACAAAGAGGACAAACCCATAAAAATGTATTTACAGAGGCAGCATGCAAACACGTGGGAAGGAACCCAGTGATAAGGGACAAAAGGGTGCTTGGGACTTGAGCTTCTATAACATCTTAACAAAGAACAATAAATGTATAGGGAAGTGACAAGACAGAGGAAAAGAGGATCAGGCTTTTTGGGGTGACAAACTGTGAGGAGATAAATATGTGGGGAAAAGTAATTAAAGATACAAGTTATTTCAGTAAGATTTGTTATATAGATTCTGCTTGGCGTCATTTCTGAGCTGATAGGAGTCGAGTTATCTCGGGTTATTAAGGGTCTAAGCCTGCTTTTACGCAAACGTGCTGGGGTTAGCGGGTGGGAGGCTTTTTTTTCCATCTGCTGTTGCTCAATTGTTTTCAGCTCAAAATCATCTCTATGCCACGTGGCATATTTTGGGTTAGCATATTTTGATCCTCTTCATTAGTAACCCTTCTTGACATTCTCACCTTTCTGAGAGTTCAATACAAGGTTGAAGGTACCACATGCTACTACAGTCTTTGGTTAGTTTGGTTTTTAATTAATGTAAAATAGCTGATTTAACTGCAAAATAATGAAGAGACTTAAAACAAACAACTTTCAATAAAGGATGAGTCTTGTGTTTTCAAAACACCAGGAGCCGTAAGTAACTACAGTATGACAAACAGCTCTGATTCTACAGAACCACAGGGAGCTGCTTCCTCACATGGACACTGTAGAAGGGAGCACAGCCCAAACTGAGCAGTCCATCAGGCTTGTGGAGGACAAGCTATATGTTCCTCCAAGAAGGTCAGACTTTCATGTTACAAGTTTTATAAGTCACAGGACATTCTTTATAGAATTAGACATTCAGATATTCCTTGATCACCTCAAACTGAAAAATAAAATAGCAAGTTTACACTAGTGGAAGATGTATGCACTTGTGTGTATGAGTGAAGCAGGGAGGGTATTTAAACTTCTTAGACCAAAGAATGTAATCTACTCTTCAACAGATAAGCTTGTAAAACTTTCTGGCACTTAGGAATTTTCTGGTCCTAAGCATGAAGTACAGGCGACATTATACAATTAAAAGGGTGTACTGCAAAAGAATAGACATGAGTTTTGAGGTTTGGATCCTGGCTTCACTAGTTCTTCATTATTCAAATACAGGTAAGGCGCTTAGCTTCTCAGCCCATGTCTCCTTCTCTAAAGCGAGAATAGCAATGCTTCCCACTCTAGCGCAATTCCTGCCTGATCTCAGTGCATGCTCCCTACCTCTTAGCTTTGTCCAGAGCAGAGCTATCTAGGTGTCCTACAGGGGGAGAGCTAAGTGTCTGATTAATATTGAGCAGTTAGATGAGGGAAGGGAGACAGTGGAAGACTGGGGGCGATTTATAGAGGTGAAAGATAGGAACACCCCTTGACTTCATTCTGAGCGTAGAGATACCAATGGCTTTGCTCCAACAAATGCCACTGTTTCCACTTTTGATCTCTGGTTGCCCAACTCTCTTTCTCTTCTTTCCCATTTCACTGAATCCTGTAGCATCTCATAGTTTATTCTAAGACTATACCAGAATAAGGAATAAATTTGTTTTGTTGCTGTTTAGAATGTCCAAGGGCCTTTTTGACCCAGTAATTTTACCCAAGAAAAATTTTCATGAAGAAATTGTTCAAAAGTAGAAGGAAGCTCTCTACACAGCATGATTTTTAATTGGAGAAAAAGTAAAAGTAAAGGTCAGCAACATGGGAATGGCTAAGCAAATTATCCTATATTCATTCAAAGAGCTATTTTAAATAGAAATTATGAAGAATATATAGTATCACATAAATGATTATAGTAGAATAATTGTTAGGATGGAAATTATAAATTTTTCTTATGTTCTAGTTATATAATCATTCTCATTCATGTATCCACAAATATTAGCACATACAAGATCTAATAGACTATATGATGTGTCGAAAAGTTGGGATCGTGTGATTTTTCATCTCTATTGTCTTTATAACTGCTATTATATTTGTAAAACAACAAAAACTCTGGGGAATAAGTACTACGGGACAAAAAACTGCAACCCAAGGATTAATCTTTTGCCCTTGAAAAATAAAAGAGGTGTGAGATCTCTGTTTGGAATCTAATTTTACTACGCTTTCTACTCTCATTTTTATAAACTTTGACCTCCTTGCAAACCACTAACCTGTAGTTACGGAAGAATTTGGAGACTAGGCAGTCTGTTCTTTTTATTTTTTTCCAGTCACATTACTAACCAGGAGACAACAGTGTCCACATGGAGATAATTCAACACCTTGATTTGAGATGTTCTCTTCATCTCCAAGGAACAAAATCCACTTCACTTTCATCATTCCTATTCCACGACAACAAACTGAACATTTCATCATCAGGGAATTGTAATAATTATCTATTGCTATATACCAATGACTTTGAAAATTATCATCTTAAAATAATCATAATAGTCTCATCATCTCAGTTTCTGTGGGTCAGGCATGCATGAGTGGTTCCACCGGGTGGTCCCAGCTCTGAGTCTCAGGAGGTTGTAGTCAATATGTCAATGGGGCAGTGGTCATAAGGGCTTACCTGGGGCTGAAGGATCTGCTCACTAGTGCCTTGGTAATTTGGCATTGACCACTGGCAGGAGGCTTTAAGTTCATATCATGTGTCCCTCTCCATAAGGCTGTTTGAATGTCCCCATGACATGGCAGTGATCTAAGAAAGAGATCATGGTAGACACTTCAATGTCTTTTATGATGTAACTTCAGGAGTTACCCACTGTCAATTCTTCTGTAGTTCACTGGACACACAAATCAACCATAATTCAGTGTGGAAGGGTTCTGTAGTGGGGCATAACTGCCAGGAGGCAAGGATGGTTGGGGGCATTTTAGAAGTTGGCCATCACAGTTCACCCTCTGTCCCTTAACCATTCATATTCCTCCAAAACGTAAAATGCACTTACCCCCTCCCAAAGCACTGAAAAGTTTTACCCCATTACAGTGTCTGATTGGAATTCAGAATCTCATCATTTACATCAGTTCTAGGTGAGGATGATGGTCCTTCAGTGTGCTTCCTTCCATATAGCCTTGAGTAGCTTCTCTCAATCAGAAAACCTAAGAACTGAAGAGACAGTTTTTCCTGCTCTCCCCACCACACACACTGGCACACATACTCTCACACACATTCAACATGTCATAGAAGGACAGGCATAGCATAATCACTGTCAATTGTACCATTCAAAAAAGAGGACAACAGGATATACATAGGAGTTGCTGGTTCATAATAATTCTGAAATCCAGCAAAGTACATATTGACAGTTCCTTGATTCAGACACAAGGCCTGGGCTATTTCTCCATGGTTCTTAGCTCTGTCGTCTGGGCTCTTGATTTTACCTTCTCAGTCATTTTTTCTTTCCCTTTAAAGGCAGTCTTGTTCACAACTGAGTGTTTCTTTTTCCAGCTGCTTCTTGGATGTAGATGTTTGGGCATCCAAAGATCTCTTTAATTTTGTACCATCTTTGTTTTCTTTCAATCCAATCTGACAGGATATCTGTCAATAAAATCCTTTTGTGGCCAGGTGCGGTGGCTCACGCCTGTAATCCCAGCACTTTGGGAGGCCGAGGCAGGCGGATCACAAGGTCAGGAGATCGAGACCATCCTGGCTAACATAGTGAAACCGCGTCTCTACTAAAAATACAAAAAATTAGTCGGGCGTAGTGGTGGGTGCCTGTAGTCCCAGCTACTCGGGAGGCTGAGGTAGGAGAGTGGTGTAAACCCGTGAGGAACTTGCAGTGAGCCAAGATTGCACCACTGCACTCCAGCCTGGGCAACAGAGTGAGACTCTGTCTCAAGAAAAAAAACAACAACAACAACAATTATTTTGTGAGATGTATAGGTCCCTTGTGAGTATTACTGAGGTTCATTTTATTAGAAGAAAAAATATTCAAAGATCTCTTCCAGAGAAGTCTTTGTCTATCTTGGGTTTCTGCCCTTAGACAAACTTTTAAACTTCTAAGAAGCCCTGTTGTCTTACTGAATGGTTCTCTGAGGCGCCAACCTAAATCTTTCTGAGATCTTAACAAAAGATTTCACAACTACACTCTCGGTTTAATGTCTAATACCAAGTTTGCCTGATAGTTTCCTAGGCTATATTTTTTCCCAGAAGCTATTTTTTAAAATTTTACTATCAAGCACCATCTAGAGATTCTGGGAGTATTCAAAACCAGTACGCTCTGGGTCCTTTATATTTAAAAGTGTTTTCTCTAGTTCATCTCTCATTTTAGTATAAAAAGCATGAAAAACTTAGGTACACCTTCAACTCTGCCTGGAAATCTTATCTAGATCACCTAGTTAGATAGATTTTGTACTTTTATATGTTGCAGGCGATAGTTTTGCTAAGCTTTCTGCCCCACATAATAACAATCACCTTTCTTTCAGTTTCCAGTGACATTTTTTTCACTTTTCTATAAAAGATCACTCATTACCTTCTCAAGAACCATTAGGCTTATGCTACCAGTCTCTTTAAACTTATTTAGGCTTTCTGTAACATTCATCAATATCCTGTAGCCTTTGCATTGTCTGTACTTTACGTTTTTACAGTCGGCAACACCTCTTTTCTAGGCACCAAATTTTGTATTAATTACTTATTGCTATGTAGCAAATTACTCCCAATCCATAGTGGATTAAAACCACAATAATGTTGATCTCCTACAAGTTTTGTGGGCCAGAAATTCAAGAATAAGTTAGATAAGTGTTTCAGGCTTGAGTTTCTCATGAAGATGCTGTCATGATGTCTGCATCTGAAGGTATGAGTGGAACTGGAGGATCAGCTTCCAATGTGGTTCACTCATATGGCTAACAACTGGCTGCTGGCTATTTGTAGGATGCCTCAGTTCCCCACATTGTGGATTTATTGGTCTGCTTGAATGATTTCATAAAGTGGTGTCTGGCTTCCTCCAGAGTGAGTCATTCAAGAAATACCAAGGTGGAAACTGCAACGCCTTTTGTGATGCTACTGTGGGAGTCAGATACCATCACATCTGACACATGTTACTGGATGCACAGGCCTCTCTGGATTCCGTGTAGGAGGGATCTACTTAAGAAAGTGGGGATTGCTGCAGAATAAGGGAGGCATCTGGGGGCCTGGCTATCACAAAGATTCTTTATCTTAAAATCTGAAGCTCCATTGTGTGTATATGTGTTTCCTATCATTTACTGAATATTTACCATATATCAAGAATTATGATAAGTACTTTAGATAGGTTATTGTATCTAGTCTTCATAAAAACACTCTGAGATAAATGTTATTATCCCATCGTACACATAAGAAAACTGAGTCACATAAAATTTAAGTAATTTACTCAATGTCATACACCTAGGCATGGCAAGACTGGAATTTAATTTTAATTCAATGTAATTCAAAATCTTGAGATTTTAACTCTGACTTGATACTGCTTTTGACTGTCTCATATGTTCCCTCTCAGTACACCTGCCTTCAACTTTAGAGATTCCTAGTCCTGTTTTCTCCCAATCTGTCAGCATCTCCGTGGGCTAGTTTCTTTTCTTACCCAGCTCATCTCATCTCTTTCTCAGCACACTTTTCTCTCTTTTGTAACCTTTGTGTTTTCCACAACACTTACCACGGTGGATCAATGTGACACTCAAATTCTTTGTTTCATACCCAGGTTACTGAGCTCAGGTGAAGAAAATGTCACACATTCTGGATTTGTGCCACTACTAATGTGTGGTCTCTAGCTCCAGCTGAACCTCAAAAGGCCGCACAATTATTTCTATCTTTGACCACATCTCTTTCCCATTCTTAGGATTACCATTCCAAACCTTCACTATCTTGAACCCCATCCTACCCTTTTCAATCTCAGCAAGTAGAATGATCTTCTAATACCTCTCAGCTACACACATATATCCAATTTATTTCCCCCTGTTTCTAAATATTATGTGCCTCTTAGCAGACAAGCGGAAATCTTCTGCTTGTTCTTTTAATCCTCTTTTGCTCATCTACTATGGGTCATTGCTATATGAATTATCTCCTTTGTCTTGTATCTATACCTCCCTTCGCCTTCTTACTGCCTGCTCTCTCCTTTCCCTGAGTCATGTGGCTTCCATGACTTTAACTATCATTCTCAAGGAAATCTTTAGCCAAGGCTTCTGTTTTCTTTCTCAGTCACCCATCTTTGTTAAATGTTCGCTCCCAGAATTATTTCATCTTCGTGATGATTTTTATCTTTTTGTGTGTTTGTAATAATAAAGTAAAACATATCATTGAGATAATGTGAAAAGAAATGAAAATTTATAACAAATAAAAAGCCTTCACTCACCACCTTCCCACTGCTCTATCTCATCTTCCAGAGAAACTATCTTTCAATATTTAGTGTGTCTCCTTTTAATCATTCTGCCCTCAATAATACTACTACTTCTGTGTCCTTTCCTCCTAAGCCCCAGATACTTGCCTTCTGTTCTTCAGGTAAATTCCACCAAGGCTTCTTCCGTAGTGGTCACCATTAATCTCTAAATACTGAATTCAATGGACATATTTCAACCTGTGTCATTCAAGACTTTTCTGCTTTATTTCATGCAGTTCAATTGTTCTCTGTCTCCTGCTTTCTTATAACCTAACAATCTCTCTTGGTTTGCTGTCCATTTGGGGCCTTTCTTTCAGGTCTCCTTTCTGGATTTCTCTCCCTGAAGCCTCCCCTTACACACTGGGGTTGTAGGGTGCCAGCTTTTTTCCTCACTGTTCTCTTTCATCCTCCCTGAGAATTCATCTTTATCATCATCATTTTAACTACCGTTTCATGATGATGACTGTTATAGCCACATCTCCAGTGAAGACCACTCTCTCAAGATGTACGCATGGAAATATCTGAAGCAGGAACCTCAGACTCAATACCCTCAAGATAAACCCATCAATACCTCCCCATTTACTACTTTGTCTATAACCCCTTTCTCCCTTAACAACACCACAATCTCTCTTAGCAAGTCTTGTCAGAAACCTGGGATTTGTCCACGAATTTTCCTTTCATTTATCCCCCACTTAGGTGTATGACTTAGTTGTCATTGGGGAAGGTAGATTTTTGTCTTAAATATTTTTTGAATCATTCACCTCTCTTCCAACTTCTGTAGTAGTGACTTAATTTAGGTCCTTATTATTCTTGTTCGAACTTTAAAAACATATTCTCCTAACTAGTATGTCTGCCTATAAACATTCTCCCACCAACACTTGCTCTGTCTCACCATACATCCCCATCTCCTCCAAAACATATAGAACTGATAATTCTCTTTGGACACAGTGTTCTCTTTAAAATAATACTTATTAAATCCATGCATAATTCCTCATGCTGTCAGCAAACTCAAATCCATTCTCTTAGTACGTATGGTATATAATATGATCACACCCTGTAATTTTTTCCAACCTCACCTTTCATACCTCTTTCATATCCTACTACTTCTACCTCTATTTAATAATCCTGATACACCTATTTGCTTTGCATTTCCTACATGCAGTTGACAATTGTATTTCTTTTTGCCATGACTTAAATTGTGTTATCTTTCTAGAAGGCTTTCCTTAGTATCCCCAACCCTGTTAGCTGCTTATTCATCTTCAAGAGTCAACTCAAAAATCGTTAACAGTCTAATTTTCTGGAAAATCTTTTCTTAATTCCCCATCATAGTTAGATGCCCCTCTGTGGACTAACGCAACACACTCAAATCATTGCAAGCCTAACATGAAGACCCATAACCTTACAATGGCCTCAAAATGCACCCAGAATGTAGTGGGTGAATTATATAAATGTGCCAATTTTAGTGGATGAGTTAACATATATAGACATAACTCAACTTTTGATCATAGACTGGCTTATCTTTCATAGTCTGTAAGGCAATACACTGTGGCACATTTCTTTGTCTTAGTCTTATCTAAGAGAACCAAGCTTTATAACTCTTTAGACTAAGGTTGACTTGGATTGGCATCACCATCAGATTTATTAGGAGTGTTACAACCTTCTAGAAATTTGGAGGGTCTATTTGGTTTGGGTCCATATTCATTCCTAAACCACTCATTGTCCTGACTTTCTTGGGTCCTATGCTGATTTTTGAGTCTTTAGATTTGTGCTGCCAATGCAGTAGCCACTAGACATGAGTGACTAATAAATTTAAATACACATTAATTAAAATTAAACATTTGCTTTCTTAATCACCCTATCCATAGTTCAAAAATCCAATAACCATATGTGGTTACCCCACTGGACAGGACAGTTGATGGAACATTTCATTATCACAGAAAGTTCTCCTGAACTGCACAGCTCTAGATTCAAACAACAATAATAACGAAGCAGACAGAACAACAAACAGATGAAAAAACATACCTTTTTCTTACATCAAGAGCTGTTTTTCTAGGTTCAAGACTATCCTGAGCTGATCCTTCCAAATCCTTTCTTCGCATGTTCAGTTTGCCAGACTGATATTCACCAGCTGATTTTCCTTCTACAAATACAGGCTTCATGTGATGTTATAAGCCAGCTTTTGGATTTAATTTAATCTTCTTGGTGGCCAACTGGGGTCTTGGTGGTCAAGCAGATTTCAACCACTTTCTGTCCACACCTTGTGCCTGTCTTAGTTTGGGCTGAAGGACACTCACATTTCCAGCTGATTTATGAAGCAGAGATTACGTCTTCTTTTGAGGCCAGTAAACATTCTAACATCCCCTGGTCCAGGTTATCAGAACTGCTCTCTTCCACAGAGAATTGTCCCTTTGACAGTTTATCACTCAGGTGCTTCTCCAGGGGGTTATCTTCCTGAGTTCCATCACCACATTTTTATACTATCAAAATTACATTACACAGAGAAGAAAATAATTGACATCGTATTTATCAAGGGAGGATCAGAGCTATTTTCCCACACCCGCTATTCTTCATTTCCTTTTAGATTATTTTAGCCAATTATGCCTTTTTATTAAGAGAAGATTACTTGTTGTGTCTTTATTTTGTGGTTGTTTCCACTACAGTTAATTAATATGATGCCATGGTCTTAAAGAATGTCTAGTATATGGATTGATTTGTGTTATTTATTAATCTTTATTTTAAATAGTCAACTGCATTTGGTACCTGTTACACCTTTAGTTAGGCTGCATAGAAATCTCTACTGAAAATACAAAAAAAATTAGCTAGGTGTGGTGGCGGGTGCCTGTAATCCCAGCTACTCGGGAGGCTGAGGCAGATAATTCCTTGAACCCAGGAGGTGGAGGGTTCAGTGAGCTGAGATCGTGCCACTGTACTCCAGCCTGGGTGACAGAGCAAGACTCTGTCTCAAAAAAAAAAAAAAAAAAAAAAAGTCACATAGAAGACTGCATTGGTAAACAAAATCCGAACCCTTTTCTCAAGGAACTCAGTTTGTTGTCTTTGTGGTGATGACTCAGAATAGTCTGTCCTGGAAAAGCATCCCTTTGGTGCCATATTAAGTAAGTTCTACTTGCCTTTGGTAGAATATCCTGCTCATCCCCTTCATGTGTACCTGGGCTGGCTTCTTCCTTCCTGTGTCTCCTGACAACTGTTCTCACTCATCAACCAACAAAGGCGGTCTGATGTTTTCTGACAAACTCCACGGCTGTCCTGCAGAAGGCATTTGAATGCAAACCACATGGACTAAGAATGTAATCTTAAGGCGTTAACACCAGCCTTTTCTCATTCTGGAACCCTTTTGACTGAGTAGATGCAATTGCTGCAAAGTCTTTCCCATTGGGAAAGTGTGATTAAACTGTGGCTGCTGAACCTTGGATGAGCAAAGGAGACAGACGATGTACCTGTCTGGGAGTTCCAGAATACACAGCTACTGGAGTAACATTAAGGATCTTTTGGCATTCTGTTCCTGACACAGGTGTGACTTATGCTCAAGTTTGACCAGCCCGTTTAACCTTTGTCCAACCTTGGAAGAGTGTGTGTGTGTGTGTAAAATCTATAATATGGGTGTGTTCGGTTTTCACAGATCCAGGACATCATGAGATAGTGCAGCTGAATGTGCATTTTAAGATTAGTTAAACATCCATTCATGAGGGCTTTAAAAAAAGCTGCCTGGGTATGTACAATGTATCTTGCTTTTACTTGAGCTCTACAAGGATGTTGTTAAATAAAATCATTGTGCATAATGTGAAGTGACAGTGAGTCCAAGTGAGTCCACAGAAAGTTCATTTTTACTCTCATCTTCCCTGAGGCTGCTACACTTCTCTCTTCCATCGGTGGCATTTGAGAAGAGTGCTACTTCTTGACCCCCTAACCAGCCTTTCTTTCACATTGAACTTGTTCACTTTCCTTTTCCTTCTGCTTTTATTTTATCTCCTCCTCGTTCTTCTCCTCCATCTCCTCATCATCATTATTGTCTTTCTCCTCCATCTACTTTCTTAATTTTTTTTCACTGGGGCCCAGCATTGGGGTGGTAGAAAGAGCACAGACCTGGCAGTAGTCAAAATTGAATGGGCATCTACTCAGCTACATATTTAATTCAGGGGAATTTTGTAATTTTTCTGAGTTTGTTTCCTTGTTTCCACATGGCATCAGGAATGTCTACCTTTCAGTATTATTATGATGATTAAATGAGTTCACATGGGCTATTTACATCATAGCACATAAATCCTGTTATATTTAATTAATTCAGCAAATATTTAGTAGCAGCTACTCTATGCCTGGTACTATTTTAGGCACTTAGGTTACAGCAGGAACAAGTTATACCCTGTCACCATGGAGGCTGTGTTGAAGTAGGGAGAGAACTTCAAAAACCAAACAAATCACAAGTGAGCAGGTGATTAAAAAAAATGCTAGAGAGAAAAGTAATTAGTAGCAATTAGTATATACTGTTATTATTATTGATTTTATTATTGTATGTTATCTTCTGGCTGGCCCCTCTGCTATTTTCCTAGCTCCATCATCTTTTGTCTCTTCTTGCAGCTCTGCACACCCAAACGATGCCTTCACAGTGATTCCAGGGCCTCAGATTCCCCAGTGAGTTGACATGACTCCGCTTGAAAGAGAGATCAAATACAGAGAAGGAATGATTTATGAGACTCCTGTCACCCAGGCAGGACACTCTCAGCATATCCTCAAATAATTCGCAACTCCCTTTCTGCCTGGGGCTACAGGAGCCTGGCCAGGGGAGACAGGGTGCGGGCGCTGTCCGGGGTGGGCGGGCTGCGCCGGCACAGGTGTTCCCATGGAGCAGCCCTGCTTGTTACAGGCGCGGCACACGTTTTCGTCTTTCACCAGTTTACCCTGTAAATCAAACGTCCATGCTGTTCTTGAAGCTCCCTGGTGAGCTGTGTGGTAAACCTGTTTCTTCCTCCCTCTTAGCCGTGGAAGGGAACTTCTGAAGGACAAACCCCACTGCCCTTCAGATCTGTCCCAGCTTACCCGGCAGAGGAGCTGGGGAAGCCCAGAGCTGCGTGCACCAAGGGCTGGCTCAGGATCTTGGCCTGCACTCGGCCTTGCCACTGCTGAGCTGTCATATTACACCTAGCTTTCTTTTTAAGGGTGAAATTTTTTAGAATAGGGAACTAATCCTCCTCAGGAGATAATTTCATAGGGCTGTAGGAGGATATTTTATTCCATGAGTATTTTCCCGACTGGAGATTCCAGAGCAGAAGTGCCAGCCCCTGGGAGGTTTTAAAAATCCCAATGCCTAGGACCTACCCTAGGCCAATTAAATCATAATTGATGGGCATGGGACTCGATGTCAGTATGTTTTTAAAGACGCCTGGATGATTCCAGCCTGCAGTTGAGGTTGAGGATGACTGTGCTGGGCTCTAGGGCTCCGGGTGTGCCAGGAGAGCAGCTGGGGCTTCCGTTTATGCAGCACACAGGAAAGGCCCATGGCTATAGGGGTGACAACAGAGCTCTTTCCTCCCCAGGAGAGCCCTGGCTGGCACAGAGGAGGCCTCCACGCCTGTTTGTTTTCTGAATGGACAGATAAATGGAGAAGCCCACAAGTTACCGGGAGAAATGAGGATGGGAACCTCGGTTCACCTAAATCTCTAGGCACAGGTGAAACGTCAGATCACCTAGTATTGAATAGCAGGGCTTTAGACTCAGAATACCTGGGTTTGCAATCCACTTACCTAACCACGTGACCTCAGGAGAGCGACCCTACCTCTCTATGCTGGTTTTCTTCTCTGTAAAACAGAACTCTTCATAGCACCTTCTCCAGAAGGATGAGAAAATTAGTTGATTGATGCGTATATATAGTGCTCATGACAGTGTCTGGCACAAGTGAGTCCCCGATAAATGTTAGCAATCAGCGTAGTGCTAAGCATTGATGAATGTGCAGTGTGTGTGAGGAGCTTCAGGAGCACAGAGAATGCTGGACTCATTCCGCATGGGGTCAGGGAAGGGTCCATAGATAAAAGACATTAAAACGGAGTTTTACTGTAGGATTATTTTATACTGAACAACTAGAAAAAGGGAGGGGTTTGGTAGGAAGTGCGGAGGGATGGGAGGTATTTCAGGCACATGGAACCATGTCCTTTACGTCTGTTGGATGAGCGGTAACTTAAAGTAATAGAAGCAGGCCCAAATGGCCTTGCAGTTTTTTAACGCAGATAAATCCCCATCCTAACTCTCTGCTTCCTCTTCCACGGTCCTGCTTCTGGACCATGGCGGTTGGTTTTCCTAGCCACCATCCTGCCAGCCCACACACACACTTACGCTGCCCGCTCAACTCTTTGGTTCTACAAGGAATCAGTTCAATATTTCTTTTGTAACTGGAAATAATCTCTCAAGCTACAAACTTAGACTAAGTCTTCAAAACTGTAACCTCATTATTATGAGGTTTTCTTTAAAAAAAAAAAATGTTGATATGGTTTGGCTGTGTCCCTACCTAAATCTCATCTTGAATTTCCATGTGTTGTGGGAGGGACCCAGTGGAAGGTAATTGAATCATGGGATCAGGTCTTTCCCATGCTGTTCACATGATAGTGAATAAAAGTCTCATGAGATCTGGTGGTTCTATGAGGGGGAGATTCCCTGCACAAGCTTTCCCTTTGCCTGCTGCCATCCATGTAAGATGTGACTTGTTCCTACTTGCCTTCCACCATGATTGTGAAGCCTCCCCAGCCATGTGGAACTGTAAATTGATTAAAACTCTTCCTTTTGTAAATTGCCCAGTCTCATGTCTGTCTTTATCAGCAGCATAAAAACAGTAGAGTGGGGCGCTGCTGAAAAGATACCCAAAAATGTATAAGCAACTTTGGAACTGGGTAACATGCAGAGGTTGGAACAGTTTGGAGGGCTCAGGAGAAGACAGGAAAACGTGGCAAAGTTTAAAACTTCCTAGAGACTTGTTGAATGGCTTTGCCCAAAATGTTGATAGCAATATGGACAATAAAGTCCAGGCTGAGGTGGTCTCAGATGGAAATGAGGAATTTTGGGGAAACTAGAGCAAAGGTAACTCTTGTTATGTTTTAGCAAAGAGACTGGTAGCATTTTGCCCCTGCCTAAGAGATTTGTGGAACTTTGAACGTGAGAGAGATGATTTATGGTATCTGGCAGAGAAATTTCTTTCTTTTTTTTTTTTTTTTTTGAGATGGAGTCTCGCTGTTGCCCAGGCTGGAGTGCAGTGGCGTGATCTCGGCTCACTCTGGCAGAGAAATTTCTAAGCAGCAAACCATTCAAGATGTTACTTGGGTGCTGTTAAAGGCATTCAGTTTTACAAGTGAAGCAGAGAATAAAAGTTTGGAAAATTTGCAGCCTAACAATGCAATAGAAAAGAAAATCCCATTTTCTGAGGAGAAATTCAAGCCCACTGCAGAAATTTGCATAAGTAACAAGGAGTCGAATATTAATCCCCAAGACAATGGGGAAAATGTTCTCCAGCACATGTCAGAGATCTTCGCAGTAGCCCCTCCCATTACAGTCCCAGAGGCCTAGGAGGAAAAAGTGGTTTCCTGGGCTAGGCCCAGGGCCCCCCCTGCTGTGTGCATCCTAAGGACTTGGTACCCTGGATCCCAGCCACTCTAGCCATGGCTAAAAGGGGCCAATGTAGAGTTTGGGCTGTGATTTCAGAGACTATAAGCCTCAAGTCTTGGCAGCTTCCACATGGTGTTGAGCCTGCCAGTGCACAGAAGTCAATATTTCAGAGGATGTATGAAAACGCCTGGATATTCAGGCAGAAGTTTGCTGCAGGGGTGGGGCTCTCATGGAGAACCTCTGCTAGGGCAGTGCAGAAAAGAAATGTGGAGTTGGAGCCCACACACAGAGTCCCTACTGGGGCACTGCCTCATGGACCTGTGAGAATAGGGCCACCATCCTTCAGACCCCAGAATGGTAGATCTACTGACAGCTTGCACTGGAAAAGCCTCAGACACTCAACGTCAGCCCATGAAAGTGGCTGGGAGGGAGGCTGTACCCTGCAAAACCACGGAGTTGCCCAAGATATGGGAACCTAACTCTTGCATCAGCATGACCTCGATGTGAGACCTGGAGTCAAAGGAGATCATTTTGGAGCTTTAAGATTTGGCTGCCCTACTGGATTTCAGACTTGCATGGGGCCTGTAGCCCCTTTGTTTTGGCCAATTTCTTCCGTTTGGAATGGCTGTATTTACCCAATGCCTGTACCCCCATTGTATCTAGGAAGTAACTAACTTGCTTTTGATTTTACAGGCTTGTAGGCAGAAGGAACTTGCATTGTCTCAGATGAGACTTTGTACTATGGAGTTAATACTAAAATGGGTTAAGACTTTGAGAAACTCTTGGGAAGGCATGATTGGTTTTGAAATGTGAAGACATGAGATTTGTGGGGTGCGGGGGGAGGACAGGGGTGGAATAATATGGTTTGGCTGTGTCCCCACCCAAATCTCTTCTCAAATTCCAACTTGTTGTGGGAGGAACCAGGTGGGAGGTAATTGAATCATGGGGGCAGGTCTTTCCCATGCTGTTCTCGTGATTGTGAATAAGTCTCACGAGATCTCATGGTTATATAAGGGTTCTTTAACAGCAGTGCAAAAACAGACTAATACATAGAAGAACTTAATGTTTGTCTCATTTCCATTATACCTGGGGGCAAGAATTTATTCTTAGTCAATTCTGAACGAACTTGATCAGGTCAGCATTTTCTCTCTCTCTTCCAGGGTGTCCTTTATGTTTTGGGGAAGCTTGCTTAGTGCACTGTGCTAAAGAAGGGGTGGTGGGAGGTGGGTTCTGTCCCATTCCTGGACATGCTCTGACCTGGAGTTGCCCTCTGAAATGCCCTTGTGCTAGTGTGGTCTTGAGTAATGACCCACAATTTCCCTATGCCACTCTGACAGGCATCTATGTACCCCTGCTCAGCTATTTCACACCAGAACAACTGGGCAGTTCTCTTGAAAAGCTGTGTCTGGCTGTCTTAGGCTTTATTTGCTTAAGAACCCCACATGGCCATCTCTGCCATGCACCTCAAGGCCTGGGAACCAACTTCCTCTGCAGATTTTCCACCCCCTTCTCTCTAGCCAAGGGATTTTTCATTTTCCCTGGAGCAGAAGGAAAGGGCTAGAGGACCATCCTACTTCCAGAAATAATTTCATAAATTGTGTCCACCTTAGAAACTCTAAGCCCATAGATTAATGTATGTGATTTCTCTTCACATGCCTGCAGTTAACAACAGTGCCTGGAGGGCATAGGCCTGGAATGGCTTTGCTGCCTCAGGAAGTGGGCAATGAGAAAGAGAAAGGAGAGAGAAGGGAAGATAAAGCAGATGGATTTAATAGGGGATGAAATATAGGTAAAAATTCCTAAACATTATTCTATGATACGTTTCATTAAAAAAAAATCACTAAAATTACCGAATGTTTACCATATGACACTCTTCACTAAGCGTTTATTTTTCATAACTGGCTCTTCTATTTTTTACAGTCACCCTCAGAGGCAGGTATATATTGTGGGGTTCAGAAGGAGTGATTAACCGACCTATATTATGTGGTGGGAAATAGCAGAGCCCAGATATCACCCCAAATCTGCTTGGCTCAAAGCCCATGCTCTTACCCACTCTGCTGTAATGCTTCCCCTCACCTAATGTGTGAAGTTATGCAAGAACACACCATATGAATGCTTAAAAATACTATTGAGGAGCTTGGCATTAATATACGGTTTTGGTGAGTAAATGGGTATCTTAAATCTGCTATGGTTGTTTTTTATATGAAAAGCATGCTGTGGCACATACCCTTGAAACATAAATAACCATTTCCTAATCACATGGCCCTTTGTTCTCTTGTTTCTTCAGTGGACTTTGTATATTGGGTTCTGTCTAGGCAAAGTGCATTATCAGGTTCTCTTTTTGGTCTAGAATGATCCATTTTCTGTGTCTGAGCAGAGGCAGCTCCAGAATATCATCTCTGGGGTCAGACTGGTCTGTTCCAATCAACCTCCATCTCTCACTGTCCCCTTGATACTTTTTCATTGAATCATAGGATATGGAGAGTACTGTGTGAAATTTGTGTGAATAAAGATAAAGCATATAAAGTGAGATGACACTTTAGTGACACTGAAGCAATCGTGTTAAAACTTCACCTTTCGCTGCAAGGGCCAGCCTGGGAGATCTGACCTCTCACTTAGGATCTGACCTCTTCTACTTGATCCTGCCCAGTTCATGGAGGGCTGGCAGTTGACCCACGGGTCTCCCTCCTACTGCTAATGCCTCTTGATAAATAATAAGGAGACATGATAGATAGCTACCATAAAAACCAAGCATATCAACTAACGATGATGTTCCAATAATCTAGTGAGCTCCTCCCTAGAAACTGCATACTTCTTGAGTGTGGACTTAACATGTGAGAACAGGCTGCCTTTGTCCATCACAACTTGTCCAGCTCAGCTGTCATTTCTGTGGCTCTCCCTGGAGTGCAGAAAAAGGAGAGTGCTAGCTGATTGCAATAACTCATGTTCTTATCTCTTTAGTTTTTCATTTCCTTTTGTTTTTATAAGAAGAAGAATCAACCATTTTAGATTAGCATATTTTTAAAAAATGCAGGTAGCTTCTTCACCAGCCTGCATCCCCTCTAAAAAACAACTTTATAAAATGGATGTGGTGTGAGTTTAGATACCTGTTAGAAAGAAGTATGAAAAAAAAAAATAGGCCGGACGTGGTGGTTCACGCCTGTAATCCCAGCACTTTGGGAGGCTGAGGCAGGTGGATCATGAGGTCAGGAGATCAAGACCATCCTGGCTAACACTGTGAAACCCCATCTCTACTAAAAATACAAAAAATTAGCCAGGCATGATGGTGGGTGTCTGTAGTCCCAGCTACTCGGGAGGCTGAGGCAGGAGAATGGCATGAAGCTGGGAGGTGGAGCTTGCAGTGAGCCGAGATCACTCCACTGCACTCCAGCCTGGGCAACAGAGCAAGACTCCATCTCAAAAAAAAAAAAAAAAAAAAAAAGGGAAGGAAAGAAAAAATACATTCCCTTTGTTTCAGCACATAAACAGCTCCCTCTTAAAAGGAAATCCAAATAGTTTCAAACAGGTTCTTGTTTTTAGTCACTGATCTTTCTCTCTCTCCTTTCCTTCACTTCCAGATGTCTTGAAAGCCGAGGCTATTTTTGTTGCCTCTGCTTCTTATTTTCCTATTCAGTCTTCGTCAACAGCAGTCCGGTTTCTACCCCACCACTGCACAAACCACAGACTTGCTAAGACTACCTATAGTCATCTCAGGTGTGGACCTCCTTGTTTCATCCCTCATACTTCCCTCGTGCATTTATCCTTCTTCCTCTCACCAGAGTAATCTTTTCAAAATGCAGCTGAATCGTAACACTTCTCTGCTTAATATTCTGCCTGGGTACCCAGCTCCCAGAGATGAGTTTGCAGCCCTTCACATGGCATCTGAGGTCCTTGCCTCTTCCCGAAAGCACGCCTTGCTGCTGGGCCACCTGTCCTCACATGCCTTGCTGGTCCCTAGCCAGCTGTGACCCCTTACCAGGCTGTTCCTCCGCAGAGCTTCAAGCATTTATCCTGTCTGCTGATTCTGCATGTGGTTTTCTTGTCCTCCTTGTCTGCTGGCCAAAGTAAAGACTTATCTGAAGCATGGCCTCCTCCATGAAGTTTCCCAACTCCCCTCAGCATGCAGACATCCAAAACATGAATATGACAGTGTGCGTCACTTCACACTAACTATCCTGCAAGACACACACTCCAGTTGGCTTGGACAAAGTTCGTTTCTCAGCTTTGTGTCTCCAGCATTGAATAAACACCCTGGCACATAATGTTGAATGAATGAATGAATGAATGAATGAGCAATCAAACCATATTTATATCCTAAAATGTCAATCCATGTGAGATAATGTCAAGAGAAGAAATGGGGATTCTGTATGAGGGATTTAGAATTTAAATTTAATTTTAAATGATTGCTGGCTAAGTTATCTAGGAGCATCATTTTAATTAGTTTATCCAGAATTATAAGTTGTAATTTTGCCTTATGTTAAAAAAAACTCTATGTAAAGCTATTAGGGAAAAAAATGACAGGCATGTGTTGAATTGTAGTTATGAAATAGTCTATGTACACAAGGTAATAATATTATTATGTGATTTTAAGAAGAATTTTATAAATAGGTCACCACTGACTATACTGTATCTCCAGCTAATTTTCTTTCCAGTTTTCTCAATAATTGGATCCTAGGTCAGTCTTTAGCTGTGGAAGAAGAGCTGACAATAAAATAGACATTTAGAAATCATCTCTCCATAATTCCATCCAGAATAAATTCCCGGGTAAATAGCGAGCCAATTAGAGAAATATATATATGCTGATGAGGTTTTGAAAGCTACACCAGTGAACTAGTGGAGACTTTTAAATGCCTGGATTGATCAGGAACTTTGAATTGACAGCCTCTTTTTGGCAAATGCAGTTTTTAACTGCAAGTAGCTTCTTCCAGAGACTTTAAAAAGAATGTTTGGAGAAATGAGTTTGGAATTTAAAATGGATGATCATTTATCTTTTCCTTGCACTAAGTAGTCAGTAAAGCTGAGGCAGGCCATAGGAGGCCCTTTAGAGCTGCTCAGGAGGTAGCCCACAACGACTTGGGAGAGAGGGCTGTGGCCAGGTCTTGGCCGGCAGGCTAGCTCCTGGGGTACAGATGCCATCAGATGTTTTGACTATGGACTGTGGCTCAGGGCCTGGTCTTCCATCCTATCAGGCCAAAACATGACTTTACCAATGCATGCAGAGCTGTGCAGTCTCTCTCGCATGGGCTAAACTCACAGAGATTGATGTAAAATCCAAAGGGCTCATTCATTTATTTGTTATGAGATATTTCCCTTTCCAGTGCAAGCATTTTACCGGCACACTTAGTAGCAGCATAAGTTTTGTGCCATGATTATGCCTTCTCTCTGCTGGTCCTTGGTGGATCCAGGGAGCAGAAGCAGGTAGCTGTCCCCAGATGACTCTAGTTCCAAACGGTTTCGCACATGAGACATCTGTGTGGGCTAACCCACAGCCTTCCTGGAGTGCATGTGGAGAGAGGACACACCAGGCTGAAACTTGCACTCGGAGCTCAAGCTCATTTGTGCAGCAACTGGCAGAACCTGGCCCCTGCCTATCTGTACCATCTGGAGAAGTTGAGGGGCAACTCATAGAAGCTGTGTTTAGGAGAAGACACACATTTCTCTAGCTTTTTATTTCAATATAAAGGGATTTCTGAGTGTGTCTGACTGCTTGCCTCTCTCCCTATCTCTTCCTGACTTCTCCTGGGGGAAGAAGCTGTTCTCCTGCCAGGGGAGCTTGTGAGCAGGAATCTGCCTGGCTGAAAATGCACCCCTTCTGGTTCTCCTTGGCAGCAGCCTGGCCGCAGCACACAGACATCCTGGTCTGCTCGTGGTTGCAGCACAGAGGCCTGCCTGCGACCACATTGTTAATTTAAACCGGGGAGAAGTAAGGGAAAGCCCTTTGTACCGCAGTCACACCCCTCCCCCATGTCTGGAGCAGCGTTGACACATTGACCTCAGGTTCTCGTCAGTCTCTCAATGAATCCTGAACTCAGAAGAGGAGAGTGTTACTTATACCCTCCCCAACACCAACCAAAACCAAACATATGAACAGGAAAACAAGCCATTTACCACACAGGATGTGCCTTCGCCACTCACAGAGCATGACCTATTTCTCTGTCTCCCCAAACGAAAACGCGGAAGGCCACCTGTCCTGACTGCGGTAGTGTCTGCATGACAGAAGAACACGCGCCTCCTGGACGGCGCGCCCGGGCCAGAGAGCCAGTGCCTGTCAGTCAGGGACCCTCCACCCTGCTTCCTGGGCCCTCTCCTTGCAGGGCTCCCTTCCCTTCTGTGGCATCGTATTTTGGGGTCAGCCTTGAGAGGGCTGCAGTTCTCTGGGAGATCACCTCTCTGTGCCTCAGGGAGGGCACGATTGACCGTAAAGCCATGAAGCTATGCTTCTGTCTCTCACTTCCTTTCCAGACCCTTTGGAGATCTGGCGAGGAGCCCTAGCAACGTGCTCAGATGCTCATCTGTTGATAAAATTTGTAAAATAGGAGATGTCAACCCAGGGAGTCACTGTCTCTTTCCCTTCAGACTCTGCTCCTTCACACTCCTTTCCCTTTCCTGAAACCTGGGGCTGGAGTAGGAACACGGGGCTTCATTTAGTAAGGACGTGTTTGTGTGCCCGCGTGTGCTTCCCTGTGCAGTGAGAGCATTGCTGTCCTCACTGGGATGACCCCAGAAGCACACGTCCACTATCCACAGTGGTGTAGCTACCCTAGCCACATAGGACACGTATGGACACGTCAGCCAGCGCCTTGTGCAGGAGCTGTGCAGGGACACAGAAGAAACAGGCTGACCTAGGGAACTCACCCCACCGTCGTGAGAGTAAATCCACCAGTGGATGGCTCAGATCTTACGGATGCCTGGTCCTAAGGGATTTCTCTCTTGCCAGGTATACACATGACCGTGCAACACACACAGTTAAAAGCACCCCCTACAGTGTTTTAAGACTTGTAATGTGGTTTATTTTATCATTCTAAATACTCATTTTGAATGTAATTTAGCCCTCATTCTTTTTCTCGAAAGAACTCACCCCAAGTTGTAAAAGCTGCAGATACCATAACACCTGAACCCACCACTGGTGCTACAGGATAAAATTTAAATCACGTCTGCTCCACGGCTTGAGCTCGAGGAGAATCTCCTGCGAGTACAGAGACAGCGCACCAAGACCCAGGAGGAAGCCAGTGAAAGAATGTGAACCAAATTGGAGTGGAGACACTGAGCCTGAGATACCGAGTTGGCTGTTGGCTTGAAAAGAAGCACGTCTCATTTCTTTGGTTCCCCAGCTGGGCTGGGAGATGTGGTTTGCTATCACTGCACCTTGACGATGGTGTGGAAAGGGAGGTTTCCTGCACCCTGTGCAGAATGCAGGAAGAACCACAGGATTACTCTTCAGTGATGGTTGCAGGGCCATCTACCTGTTCTCTGTAAACTTGACGGATTGAAGATCCCTAGCGAATGCTGTCCTTGCCTCCATACACAGCACAGCTTATTGACTTCAGTTTTTGTTGTCTTTCAAAAAATCGCAGACTTCCAAAATTAAAACTGTGTTTCCCTCATAGAGAGGGAGACACCATAGGAGGGAAAGAACCTGCTTTGTGAAGCTGTCCCTTACCTTTCAACTAGATACATTTTTCAAAGGCTCTTCCTTTCTTTCTATTTTCTGAGTTTGATTGTTTGTTTCGGATAAGGGAAATTTAACTTTTTTAACTACAATACGATATATGTTAATCTTAGAAAATTTGAAAAATATAGAAAGTATGGAGAAGAAACCAAACATTTCTAATAATCCCACCACCCAGAGATGACGACTGTTAAATTTTGATGTGTTTCTGATCAGTTTTGCTTTATACATGTTTGTTTCCTTTGCATAGTGGCAGTGATGTTTGCATACTATTTCGTATCTTGTTTTTCTTTCTTCTGTGGACATTTTCAGCTTATAAAATATTGCTTAAAACACAACTGTAATGCCTGCATAATATTCTAGAACAGTGCCATGCTTCTTTAAGTCCACGTCTGTTATTAAATATTAGGGTGTTTTTGTTCTTCCATTATTAAAAAAAAATTCTGGTATTATCTCTGAGCATTAATTTATATTCCCACCTCAGATTATTTCTTTATAATAGATTCTAAAAAGTAAGACTGTTAGCATCCAATAACAAAGTGGTCACAATAGCTTGTGTATATGTCAACTATGAACAATAGTCCAATTCAACAGGGCCCTTCCCATCCTTGTACAGTACTATTGTGGTTATTTTATTTTTTATTTGTACATAATTATTTATTATTATATGATACATGTCCAGAGTATCTCCATGTTTAAATTTTTAGTTATTTGCTCATGAGTAAGGAAAGTTGAACATTTTTAGACAGGCTTACTGACTATAAATCCTTCTTTTTGTAAAGTTTTATTCATGTACTATATCCATTTTTCTATTGGGATAGTTCTAAAAATTATTTATAAGAAAGAACTCTTCTTCTCTCTTATCTTGGGGGCATTTTAAATATTGGTTTTATAAGAGACTCACCTGGTATATTCCCAATGCCAAGCCTGTACGAGGTACTTAATAAATGATCCTTCAGTTTTAGATCTATCTGAAAACATTAATTTAAAATTATGGAATTAGACTTCAGAGTGCTGGGTTTTTTAAAAGTAGAAATTACATCTACTTCTGTGTTGTAAAAACTATGTATTAAAGTTATATCAAATAGGAAGAGTACATTTTGCAGGGAAATTCTATTAAATTGCATCTCCTAGAGAAGTGATTTAAATTAAATTTTCCTGATAAAGTTTTTATTCACATATAATCCTTCACAGGGTTCATTTTTCCAGGGGTTTTCAATTGGCATTTGGCTTTTTCAGATTAGATAGACAGATGGTAGGTAGACAGATGATAGATAGATAGATAGATAGATAGATAGATAGATAGATAGACAGACAGATAGATAGATAGATAAATAGACAGATAGACAGACAGACAACAGATAGATAGATTTTTGTTCCCACAGTCTTTTAGCAGGGACTATCTTCGCTGCAGCCCAGGTCACTTAAATCTACATGCTACTTCCTGGATAGCGCTTCTGAGCCTCTGGGATTCCCAGGTCAGTGACACCAGGGTCAAGGACATGGCTGGAGTGAGTTTGGGAGTCTGCTCTGCTCTCATTACCTGCCTGCACATGGGAGGTGCAGGCCACAGTGCAGACCTCCAGGCAGCTTCAGCAGCAGCTCTTCTCATCTGGAGCAGCCCTCCTTCTTTCTTTCCTTTGGTGATAAATTGTATTTGGTGTTAGAAAGTATATCTTGTGCTGAATTCTCTAGCTGATAGATTTCTGAAAATTAATTGGCACCGAATTTTTTTTCTAAGAAACATAAATTTGTTTGGAAAGTCAGATCGACCTGTCATTTAAAACATGCCTTCTATCGAGCATCGACTGTGGGTCATCCACTTCACATGCTTCTACCTCTATTCCGACCACTAATTTGTAAGGTAGGTATCATTATCCCAGTAGACTAGATGAGAAAATGGGGGGTGTCTCAGTCAATTCAGGATGCTATAATGAACTGCCACGGACAGATGGTCTATTAACAACATAAATTTATTTCTCACAGTGCCAGGCACTATAAGTCCAAAACCAGGGTGCTAGTGTAGCTGAGGTGTCTTGAGGACACCCTTCCAGGTTGCAGACGGCCATCTTCTCATTGTAACCTCACATGGCAGAAAGCAGAGAGAGAAAGCAAGCTGTCCTCTTTTTTAAAAAGCACTAATCCCATTCATGAGGACCCCACCCCCATGCCTCCCAATACCATTACACTAGGGGCTAGGATTTCAACCTATGAATTTAGGGGGTACACAAATATTCAGTCCATGACAAGGAGTTGGTGTGGATGCATACATTGTTCAAGGTCACCGAGTTGGCAGTAGCAGAGCTGAGGATAAAATCCAAATTTCCCCAGTTTCAGAGTCTGTGTTCTTGACACTAAAGAACACTGTCAATTTGTGGACAGCTCACGGGCAGAAATTGTGCATTACTCATCTGTATATCTGTAGCATTTAATATGACACTTGGTACATAGTAGATGCTTAGTAAGTCTGTGTTGAACAGATGAGTAAGTGAGTGAGCCAGTTAAACTATTCCCAGTGAAAAGCCAGCGCTGAGCTAGACTCTGTCTTGCTATTTTGTGACAAATGATACTCCGGAGAGAGGGAGGAATGAGGTCAAATAAGAGTGAGGAGCAGTGGAGTCACAGTTCCTGCTGAGGACTGGGGTGATCTGTCTGAGAGCTGCCTGCCCTCCCTTGCCCATGAGCAGGGAAGATGGCAGAGACCCCATTAAGTGTCACTAGGATTGGAGCAGGGATTGAAACCTCTGCCTTTCCCATTTTCCCTCCCTGGAGCCCTCCCTTCCTTTGCACTGTGAACTGTTTTCTGCTCCATTTCCTCTCCAAGCCCTCAGATCACCCTCAGAGCTCTCTGTTATCTTCCACATCATCCTAGCTGGAATAAAATATAACTGTGTCTGAAAAGTACAGAAATCAAAGCTCCCCTTGGGGATTTTCTTTCTGTATCACCTGTCGAATGGAAAACCGGTGTGTCCTTGAAAAGATATGTATTTCAGGCCGCAGGGGTGCTAATTTGCAAGGCCCATTACTCAAATAAAACATTAAAAGACTCTTCGATAAGCCAGTGCTCTCGGCCTGTTTCCACTCTGGCACCAACATAACCAACTATAGGTTTTCTGTCAAGCTTCAGAGCCCAAAGTCAAGATTTATCAATGATATTTTGACTTTAACTTCTACACTTTCATTCTGATGCGGCATTGCGTGCTCTGCCATAGCTCCCCAGCTTCTTGCAGGTTCCTCACTCCGTCCTTGAATTACTGTAGAAGAAGATGTGCTTTTGAAGCATCTTCTGGGGTTTTAAGTGTGAACTTTCTACTCTGTGCCGCACATATTATCTCCATGAGATTGAAAACACATATTTACAGGCCGACCACCTTTCAGACTGATGTGGTATCCAGTGGCATTACAGTATGTCCAATACTATGGATAGACTTGTATTGCTTTTTATTCAGATTTTTAAAAATTCCAAATGTTTTTATTTGACATGTCTTAACATCTTAAGGAAAGGAAGTAGGCAGAAAGAGGAGTCTTCAGTGACAGTACCAGCTAGAGAGGCAGAGAGTATTTTGCTGGATATTCTTTCAGTCTTGTTTTGCATTTTTATAGGGTCTACATTATACTGTATTTATTCTTTCACACTGTAACTTAAATATTCAAGTGCAATTTAAAATTTTCATAAACAATTTCAAATTTTTATGTAATAATATCCTGTCCTGGGAATATAACATAATTAGCCCATCCTCTATTACTGTTTACTTAGGTTGTTTTTATTGCAATGAATAACACTTTAATGATAATTTTTGTCTATTACACCTTTGCAAGGGAAATAGGAAAGGGGATCATTTTCATAGGAGACCTTTCCTGGTGTGGAAATACCATGTCAACCGTCATGAATGTTTCAGACTCTCAATAGCTACTGACAGGCAGCTTCCTGCAGGTGGAGAACGTACCCAAAATGGCACCTGGATAACTCTTTTTCCTGGCTGATGTTCATGTTCATAACTCATGGGCTTAGCTGTTGACCCTGAATGCAAAAGAAATGGAATGGAAACCAGATCTTGGGCCAACTCCAGATTTCTGGCCGAATCCATTTTAGGTATGAGGGAGGAGAACTGAATACATCAATGAACATATCTTTGTTTTGGGATAGGAGACTTAAGGTTTAGGATAGGAAATTTAAAACTTAGGTTTGAAGTTTTCTATAAGATCCTTTTTTTATCATTGTAAAATAGGAAATGAATGCTGTACTTGAGGTCACAGGAAAGTGGCTTCTATTTATAATGACAGAATGTTCATTTTTGTAAAATTTATAGAGTTTCTTACTGTATACTGGTTAAGATATTCACCTTATTGATAAACAGAATGATTCCTTACCAAGCCCTTCCTGGAAATCAGGAAAGGTAATTGGAATTTACGGCAGTTACCATGAACTGTTGCACCTGTAGGATTAGAGGCCATTATCCTGGAATCTTGGATGGATTAATTAATGAATCGGCAAATAAAGCACGTGATGAATTACGAAGCGTCGTGTCATTATAATTTCATGATAAAGTGTCTTGTTCTGGATGACATTACATTTTGAGATTGAAATAATAACTGGCTCCCTCAAAATTTTAAAGGAGCTCCCAAGCTCTTTCAGATGGAAGAGAGGAAACAAAGGGGATAGGGATCTATGAGGGGGAAAAAGCAGGCGCCTGTGTTGGGGTGTGGAAAGCGCCCTCGGAGCCCACCCTGGCTAGCAGAGGTCAACTTTGTGTAAACGCAGCCCACTGCTACAGAGGCCTGAGCATCGCCTGCTCCAGTGATGAAGAGCGATGAGGCTTAAGCCGACGTGGGCTAGCAAAAGTTTTAAATGTACTTTATAATTATTTTATGACCTTTCTTTCTTTGTAAACTGCATGTCATTTCCCCTCTCCTTCCCTGACCACCAGGCTGCCCCGTGCCAGAGCTCTGCCTCAAAACTGGAAACCTTGCCAGAAGCGAGAGCTGAAATTGCTTTTTGGTGGGTCCGATTTCATGCTGAGTGGGAAGCGGCAGCTCAGAGATGAATTGGAAGGCCACGCTTGTCAGCGAATGAAACGTGATGAACCTCAGAGTTTTATTGACACGCGGCGCGGAGCTGGCAATACAGCCGGCACTGCGTCTTCTTAATCCCATGTTCTTGGGGTGGGAGTTTGACCCAGTACTTTCTGTTAGAAATGATACATATTTATTAGACTGTACGGCTAAAAAGAAAGAAACAGTGTGCCCGGTGTCAGACACTATCGCAACCAAACCTTTCTTTTATTAAAATAAATACAGACAATTCCACCGTGACAGCTCTTCCACCGAGGGGGAGCCTTATTAAGTGGCGACCTTCATTCTCTCCACAGAGACGGGCAAGCTCGCATCAGACCACTTGTGGGGGAGGAGGATGTGGGGGAGGGTGGGGGCACCTGTGGAGCATTTTATGGGTTTTGAGAAAACCAGGCTGAAGTCCTGAGTAGCCTGCAGTTCCGCTAATTACATTCATCTTCTCATTCGCCTCTACCAAATCAATTGCCGACAACATCCAATCTCATTTTCTGCAGTACATTTCTGTGAGATATAGCTGTACTACCAACCCCTTCCTCCTCTCTGGGAATGGCTTCCTGCCACCACCCTATGGGACAGGGGCTTTAGAGGGTGAGGGAATATGACAGGTAGACACTTTACAAACAATAGAAGCTTTCCAGGTTCTTTCATGCAGGCTCTGCCAATTGTGAGAGCCAGGGGAATCGTATGAAAATGAGGCAAACTGTTGTTTCTATTTAGTTGAATATTTGCTCCTTAAGTTAATCCTTGTGTATACCATTATTGCACGCGTGTTGTATTATTTTAAGAAAGAATTACATTGGAAGGAATAGGGAAGAGAAGGGAGGATCTCTGTGCTTGTGTACACACATATAGCATATGTAAGGTACACACATACACATATATACATATGCACCATATATGTGTGTGTACACTGTATTTCCATATGTATACCACACACATGTATATGTACACACACATACTAAAATATCATACACACACATATACATACATACACACTCACACGCAATGGTTCTATGTGGTTTGATAATTCACAGTGAATGCTACCTCAAAAGACCTCACTGACAACTGCTAGCTATGTTGTCCTGGAAAAGACACTAATATTCGCCCAGCCTAAGTTTCCTCAAAGGTAAGTGGACATAAAATAACTAGTTCAAGGGGCAAGTGTGAGAATCAAAATCACGCAACTCATGTTAAATTTGAGTCAAGTTCTGGAAAACGTTCCAATCCTTAAACACAGGATTCAATCCCTGTGATATATTTTGGACAGTTCTATCTGTTCTTTAACTGCGCTTGCCTGCATTTGCCCTATTGAATGTCATTCTTTTGGGTTATTTCCATTTTTTCCATTTGCCAAGATCATTTTAGTCTTCACATCAGTTCATCACTGATATTAATTGAGTGTCCTCGCTTGCGGAGAACCATATGAAGGTTCATCAAGAGACAAAAGCAGTAAGAGAAGGGCTTACTTTTAAAATATCCCTGTCATTAGGCTACTCCTCTGATGTTCCTTTGTTTTACCCACATTAAGTTCAGATGGCATTTGGGGCTTTCGCTGTCCTCCTAAGCAGGTCTCGTTCACCCACCACGTCTCTGTCACTGGCGTTGGTCTCCTGCATTCAGCCTGGAGCTTTTGACTCAGGCCCTTGGTTCTTCTTAAACTTTCCTCCTCCACAGCATGCAAAGTCCATGTTTCACTGTGTGTTCCCTATGAAACCTCTCCAGACCCCTTACCCTCTCTCATCTCTCCTTTCTTGATTCTTCACTTTTTTTCCTTTTTCTTTCTTTCTTTCTTTTTTGAGTTGGAGTCTGTCTCTGTCATCCAGGCTGGAGTGCAATGGTGCAATCTCAGCTCACCGCAACCTCCACCTCCCATGTTCAAGCAATTTTCCTACCTCAGCCTCCTGAGTAGCTGGAACTACAGGCACACACCATAACACCTGGCTAATTTTTTTTTTTTTTTTTGTATTTTTTAGTAGATACATGTTGGCCAAGCTGGTCTCAAAGTCCTGGCCTCAAATGATCCACCTGCCTTGGCCTCCCAAAGTGCTGGGATTACAGGCATGAGCCACTGTGCCCAGCCTTCACTTACTTTTAAAGTCAATATGAAAGCTCACCATTTGACAACTAATAGGCAATTGTTCAACTAATTGTTTTCATCTTTCTAACCAAATCATGAGCAACTTTGGGCACAGTCATGTCTTACATATCATCGTGTCTCCTTTATAATGGATGCCACTATGCTTACTGTAGTATAGGTACTTTACTTATTGATTATTTGAGAGATGGGATGACTCCAACTTTTAAGAAGCTTGTATCCCAAAAAATACCATAAACCCTAAAGTAGACATACTATGCTATTTTATATTCTATCATAGATTTTTTTTTAACTGAGAAAAAAACTGAATTCTTCCTAATAGACAACTGTTTCTCACCCTTTGATTTACGTCAGATTCTAGTCCACTTAAATTTGCTCTACGTGAAATACATGTTCAGCTGAAATATTTGTGGCCCAGGTCTTTGCCTTTTTCAGAAGCTCCACATATGACGCCAGCGTACACCAGAGTTGGAGAACCACTACGATGTACTTGTGTACTTAGATTATAAATGGGGAATATTTATTAGATTACCAACTGTATTACAGATATTTTGTAAGCACTAAACATTTGTTTCTTTACTGAGCTAATATTAAATGTATCTATGTATCCCATGAAAGTCAACTTTTGTTTAAAATGACAGTGCTAGAGGCAAGAGGCACTGACCAATGCTTAAATTAGGGGGTAAAAATCAAAGAGAAGCAGGATATTCGCACGGTCTTAGCGAATCCCCTCTGACGCGTATCAATCATTGTGTTGGTTTTAACAAATCATAAAGCCTTGGTGCCCCTCTCTCCTGGAGGTGGAGCTTAATCTCCCTCCCTTTGAGTGCGGGCTGTAGTTAGTGGCTATCATCTCATGAATAGAGCATGGAAAGGGCAAAACTGTAACTTTACGGTGGAGGATTCTGGTGGACAACACCTTAACCAAGTGATCCGAAACCAGGGGGGCATGCTACAGAATACCTGGTCACTCCTCTTCAAAGTCAAAGTCATGAAGGACTAGGAAAGTCCAAGACACTACTACAGATTGGAGGAGATTTAGGAAAAAGGACAACTAAATGCACTGTGAGATGGTGGATGGAGTCCTGGAAATCAGTGGAAAAACTAAGGAAATCTAAATAATGAAGTTTGCAGTTTAGCTAATAATATTGCACCAGTGTTCATATCTTAGTTTTGATTATTGTACCATGGTTTTTAAAGATGTTAAGTGAAAGCTATCCAGGAGCACCCTGTATTATCGTTGCAACTCTTCTATAAATCTAAAATATTTCAAAATAAAAAGTTGGGCATTTTTTTAAGAACAAGAAAAAAATGCCTGCTTGAAAGACTGCACTTTTATCACAAACCACGCAGTATGCTGACATGTTTCCATTAGGCAAGTGAAAGGTGTTCCACAAATGTAGGTGGAGGCACCGGGTTATCTGCTATGCATTATTGATGAATATCACCACAGGAGGTTAGAGCACAGCTTGTCAGAAAATTCCAGAGAAGAGAAATGACAACTGGTGAAATTCCCTTTAAGTTTATTAAATACCTGCCTTTCTTCTTTTAAAGAAAGTGAAACTCCGTGACCCATGAGACTAAAAATAAAAAACTTGAGACAAGGGACTGAGGGATGGCCATTCCATTTAAATATGCTCAGTATGAAATGAGCATTCTTTAACAAGAAATCATTTTGTTAAAGTGCTAAGCCTTTTTCATTATCGTTTAATATCTGGTGACACTGGTAGCCATAATGTATGTGTAAAGAAAAGATTTTATTGTTTGTGTCTGATTTTTAGAGCTATCTGCAACTGCTTTATTCTGATTCACTGAGAAAATTTCTTAGCTTCACTCCCTTCTCCAATTAATGAACTTTCAGTGTTTCTCAAGGAGCAAAGATCATATTAATCTCTCTGGTTCTTTCTATCAGAGTCTGAGTAAATCACTTATACTCTAATGACACCAATAGGGTAAGAAGGATCCAGCGGCGTTTGACCTGTGTTACCTACTTGGTCTGATTTTCAGTTCTTTTGTTAATATAGAAGCCCTTTGATTATAGCTGAGTATAAAGTAATAATAAGGATTGTTCTTCCATCCCAAATTGCATCCTAACTAGAAAGATCTCCACATATGGAAGTGTTATTGACATTTGAGAGTTTCTTTCCATTATTCTTGACACTTCTGTGCAAATAGGGTACTCCCTTACATTTGGGGGATTACAAAGAGAAGAAAGAAAGTGTATGTATGTTGGGAAAAAAAGAAAATGTTAATTCCTCTAGGCAAACTCATTAGCCCTGTGATTGTGAGGATTGTAGGTTATAGAGTTATAGTTACATAACTGTACAATAGAAAGACCTAGAGTTTTACAGTCTATCCATTCAGCATAGGAATCATTTTCTAGTACTTCTTACACAAATACTCATTCAGCACTCACTTTAAATAATCACCACGGCAGAAGCACACTATAAATAATATTACTTCAAAACATGAGGCAAATTCCAACATGACACAACTCAACAGTTGAATTTTGGTGAAATATAAATTTGTAGTTTTTATCATTCTGAAAATTCTACCTATTGATTTTACTCATTTCCTCTAAGTAATTCTTCTTTTGCTTTTATGTGACACACTCTTTTTCCATTTGAGAGAACTGTCATATATGACCCAAATGAACTGTTTTCAGGCTCAATGGTTATAATTTTTTCATGATTTCTTCTATAATATGTTTACTGTAAATATGCTTGTTCATTGATATTACTCTTAAAGAGTGCTACCCAGAACTGAACACAATCTGAGTCTTCATCAGTTACTGGGCAATATGTTTGTACATATCCAAGTTGAAAGATGCACAGACACTCAGAGAATATGTAAGTGAAATACCCATAAGGCCTGCTAGTGATGGCTGTAATAGGGTAGTTTATCTTATTTTGTGAACTAATTCTACATGTTGGTTAAAACAATGCCCCTTTGAACCATTTCTCAGCCATGTGCCTGGATAATGTAATAATGTGTCTATACTAGAAGTCCTCATCTGTATGCCCTATTTTTGTTCTCATTGTCAGTGGGCAGATGTCATTTGCTATATTCTCATATAACTGAAATATGTTCCATAGGATCCTGGACCAAAAGTGCCTAGCAGAGTGCTGGCACATACTAGGTATTCCATAACCATTAGCTGCTTTCTTTTTCTTTAATGTTTCTGCTTAGAGCAATAATATCATTTACTCCTGGATCTCCTGTGGTCTGCTGGAGCTGATGAAAGGCTGGAGCATATGTGTTTGTTGCCGTCTCATCCTGGCATTCTATTGGGCCTTGGCTCTGAAGCTCACTGATACAGTTCCGTATATTGCTCTGCCTAACTTCTCTCTCATACAGTGCATCATCTATTTTATTAGCTCTGTCAACTTTCCAAAGCCCTTTCTTCCTCAAAACCCCCTTGATCCTTTTACCTGTGGAAACAGTATCTGACTATTTTATCATCTGGCTATTTCAATTAAATTACATTTTAAAAAAGCATACAGTAAGGTTAAAAATGATCACTATATCACTCCAACTTTCTTCCATCCCCAGAAGGTTAATTGAAAGGCGGCCATCTTGGCGACGTTTAGACAAATGAGGATAATTATGTGTTCTCCAGCTCTTTGAGAGGTTAATTGCTTAGATGTACGAAGCCTTGAAGAACAAAGAAGGAATAAATCAGAAACAGGACTATCATCTGATAATGTAATTTGGTATATTCATGTACAACTCAAACAAATAAACCCCTAATTAGATGAACTCATTCAGTTATGTGGGCACACTACCAGTTTACCAGGGTCAGACACCTCAAATTGACTTACTTCATTCAGTGGCCTCTGAGAGGGTGGGGGAGTGCTAACCTATGCAGAGGTAAAATAGGGGCTCTTAGGGGCGTGGTGTAGTAGGGGGTTAGAGGAGAGGCTCGCATAATGGAATTTTACTACATTGGGTAAACTCATCTAAGTGGGTTTAGACCTTTTACCTCTTAATCAGAGGGTTGACTTCTGCACTTCTCCTCAAACACATCTTTTCTTCAGGCAACATCATTTCAACATCTAGGAAGAAGGCAAGGAAGTAGCATTAAAAAATCTCTACAAGAAGCAGGGAAGTGCAGTTGTGCCTGGTAGGGGGAATCAGAACTGAGAGTCGTGGAACCCTGTATTCTTATCCTCTGCTAGTTTTTCACCAGCTTTGTTGGGGTGGCAGAAAGTAACTTCTTCAGAAAAATATGAGAGAGAGAAATGATCTGAGTCCTTGTCTACACAATTGATCCACTTTTTTGGCCCTTTTAATTGCATATAGTAATTTAGTTTTAGGTCCCTGTAAACACAAGCACTTGGAGTCTGGATAGGCATCGTAGTGATTGACTCTAGCCAAGTATCTGCAATGCATTCAGCTTTGCTCCCCCTTGTATTAGGTCGTTCCTGCATTCTATAAATAAATACATGATGGCTGGTCACGGTAGCTCATGCCTGTAATCCCAGCACTTTGGGAGGCCGAGGTGTGTGGATCATGAGGTCAGGAGTTTGAGACCAGCCTGGCCAACATGGTGAAACCCCGTCTTTACTAAAGATACAAAAATTAGCTGGGCGTGGTGGTGCATGCCTGTAATCCCAGCTACTCAGGAGGCTAAGACAGGAGAATCACTTGAACCCGGGAGGTGGAGGTTGCAGTGGGCCGAGATTGTGCCACTGCACTCCATCCTGGGTGACAGAGTGAGACTGTCTCGAAAAAGAAAAGAAATACCCGAGACTGGGTACTTTATTAGAAAAAAGATTTAATAGGTTCACAGTTCTGCAGGCTTTAGAAGAAGTACAGCATGAACATCTGCTTCTAGGGGTGCCTCTGGAAACTTACAACCGTGATGAAAGGTCAAGTGGGAGCTTGCATGTCACACGGCAAAAGCAGGAGCAAGGGCGGGGGGAATTGCCGTACAATTTTTATTTTTACTTTTTATTTTTTTTGAGACCAGGTCTGGCTCTGTTGCTCAGGCTGGTGTGCAGTGGCAAATCTGGGCTCACTGCACCCTCTGCCTCCTGGGCTCAAGAGATCCTTCCACCTCAGCCACCTTAGTAGCTGGGACTACAGGCACATGACACCACACCCAGCTGAATTTGTTATTTTTTTTGTAGTCATGGGGTTTTGCCATGTTGCCCAGACTGGTCTTGAACTCCTGAGCTCAAGTGATCTGCCTGCCTCAGCCTCCCAAAGTGCCCAGATGACAGGCATGAACCACAGTGCCCAGCCAGCCGCACACTTTTAAACGACCAGAACTCCCGAGAACTCACTCACCATCACAAGAACAGCACCAAGGGGATGGGGCTGAAACATCCGTGAGAAATCCACTCCCATGATCCAATCAGCTGCCAGCAGGCCCCACCTCCAACACTGGGGATTACATTTCAATAGATATTTGGGTGGGGACACATATCCAAACTATATCACCCCTTTTAATCAAAGTACTACCTGCACCAAGTAAAATAAATAAATACACACTCGCTGGTTCTGTATGATTAACTTTCAGCCAGATCTGTTTACTCAACATTTACAAAATGGAACTCAGCACTGAGCCAGCCTTGTTTGCATACTTCACTCTTCCATCTCCCAACCTCCATTGGTTAAACATTAACTTCCACTGATGTTAACCTTCTGTTTTGTAACCATGTTTTACTTTATTATTTAGTCTCTAAGTCAATTATAAAGGCTTAAAGCCAATAAAAAGCATTTACATTACAGCTTTGTAAATGGTATTTTCTGTAGAATGACTATTTCTCAATGGCTTAGGGTGACAGTTTCTTGAATACTTGAATTAAAAACAGTCTTACCATCTAGATGATATGAATTGTTTTTCCTACTGTTCATCCATTGCTCAAACTTATTCTACATTTCACTTTGCTCCATATTTTGACCTTACTTTTGTTTATTTTAGAGTTTCTAAACAAATTTCTTTTTTCTTGCTGAGAAACTAAATGTATACATTTTCATATAACTGTAATATCTTTCATTTATTTACCTATTCCATTCCAATGCTGAAATTAATTTATTCCCCTCAAAGGCATTTTTTGGGAGTGCCCACTGGCTTCTAGTTCTCACCTAAACTACTTGCTTTCTAGACCTGCCTTACTGCTACTGGCTTTAAACTTCTTTACAAACTGGTTTCATCCCATAATTTCTTTTATCCAATATCATCCTCTTTGTTTTCACTCTTATTTAAATGTAGGTAGACCTTCTTTGTTTTAACCCTAATTTTTCTTTGGTACATTCTCAGGTAACTTCTTCAGAAAAAATATGAGAGAGAGAAATGTTCTGAATCCTTGCTTGCCCATTTGATACTTTTTTGTTTTTGGCCCTTTTAATTGCATATAGTAATTTAGTTTTAGGTTCCTGTAGACACAAGCACTAAACTGGCTCCTGTGGACTCAGGCTCTAGGTTTTCTCCAGGACTACACTAGTCCATGTGGCTTCAAACTCCAACAGACACAGGACACAGGCCTTTCCAAGTAGACTGCAAAAAAACCAACCAAACAAAAAACTCAGGTCCCAGGCCTACTGCTGCAAATCCAGGTTCCAAGTCATCCACCATGGTCTCAGCCACCAGGTCTACTTCCGTGGACCCCAGTACCAAGTCACCTTCATAGAATCAGAACAAGGCCCATCCTTGCAAATCCAGATGCCAGGCCTGCCTCAGCACCAGGCTAGATTCATGGACTCAGGCTGAGGCCTGCCCTAACACCAGGACAGCCCCTGAAGACCCAGGCTTTAGGCCCACCCCTGTGGACCCAGATTTCAGGCCTACTCACATGGACCCAAGTTCCAGTCCTGCCCTCAGTGGACACAGGCTCCAGGTATGCTCTCTGCAGACCAGGTGCCAGGTCAGTCTCTTTAGATCAGTCTCTCTAGGCCTGCTTGCTCACTGACATATGCACCGGATCATTCCACCCAAGAACTCTAACAGCAAGCCTACTGGTAGACCCTACCAACCAGCCCACCAGAATCTCTGGACAGACTGAGTGGGAAATGACTTCCCTGGCAAAGACAGTCTATACAGACCGGAAGAGATGTGTACTTCTTGTACAGGCAACAAGGATTGCAAATATCAGGGAAGCATGGTGCCACCAAAGGCACAAAATAAAGTACCAGTATAGTCATACACTGGACAGCAACATTTTGGTCAATCATGGCCCATATATGCAAAGGTGGTCCCACAAGATTATAATACCATATTTTTACTGTACCTTTTTAATGTTTAGATATATTTAGATACATGAATACTTACCCTTGTGTTACAATTGCCTACAGTATACAAAATAACAACATGCCTATAGCCTAGGAGCAATAGACTATATACCATATAGCTTAGTTGTATAGTAGGCTATACTACCTAGGCTTGTGTGAGTATACTCTATAATGTTTGCACAACAAAATCACCTAACAACACACTTCTCAGGACATATCTTTGTTGTCAAGCAATGCAGGAGTGTAACCTAGCCTAATGAAATGGAAATATAGGAACTGCCTGAAAAAATTTAAAATAATTGTCTTTAAAGAGCTCAGTTATCTAGAAGACAAAACAGATAGAGAACCAAACAAAATTAGGAAAACACTACATGAACAAAATTACAAGTTTAACAAAAAGATGAGAGCCATTAAAGAAAGAACCAAACAGAAATCCTGCTTCTGTGGAAGACAATGACTGAAATGAAGAATTTCATATAAAGCATTGACAGTAGACTCAATCAAGCAGAAGAAATAATCAGCAAGATCAAAGTCATGTCATTTGAAGTAGAGGAACAAAAAGAAAAAAAAAGAGTGAAAAAGCCTACGGGACTTATGGGACACCATCGAGTGAGCCAATATGTAGCATTATAGGTGTTCCAGAAGGAGCAAAGAAAGAGAAAGGGGAAATAAACTTGCTTAAGGGAAAAATGACAAAAAACTTCCCAAATCTGGAGAGGAAAATGAATATCCATATCCATGAAGATGAAAGAACTCCAAATAGACTAAACATAAAAGATCTTCACTTTGACACATTATAATCAAATTCTCAAAAGTCAAAGACAAAGAAAGAACGTTAAATGCAGCAAGAGAAAAGTGACTGGTTACATACAATGGAAACCCTCCCCCAACTCCCATAAAACTATCAGCAGATTTCTAAGCAGATTTGCAGCCAGGAAAGAATGGGGTGATATAGTCAAAGTGCTGGGGGAAAGAAGCGTTAAACAAGAATATTATACCAGAAAAATTGTCTTTCAGAAATGAAGGAGATTTTCCTAGACAAACAAAAAACTGAGGGAGTTCATCACCACTAGACCTGCCTTACAATAAATGCCAAATGGAGTTTTTCAAGTTGGAATGAGAGAACACTAACTTACAGCAAGAAAATATGTGCAATGTAAAAGTCACTCTAAAGGTAAGAACATATTCAAATTCAGGATACTCTAATACAGAAGAGTGGTGTGTAAATAACTTTTAACTCTAGTATAATAGTTCAGAGACAAGATTATTAAAAATAATTATAGCCATAATAATTTCCTGATGAACACAAACTATAAAATACGTAAATTGTGATATCAACACAAAATGTAGGGAAGAAGTTAAAGTGTAGAATTTCGTATGTGGTTGAAATTAAGATTTATCAGCTTAAAGTAGACGGTTATAACTACAAGATGTTTTGATGTAAGCCCTATGCTAATCACAAAAACACCTATAGTAGATACACAAAAGATAAAAAAAAAAGGAAAGCACACGCCCACCACCACCACACACACACACACACACACACACACACACACAATCATCAAATTGCAAAGAAAGGCAGCAAGGGAGGAAGAAAGGAAAAAAGAAACCACAAAGTAGTTGGAAAACAACAAAATGACACCAGAAAATTATGCATTATAAATAAGTACATTAAATTTAAATGGATTAAATTCTCCAATCAAAAGACATAGAGTGGCTGAGAGCATAAACACAAAAAACTGGTCCAACTATTTGCTGTCAACAAGGACCTCACTTTAGATTAAAGACAAACATAGGCTGAAAGTGAAAGGATAGGCAAAGATATTTTGTATAAATGGGAATCAAAAGGAAGCAGGTGTGGCTATACTTTAACCAACAGAAATAGACTTTAAGTAAAAGCCTGTCATAAGAGACAAAAATGGTCATTGATATGGTTTGGCTGTGCCTCTACACTGAAATCTCACCTTGAATTGCAATAAGTCCCATGTGTCAAGGGTGGGGCCAGGCAGAGATAATTGAATCATGGGGTCAATTTCCCCCATACTGTGAATAAGTCTCATGAGATCTGATGGTTTTATAAACCAGAGTTCTCCTGCACTAGCTCTCTTGCCTGCCAACATGTAAGATGTGCCTTTGCTTCTCCTTTGTCTTCCACCATGATTGTAAGGCTTCCCCAGCTATGCTGAACTATGAGTCCATTAAACCTCTTTCCTTTATACATTACCCAGTCTTGGGTATGTCTTTATTAGCAGTGTGAGAACAGACTAATACAAAAATGGTCACTATATAATGACAATAAAGAGTTCAGTTCATCAAGAAGATACAACAATTGTAAATATATAGGCACTCAATACAGGGGAACCTAAATATGTAAAGCAAACATTAGCAGAATGAAAGAGCAAAATAGATAACAATACAGTAATAGTAAGGGACTTGAATACATTATTTTCAACGATAGATAGATCATCCAGACAGAATTTCAATAAGGAAATATGCACTTTAACAACGCTGTAAGCCAAAATAGACCTAACAGACACATACAGAACATTTCATCCATCAGCAGCAGAACGCACACTGTTTCCAAGCACACATGGAATATTCCCCACGACAGATTATATGTTCAACCACAAAATAAGTCTTAACAAATTTAAGAAGTTTAAAATTCTATCAAGTTCCTCTTCTGACCACAATGGTGCAAAACTAGAGATTGATAATAGGAGGAATATTGGAAAACTCACAAATATTTGGAAATTTTACAACACATTACTGAACCACGAGGGGTCAAAGAAGAAATCAAAAGGATATTTTTTAAAAATCTGAGACAAACAAAAATGAAAGCACAACATACCAAAACTTAAGGGATGCAGCAAAAACAGCTTCAAGTGGAGATATTATAGCAACAAACACCTATATTAGAGGGAAAAAAATCTCAGATAAGCACCTAGCTTTATGCCTATAGGTACTAGAAAAAAAGATCAAACAAAGCCCAAAATTAGCAGAAGAAAGTAATTAATGAAGATTAGAACAGAAATAAATAAAGACTGAAAACAATAAACAATTTAAAACAGAGTTGTTTTTTAAAAGGACAAACAAGAGTGACTAACCTTTAGCTAGACTAAGAAAAAAAAGAGAAGACTGAAATAAAAAAATTTATAAATCAAAGAGTACACAATACAGTTTACAGAAACACAAAAGATCATAAGAGACTACTATGAACAATTATACACCAATGAACTGAATAACCAAGAACAATTTATCAAGAATGAATCATGAAGAAATAGAAAATCTGAATAGGCCAATTACAAGGATTGAATCAGAAATTAAATAACTCCCAAAAAAGAAAAGCCCAAGATCTGATGGCTTCACTGGTGAATTATACTAAATGTCTAAATAATTAATGTCAATCCTCAAATTTTTCTTAAAGAATTTAAAAGAAGGGAATAATTCCAAACTAGTTTTATGAGACCAGTATTCCCCAGATACCAAAGCCAGACAAGGATACTACAAGAAAAGAAAAAGATAGGCCAATATTCCTGATAAATATAAATGCATAAATCCTTAACAAAATATTAGCCAACTGAATTTATAGCACATTAAAAGAGTCACACATCATAACTTAAGTGGGATTTATTCCTAACATGCAAGGATGGTTCAACATATGCAAATTAATAATTATGGTGCACTACGTTAACAGAATGAAAGATAGAAGTTATATGATCGTATCAACAGATTCAGAAAAAAGGTGACAAAATTCAACATTGTTTTATGATAAACCCTCTGAGCAAGTTATTTATAGAACGAATGTGCCTCAATATTATAAAGTCCATATATGACAAGTCCACAGCTAACATCATATTCTATAGTAAAGAGATGAAAGCTTATCTTCTAAGAAGAGGAACAAGACAAAGATGTCCATCTATCTCTTTTATCTAACAAAGTGTTGAAAGTCTTAGCCTGAACAATTAGACAAGAAAAGAAATAAAAGAGTTTCAAATTGGAAAAGAAGAAGTAAAATTGTCTCCGTTTGCAGATGACATAATCTTAAATATAGAAAATGCCAAAGCCTCCACCAACAAACTGCTAGAACTAATAAATTCAGTAAAGTTACTGGATAAAAAATCAACATACAAATATCAGTTGCATTTTCATACACTAATAAGAACCTATCAAAAAGAAGTTGAAACAACAGTCCCATTTACAATAGCATTAAAAAAACCTTAGGAATAAATTTAACCAGGAGGTAAAAGACTTGTACACTGAAAACTATAAGAGATTGATGAAAAAAATTAAAGATGACAAGAATAAATGGAAAGATATCTCATGTTCCTGAATTGGAAAAATTAATATTGTTAAAATGTCTGCAATACCCAAAGCGATTTACAATTTCAATGCAATCTTTATCAAAATATCAATGGCATTTTTTTTCAGAGAAATATAAAGAACAATTCTAAAATTTATTGAAAAAATTGGATATTCACATGCAGAAGAATGAACTTGGACCCAACTATATATATATGAAAATCATCTAAAAATTGATTAAAGACTTAAACATAAGACCTGAAACTGTAAAACTACAAGAAGAAAACCATCAAAAAGATTCTTGAAATTGGTCTGGGCAATGATTTTTGGATATGATCCCAAAAGCATAGGCAATAAAAACAAAAATGAACAAATGGAATTGCATCAAACTAAAAGACATATACAGCAAATAAAATAATCAACAGAGTGAAGAGACAGCCTAAAGAATGGGAGAAAATATTTGCAAACCATATATCTGAGAAGGCATTAATATCCGAAATATATACAAACTCAACTTAATGACAAGAAAATAAAACCTTATTAAAAATGGGCAAAGGACCTGAACGGACATTTTTCAAAATAAGACATACAGTTGACCAACAGGTATATTTAAAAAAACTCAACATCACTAATCATCAGGGAAATACAAATCAAAACCACAAACATACATAATCTCACAGCTATTAGAATGCCAGTTGTCAGCATGACAAAAGATCAGTGTTGGAGAGGATGCGGAGAAAAGGGAACCCTGGTACACTGTTGGTGGAAATTTGAATTGGTATAGCCATTGTGGAAACAGTATGGAAGTTCCTCAAAAAATTAAAAAGAGAACTATCAAATGATCCAGCAATCTTACTTCTGGGTATATGCCCCCTCAAAAATTGAAATCAGGGCTGGGTGTGGTAGCCCACATCTGTAATCCCAGCACTTCGGGAGGCTGATACAGAAGGATTACTTGGGCCCAGGGCAACAAGAAGAGATCCCATCTCTACAATAAATAAATAAATAAATAAATAAATAAATAAATAAATAAATAAATAAATAGAAAATAAAATAAAATAAATTAATATAAAATAAAATACAAAATTAACCTGGTGTGGTAATGCATGCCTGTGGTCCCCTGCTATTCAAGGAGGCTAAGGTGAGAGGATTACTTGAGCCCCGGAGGACAAGGCTGCAGTAAGCCATGATTACACCACTGCACTCCAGCCTGGGCAACAGAGAGAGAGGCCTTGTCTCAAGAAAAAAACAAAATGAAATCAGTATTGTGAAGAGATATATGCACTGCCATGTTCACTGCAACACTGTGCACAATAGCCAAGATATGGAATCCACATAAGCATCCACTGATGGGTGAATGGATAAAGAACGTGTTCTATATAAAAATATACAATGGAATATTATTCAGCCATAATAAAGGCTGTGACAACATGGATGGACCTGGAGGGCATTATTCCAAGTAAAACAAAGCGGGCATAGGAAGACAAAATTTTGCATGATCTCACTTATATGTAGAATCTAAAAAAATTTAAATTCACAGAAAGAGAGTGTCGAATGGTGATTGTCAGGGACTGGAGGAGGAGGGAAGCAGGGAGATGTTTGTCAAATGATACAACATTTTGGTTATGCAGGATGACTAAGTTCTGTAAACCTAATGTACAGCACTGTGACTGTAGTTAATAATAGTGTATCGCATACTTGAAATTTGCTAGAAGATCTCTTAAATGCTCTTCCCATATCCAGAAAAAAAGAAGGTAATTATGTGAGGTGATGGATATGTTAATTAACATGACTGTGGCAATCATTTCATAATGTATACATATATCAAAACATCATGTTGTGCATCTTAAATATGCACAATTTTTCTTTGTCAATTATACCTCAATGAAACGGGGAAATTTTCATTTTAAAATAGTTTTGCCACATTTTGCTTTTTTCATCCATGATTCAAAAATAAGACAACTGTTGTCAGTCCTGATGACTAATCCTTTATATAGGACCTATACATATGAGCATGGAAATATATTTATTTTTGTTTAGAAGTGTTCACGATGTTGCTTTATTCTTAGTGTTTGGAAATTTCACAGTGATGTATCTGTATATGAATCATTTTTCATTAATCCTGTTTGGTATTCAGCCTATAATTTGTTGGTAACATTTTCTTCTATTTCCTAAGTAATTTCTTCTCTACTTTCTCCATTCTCTAATTCTGCAGGTTTTATGGGTCAGCGTTGGACTTTTTGGGTTGACTACATCTTCATGTGTGTCTGTGTGTGTGTGTGTCTCTGCATAAGTTTTGTTGTATGTGATACAATAGTTCCTATCTGATACGAGCAGTGCTTCCTCACACATACTTTCCATCATGGTCTTCTTGCTCCAGTTCTGAGAGATTTCCTCTGCTTTACTGGGTAGCCTATTAATTTTATTTTAATACAACAATATTATTTTTAATTCCATGGGCTTGTTATTTTTCCCTGACAATTACTTCTACATAGTATCTATTTATTTATCTTATTGGTATAGTATCATCTTAAATCTCTAAGAATACCAATTAGAGGTGCTTAAAAAATACTTTCTCCTGTTCCCTGTTTCTTCTGAGACCAGTTTTCTTTGTTTATCTTAGCCTTCTAAAAAATTTACTAGTTTTATTTTGTGATTGTCATATATATTTGTGAGGCACTGGAATAGGATTTCATCATAGCTAGGGTGGGCTTTCTGTGATGTTGTAAATGTAGATCCTTCTTCCTACTGAGTTTCTCCCATAAATGCTAAAGCATCTAGGTGCTTATGTGATTAAGCTCATTTATGGGCAGGTGGCACATTTCTTAACACAGACATGGAAATAAACTTTAGGGTCGGGCATTCTCAAATGCTAAACTGGGGCAAATTCCTTGGCAGCTTATTTATTTATTTATTTATTTTTAAAAGAAACCATTTGTTCTATTTGCCTGGGTTAATAGTGGGCTGTCTGTGTTTTGTGTGCAAAGAGATGTGCAGGAAGGGCTGGAGGAAGAACTGACTTGTGGGTGCAGTTGCCATTTCATCCTCTGTTGTTGGCCCCACTGCTCATTTCTGCCCTCCATACCTCTGCCTTCAATTCCAAGCCACTCCGAATTCTGTCTGACAAGTTCACACTTGTGCTAGAGCACTCTCCTGAGGAGTGGCTTCCTTGTGTCTTGTTCATCTTTCTCCATACTTCTAGGATTTTCTTGAAAGTCCTTGTCTGCTGATCCTCCCTCACCTGTGCTCTTTGATGTTATGTGATGATTCCTTTTATTTTCCCCTTTACTGTCATTGTAGTGGGTGTCAGGAAGAAGAAATCGCCAATAGATGTGTCTAGTGAGATCTCCAAGTTCAGGTCCTGCTGGCTGCCCTCATCTTTTGTGTCATTACATAAATATACAGTGCACACAGGTCTACTAAGCTTGTTTTTCTATGTATCAACTAAGCCTAGCACAGACTAGTGAAGTTATTCAGCCTGGTCATGAAACCCCTCAGCATCTGTCTCCTTTGAAGATGGATTGTTAAGCTCCTTAATGTGTTATATAAGCTCTCATGCTCAGCCCTTCACCTCCTTGCCCAGGGCTCACTTTGAATTGCACATTGCCATAATACTGCTCCTGCCTCCCGCACTTCCATGGCTTCCATTGTGCTTTTATTTGGCCTAGAATACACCATACCATCACTGCCTTTCCCCCTAGACTAACAGTACCCATCATTCAAGGATTATGCAGCATATCGTATTTCAGGAACATTTACTTGACTCCAACTCCCAAAATGGACAGGCAAAGTTCTAAGGGGCCGTGCTTCCAATGAACAGTCTCTCACTCTCTCTCCGTATTTTTCATAACCTTTACCACATATCCTTTTAATTAATTTGCATATGTGCCTATAATCCCCCTAAGTGTCTCAAGGGCACGGAAGCATTGCATCAGCTGAGGTTGTATTTGGCTGCAAGTGATAAAACGCACATGCTGTGTTTGAACCCAGTAGGAGTCCGTTCTTCTCAACAAAGATCTTTGAAGGTATGCATTTCAGAGCTAGGCAATAATTTTTTATGCCATTAATGTCGCAGGTATCATCTTTCCTTTCTCTCTATCATACGTAGTCTATAGTTTCTAAGTCTTGCCATTTCCTGGTCTCAAAATGCTTGTTCCTTCCTTTGTCACCACAGACCAGAACAAAACTAAGGAAGGAAGGGGAGAATTGCAGCATAGGTATCTGTAAACTCCAAAGTCCTGGGATCCTTGGGCAGATACCCATCTTCTTCTTATTGGACAGAATTGAGGCACGTGGTCACCTCTGGCTGCAAGAAAGTCTAGAAAGATGTGTTTTATCTATGCAGTCACCACCTTCAACAGCTCTGAGGTTCTCTTAGAAGAAAGAAGGGGAGCATGAAGATAGGAAGCAACTGGCAGCATGTAGCACAAAGTTGTTGTTCATTTTTTATATCTTCTTTACTGTGCACAATAGCTGGCACATAGTAAGCACTCATCAAACATTTATAGAGAAAGACATTGACTTGGCCAGGCACGGTGGCTCACGCCTATAATCCCAGCACTTTGGGAGGCCGAGATGGGCAGATCACGAGGTCAGGAAATCAAGAGCATCCTGGCCAACATGGTGAAACCTCACCTCTACTAAAACACAAAAAATTAGCCGGGCGTGGTGGCACGCACCAGTAGTCCCAGCTATTTGGGAGGCTGAGGCAGGGGAATCGCTTGAACCCCGGAGGCGGAGATTGCAGTGAGCCAAGATCGCGCCACTGCACTCCAGCCTGATGATAGAGGAAGATTCCGTCTTAAAAAAAAAAAAAAAAAAAAAAAAAAAAAAAAAAAAAAGACATTGATTTCACAGAACGAAACTCTTTTTCTAGGAGAAGAAAGCTCTGAAGAGTTTAAATGATTTCACCAAGATTCATAGCTAGATATGGCAGAACTGTGAGAGGTTTTAGGAAGAACATGAAATCAGAGCCTCTCTCAGTCATCCTGCAGAGAGTGTGGTTTGTATTCTAATTTCTGGAACCAATCTGGTATAATAAACTAGAAAAATAGGTCACGTGTTTCTTTGTCATTTGAGTTTAAGATTCTTATTACTGGGTCACATAACTCCTATTTTCATACTGAAACCAAATCACTCAGAGACTCGTGTCCAGATGTGTCTGGACCTCTCCGTGGTGGCCCTTGATTATTTCTAGCCCAATAAAAGAGAAAGGAATTTCAATTTCTAAAGGAAAATGAAAACCAATTATAGCAAACCTTAACAAGAAGGAAAAGGTGGTGGCCTATACCACTCCACTTCTTCAAATGGGTTATTTGATTTTGCTTAATTGTTGGTAAAATTTTCTCAAATTGGCAATTATAATCTGGAGCTGATTGCTTACCCAGGTAATTTACAGATTTCTCATTTGGCAAGAATGCTTCAGAACACTTACCATGAAGTATGGCTTCATCATCCTTAAGCTGAATTTTCCTTTTTTAATATATTCTTCATTTGGAGAATGTTATTACCTTTGCCCACAGGAAGTTTAGGTGCTAATTCTGTTAGCTGCATGTTTCTGATGAAATCAAGGGGTTGTTTGTACAATTTGTTTGAAATCACTTAGGGCCCCAGTGGAATTGATTAGGTGTTTCCCAAAGCAAATAAAATAATCAGGCTAAGGTAGGCATTCATCAAAGTTAGCTGCAATGTATTAACAATAGGTCATACTTTTTGGTCCTGAAGGGGGGTTTTATGAGGTAACAACTATGCTGTCTCCTCTGCCTTCAATCTTAGAGCACAGTCTTCCACTCACTCCCCTTGTCAGTCTCGTCTGAAATCAAAGTTTAATTATCCTTATTTGCTCTTGTACTGTGCATTAAGATAGAGTTTATCCAGTAGTCCAGCTGTTTTGAAGATAATTAGTAGAGAATTCAACCTGCTCTAAAATAATCCTTCTGGGCAAAGAGCCAGGAACTGAGGACATATTCTCCAATGATACCAAGTTCTCCTTTACTTGTAAGTCACACATTTTCTATCTCAAGTCAAATACTGTGCATTGTACTATGAAGTTGGGAGTTTGAATTGCAAAGCATGATTTCCATTCTTAATAAGTGTCTGCTTTAGGAAAATTGTGCTATTTCCATTTAGAGGAATTGTTAAAGCCAGTGGGAAAAGGTGGTTCATGATCAATTTCAATACAAGGACCAATGGACATTTTAATTTTTATTTTGGCATGAACTTGAGTGGTAGGGAACATCTTTGCACATAAATGTTGGTGATGTTTGCTTTGTTTAATTATTATTCAGTAAACATTCATGGAGCACCTATTATAACCAGACACCATTCTAACCACGTGGGATGAAATTGTGAACAGGATTTACTAGTTCCTGCCTCCGGAAGCTCAACATTTTGAAGGGAAAATGTTTCTGTGGTTTATTTTCTATTGCAGTGAAAGCACCTCCCCTGGGTGATTTATTAATTTTCCAGCAAGTGATTGATTTATCAATTTTCCACCAAAGTGGCAAGCTGGCTTTGGATCTAAGACTGAATATGGAGCAATATAGTCAGGTTCTCTTTAATACAGCTTACTAATGTCATCTGTCCTCTCTGTTTAGTGCTGTAGCTTAGAGGAAAACTGCCAAGTCCCAAAAGATGCCTGATCCTATAGATGCATGAGCTGCATGGCAACGAGTGTTAATTACCAGCACCTAATTACAGCACTCATTTTATATGGAGTGAATTTAGTGCTGGACACACCAACCTTCTCCCACTTTCTTTGTGAACAACAGCTCATTTTTTTTTTTTTTCCTGTAGCATCACCAATGACAGGAAGAGAAGCAAAAGGCAAACCTGATCTTCCTATTGAACTTCAGGTTCTTGAATTTTCAGGTCTGCTAACATTGCTTACGATAAATGATGCTTTTCTTCTGCTGCTTTTGATTGAAGAACACTAGAAATCAGTCGGGGAGCAGGTGCTGCATTGTGTTAGATTAACGCTGATTGAATTCTTACACAGCCAGCTGATTGAAGCACGTGTTCTGCAAGCTTATGATTCTACAAACACTAGGTTGCAACCAGGAGGGTATTTTGCCATATCAAGTCCCTTAATCAACACCCTCAAATCTGTCGATACTGTCAACTGGAGCTTAGACTTCTAAGTCCCCTCTGTGAAATAGTACCCTAAGCTGGTCACAAGCATAAAAATGGATTTCTGGAAAAAGAAGAGACATGGTTTCAAATGCTGTTTCCTTCTCATGCTGAGTAGATGAACATTTAAATCATGACAATAATCAGATGTTCATCAGACTTGGTAATGAAACTGGATGGACATAGGCCTTTTTGTTCTCCATTTAATAGCATCCAATTTGCTAACAGGATGAAAAAATTTGAGTTGTTGGCACAGAATTCTTGAAACTACCCATGGGAGTACACCAGGTGCTGTCACTGGATGGTCCAGGCCAACACTCCACATGTAGCTGACACTCAACATCTTTTATCCTACATTTTAAAAATGCATGACATATAAGCCCTATGACACTGCAGAGGCTACCCTACTGGGAAGGAAATGGAGTTAGTTGGTAGGAGAAATAACACAGAAGTTGACACAATTGCAAATAAGGACTTGGACAATCTTGTGAAAACCAAGAGACCATTATTTTTCTGCAATGGCTTTAACCTAGTCTTCACCTAGTTCAGAGAGCTGTCAGGAGGCTCACTAGCTGTTTTGACCGTGAATAGCCATGCAATGGGAGGTCAGGAGGTATCAACAGTGAGCAAAAATATCTTCTTGCCATTGAATGCATCCATTCACTCACAATTCACATAGTCAAATGTTTTTCAAGTATACATTATCTAATATATAAAGCAATCTTAAGAACAAAGGAGAAATTATCTGTGGCTCCGTTTCCTTATATTTAAGTGGGGTCTATGTTAGCACCTACTTCATAGGGTTGTCATGGGGCTAAAATGACTAATATGTGTAGAACAGCATCTTCCACCTTCTATGTGCCTTCTATGCAAGAGCAAGATCAATGTTAGGTCTTATTAGTGGTCTGATGAGAGAATGAGTCAACCTGAAAGGTTTCGTAAAGCCTATTTTGCATGTTTTCTTTATACAATTGCACTTTTCTATATGGAATCTCTTAATTTCTTATGATATTTCCTTTTAAACTGAAAGCTGCTTTCCACCTAACACATACAGAATAGTCCGAAATCCTGCTGGGTAAGGCTTGAGGTGAGCAATGAGTTCCTGCCTCTTTCTTAGGCTTTATTAACCCCAATGCTATAATCTTGGTTTCTCTCCTTTTATGCTGTAACCCAGAATCTACTGCTATGCCTGTGCAGGCACACACGCATGAGCACACACACGTACACACTCAAACATCCCATGTTTGAATGAATGACTGAATAGATGTATTCATAACCAGTGGAAGGAAAAAAGAATGGTTTGGTACGTTAACCATTCCATTTCTCTTCCTCTGTCTTAAGACTGGTACTCAGAGAGAAAGAAATATGCCAGTCACTTCATGCAGTGAACTCTCTCAGCTTTCCTTTGACACACTCCAGTAGTGATTTTATTATACAAATAGGCACTCGGAGATGATAATGCATTGTGGTCTTCAAAGTGTGCTCACCATACCAGCAGCATAAGCATTATCTAATCTTGTTAGAGATGTACTTTCTAACTCTGGCCCCACTTCAGCTATACTGATTCAAAAGCTCTAGAATGAAACCCAGTAATCTTGTTTTAATAGGTCTTCCAGATGACTCGGATGCACGTTAAGTTTAAGAACCTGGCTTGGCCAGGCATGGTGATGGGCTCCTGTAACCCCAGCTCTTTGTGAGACTGAGGTGGGAGGACCACTTGAACCCAGGAGTTTGAGGCCAACCTGGGCAACATAGTAAGACGCTGCCAAAAAAGAAAAGAAAAAGACAAAGAACCTGATCTAAGTGAAATCTAAACCTATATTTTGATTCATGTTCTTAGCCTTGGGCCAGTGTGATCCAGTACTGTCACATAGAAGGTCCACGAAACTTGTTTAGAATGTTGCTTCTGTTTACATACATAAAGTAAGTCATTTTCTCTCAGCATTAGATATGAGCACTCCCATAGTTTTTTTCCTATAAATGATTACTTATGGTCCAAGGCAAATTTTAATTCTTTGTTAACTTCTTTTTAAAGAAGGTATAAAGGTATATTTCATGTGGCAAAATGCATCTGCCCCATTCTTTCCATTGATGTATTTTACAAAGCTTATTTCATGAGATAAAGATCCTCTTAAGGTTCAGCTACTTGGATAAGATCTCACAGGTAAGTAAATGGCAGGGCTGAGTTGGAATGCCAGTGTTTTGACTCCACAGACTCTGTTATCAAATTCTGTGCAGTACTGCTCTTCCTGCCTCATGACACCTCGTCTCTACCTTCCAGAGATGTTAAATATCAATTTATGACATTGAGCCATCTCAGTCAAAAATACAGCTAAACAAATGTTTTTCTAAGCTATCTGTGACACAGTCTACTTTTGAACCAGTGGATAAGGTTGCAGGCATTTTTCTTTTCTAATACCCTTAGCTGGGAATGGGATTGGTGTGGCTTCTAGAATCACAATTTTGTCAATACACGGAGAGAGTCTTTGCCCTATTCCTCAGAACAAAACCATTACTCTTTACCACAAAATTTGAACTGTCAGTCATCCAAACATTTTTGCTCTTTATAAACTTGTCATTTTAAATCAATGAGAAAACAAAGGAGGGCCTTATTCCAAGTGAGGAAACCTCACCACATAATCCAGTGAAAATCCCAATGTAACAATCTAATTGCCCTTCACAATTTAGATGACATTATTGAATGTTTTCTTTGTATATTCTGAAAACAAGCCTAGAAATGTATTAAAAATAATTATGGAGCCCTGCCTCACAGACTGAAACAGCATTCCCGGGATTTGTTACATGTCACACGTAATCCTCAGGGCAGGCAGCTCAGGGGCTCAAAGAGCACAGTCAGCTCATTTTACTAACAATTTGTTTCTCAAATACACAAAAAGGAGCTTTTCTATTTTTTTTTTTTTTTTTTTTTTTTTTTTGAGACGGAGTCTCGCTCTGTCGCCCAGGCCGGACTGCGGACTGCAGTGGCGCAATCTCGGCTCACTGCAAGCTCCGCTTCCCGGGTTCACGCCATTCTCCTGCCTCAGCCTCCCGAGTAGCTGGGACTACAGGCGCCCGCCACCGCGCCCGGCTAATTTTTTGTATTTTTTTTTTTTAGTAGAGACGGGGTTTCACCTTGTTAGCCAGGATGGTCTCGATCTCCTGACCTCATGATCCACCCGCCTCGGCCTCCCAATCTATTTTTATATTTTGTATCTATTAGATAATATGCTCTCTTGCTGAAAATGCAGCCTGGTTCTACTTAATGTAAGGTTATCCAGTACCAATTCCATCAAAAACAGTGATACCATCATTATTTCCAGGCTGCATTGAATATACTATCATTCCTTGAAAAAGGTTAAAAAAGACAATTTCTAAATTACAGCCTTTAATTGGAGAGGTCTTGGCAACCACCACATCCAATATCCTGGATTTCAGATTGGATAACTGAGGCCCAGGAAAGCTCTTTGATTTCCCAAGGTCACACTCAATGTCTCAAGCTAGTGTCGGTCAGGACTAGATTACGGGTACCAGTTTAGTGCTCTTGTTTCTCCTCATGTTTGTCATTTACTGCCGGTTCAAAGAGCATGAGTGATGAAAAATATGCTCATCCATTCAACTTCTTTTTCTTTGCGAAGAATATGTTGTGTTTTGACTACACAGGGGAATGTGGGTTTTTTGTTTGTTTTTAAGTTTAATTTTCGGCAAGAATCATAAAAAAAAAAAACCATGATTCCTAAACAGAAAAGCCGGAATTATTATTAATGTACATGTTTTGTTATCCAAAAAGGGCTTTTGCAGGAATCCTAGCAAATGTCCCTTCTGCTAAAGAAATAGGTGATAGAATCGTCATTTCCCGGATAGAAGCAGCAACATCCAGAATGATTAAGTGCCTTTGTGTGAATGGCAAAGCAAGTTATCCCTAGATTTTTTAAGTCTCCTGGAGTGCATTCTATAGTAAATCACAGAGAGCCCAATTTGCAAAGCAAATTAGTGGAATATCTGTTTTATACCAAACATTTAGCTCTAAAAAAGTCTACCCCTCTACTTTTCAGTGAGTATGGAAGCAGTTGCAGAAAGAAAGAAAGTAAAGTGACTGATGCAAATTAGACTGGAGATATTACAAGAATCAAATCACTTTCTAAATACTTGTTACTTAGTACTTCAATTTGGGAGTTGATTTTGTGACAAACAGGAGAGTTGCTTTCAGATGGAAAATGCTATGATATGACCTCAGATGGTGAAATTAAGATGGAAGAAGCTCATTTAAATACAAGTTCTGCTTTTAATTCTCTGAGTATTTGAGGGATTAAAAAAGAAAAGAATATAATAGAAAGATATTTTAAAAAATAATTTTCTATGCTGAGGAAAGGCTGTGTTTTAAGTTTTGCAGAAGAAGATCGGATTTATGTTAAGGATCTTAAATTGCAAATCAATGCTACAGCACTTCTTGCTATACAGATTAAATATATATATATATATATATATATATATATATATATATATATATATATATATATATATATGTAGCTTAAGGCAGAGCAGTTTATATGAACTCCATAGATTGAGAAATAGAAGTCCAAGTCTTGAGCAGAGCATTCAAATCAACAGAATATATCAACATATTCAAAACAACATAATACGGCAAAACTGACCTTAATAGGATAAAGCTAAATCAAGAAAAATTTGGTCCCCTGGTGAGTGGAAAAATTCCTAACCGTAATACATATGAGAGAGTAACACGATTTCCTGAGGGAATTGTCTTTCTTCCTGTTATTATTCAGTGTTTGTCAAGTGCCTACATTTATAGATCTTATTTAAAATAGAACTAGTTATAGTCTCTGCCAAATGACCCTACAATATTGTGTGACTTCAGCTAGCTAGAAATATCTCAGGGGGCAGCTGAGTAGCATAAAAATATCTCTGATGTCCAGAAGGGGTGTCTATCTTCCAGCACAGCAGCCAGACATTCTGCTTATAGGTCTGGTTTTCTGTGCCACGGCCTTTTCTCTTTGATATCCATCAAGAAGGAGTGTTTACACTGAAAATGGGGTGTGAGTGGGACAAAAACACTCCTGGGGGATCTGTGGGTGATGTGTCCAGAATAGGGCATTCGAAACATCAATGTGGGAGAATAGAACACGTGGAAAAACAAATATAAAGTTTTGACAGTCCTAGAAACCTAGGGTCAATGGACAGCTTAAGGAACCTTCTCAGGACACTGGGGAATGGGAATAGGAGATGCTCCTATAGAAGTGTTTTGAGCAGTAAAGAAATTGGACTAATGAGAGGTCATTGATACTTTGGTTCCAGAGAACCCATGTGCTGGCCATAAACTGAAACTATTTGCATAAGAGGCACGATGTTTTGGAAGGACTTTACATGAGAAGAAGGGATTTGAAGAGTAGAAAAGCATTTCTTCAATTGAATCAATCAGATTCCATTATTTGCAAGTTAATATACAGTCAGTTTCTGTAGACTGCAGTGAGTTCTCCATCTTCCTTGGTAGTTCTTGAGGACAGGACAGATCAGACCTTCGTGGATTTAGCCAATTATGACTGAGAAAGCCTAGAAGATTATTGTTAAAACTCCATTTTCCGAGGCAAGGCACTGTGGTTTCTGTCCTCATTTTCATGTTGTTGTATTTGGGATTGTCATGTCCCCCAAAGGCAAGTTGCACAGTCTGAGTTAGAATTGATGATCTGCACACATCTGCTTCGGGGAACTTGGGGCCAGCACCTGAAGGACAGCCTGATGCTGATCAACTGGAAATAGATCAGAAGGTTTGGAGAGAGATCACAGATGGACTAGAATTAAGGAATGGACAGCTCTATAGGTGAGGCAGACAATGCAATGACAGCAGGTGGGAGCAGGCATTAAGTGAACATGCCTCATGCCCCACAACTCAAAATAAATGCCACCAGAACAATAATAGAGGCCCAAAGGACGTTGTTGTTCCTTTTGGGATCCCTTGTATTAAACCCGAAGTTACACACTGCAGATGCCATTGAACTGGGGGCTAATTTAGTGATTTACATTGTTGAGAAAGGATTAGTGAAACCTCCCATTTCGATGACCTGTTTCTAATTTGCATCTTTAACGAGGTGGGATTCAAGCCAGGTTCTACTCCTTTGTGTTTACTTCTCAGGAACTGTGTTTATTTCTGATAATTACAAATAAATCTTTCTTCCTTTTCTCAAACTGACTGAATAAAAGATGGGGGGAGTGTGTTAACTCCATAGCTTGAATAACTATCAAAAAAAGGGAGACATAAAATCCAATTATAACTCCTTCAAACATGTAATTACTGTTTCCTTCCCAAAGAGGATGATTGCTACATTTCATTTTAAAACATGTGTCTTCTCCTTTGTGGTTTTTTGCAGCTTGTCTAAGAGAAACTTGCCCCACAGGAAGTGGTGGCTCCAGACTGGGATGTCGTGACCCGGTGTGTCATGAAAAATGATAGCACCAAAGAAAATGTAGGCTACAGACTTCAAAACTTGATAAAGAAGTGTTCTGATTAATTTCCAAAGAACTCAGGGAGCCAAAGCAAATCTCTCAACATTTTTAGGTCTCTTGAAGAAGCAAGGGAGAAATGTCATATGTATTCTGAATTCAACTAAGACTGACATCATACAGACACACTGAAAAGCTATTCCAATGACCACAAAAACGGAAAGGGAAAATCCAGTGCTTGTCTATTGCAATAGACTATTGGCATGGAGATGACAGGGCAAGAAAAAGCTTGATTAGGAGTACTTTTTAGAGCAAATCAAATCCAAAGATAGCCATTTAAAAGTTACATTGACAATACATAATTTAATCAGGTTTAGGCATCAGTCCTGATATCAAATTTAAAATAAGCTCTACATAAACACAATCATTCTGCAGGTAATTTAGTATTTAGGTGAAGGTGGATTAATAAAAGAGCTTTTAGTGGGTACAGAAGAGATGCTGACTTTTAAATATCTAATAGCTGTACCAATATTGAGCCCAAACTGTTTTTTAAAATATAGCTTTAAGACAAATAGGAAATTCAAGTGAAGAAAATCAACCCAGAAGAGACATTGATCATCTTACAACAGTGACCGCAAAGTTATTTATTTGTCTGTCTGTTGGTTGGTTTTTGAACAAACGCATATAGAAAGCAAAGCTCCACAAGAACAAAGATTTTTGTCCATTTTTCACTGCTGATTAATTCTTTGTGTATAGATGATATTCAGCACATCCTGGGCACTCTAGAAATATTTGTTAAGCTAATGAATCCATTGGTTTTATAATTATAATATTTATTTTCATAACAGGATTAGGAACCTTTTGTCCTATTGAGGTAGAAAAATATATATTAAACTCCATAAAAGCCAACAAAGGAATTTAATTTAGATTTAGTATCTGTGTCCTCTGTGGAAATGGCTTAATACGCTAATGTGCCAATTAATATATTCTGCTTTATATTAGAATCATATGATGTAATATGAATTAGGGGTGAAGCATGAGTTTTATAGCAAAACTAGCTCTCCCACTTACTATATTTGCTGGGACACACGACCTTTCTGAGGCTCAATTTACTAACCTATAAAATGGAAATAAAGTTGCCTATCTCAAAGATGTTGAGAGAATTCATGCAAATAATCTGAATACAGTGTCTAGCATATATATTTATAATAGCCACTAGTATAGCAGGAGCTAACTTTATTATTGTTATTGGTATTAAGCATTATAAATTAATTAAGGAGAGGTATGTCAAGTTCTTTAGTTTTAATCTCTCAGTTCATCAGCGATTATCGTGTAGCCTAGAACTGCTCATCTTTATTTGCAAAAGGGATTTTTTAACATAAACAATATTGTATTTTTGGTGTGTAACAAATGTCTGTGCTAATACTAAAAGGGTCAATACAAGTATAAAGTTGGAGACAAATATTCAGAAAGGGACATCTCGGGGAGGCAAAATTATGACGTACCTGTTAATAGTAGCTAGAGGTATAGAATATTAAAACTGAAAGGGAGCTTTGATATGATGCAATGCAATCCCATCATTTCACAGAGGGCAAAACTCACTCAGAGCCACTTTCCCAAGGTCCCTTGCCCAAGGTCCCTCTGAGACCTGCTTTGTATGTACACAAGGATAGCTGAACCTGACCCATGAGTCAGCATCAGTATCACTCTGAATGACAGCACATTCTGCTTTCTAAAGATGGAGTGAGAAGAATTGGAAATACTGGGCTGTAGTAATAAGCAAATTGAATGCATGAGTTATGGTTTGCAAATGTCTTTTACAAACTTCTCATTTTATTCTCACAGTCTGAGATGGTGTCATCCCAACTTTAAAAATGAGAAAATTGAGGTTCAGAGAAGTTATTTAAGTTACGAAAAGTCATACATTTGATAGGTAGCAGGATTTGGTCTTGATATTAGGTTTTGTGACTCTAAATCATCTACTTTTTCCAGTCTGAGCAGCATATCAACCAGGTTTTTCCTTAAGAAAGTAGTGCACCTGTCAACTTTTGCTTTTTTATTTTTTGAGACAGAGTCTCACTCTCTCACCCAGGCTGGAGTGCAGTGGCGCAACCATGGCTCAAACAATCCTCCTACCTCAGCCTCGTAAGTAACTGGGACTACAGGCATGCGCCACTATGCCTGATTAATTTTTTAATTTTTATGTAGCGACAGAGTCTCTCTGTGTTGCTCAGGCTGGTCTCCAACTCTTCCAGCCTCAACTTCCCAAATTATTGGGATTACGGGTGTGAGCCACCACACTCGGTCTTGCTTTTATATTTTTTACAAGTATTTTAATACTCTATTAGAGCATAAAGTAAATAAAAATTCCTTCAACCACTTAGATATAAGTTGTGTGCTAAACTCATAAGAACATCAAAATCTAGAATGAGAATGTTATAAATGAGTTTGAGGCTTAATTCTTCTGACTGGCCTTGAATACATTATTTTGCCTCTATTACCCAGTTTGAATGGTGAGAAACCCTTTTGAAGAAGGCACCTGCTGGTGACAAGTGAGAGCGTGAAAGACCTTCCACATGCAGGGGAATGACACCTTTGGGTCACAGTGTGAGAGAGGGTCACGCATTGTGAAGTCTGGTAGAATAGAAATTAGTATCTATGTAACGGGAGAAAGATCTTGTTGAGGAGAGATCAACTTTTACTCATGGCTGAGATGGGTCCTTTACACAGGTCTCGGTCCTCCGTTCTCTCCCTGGTTGCTCCATTCTCTCCCTGGTTGCTCTCTAGAGGAGAGGTTAATTGCCTCCTTATCGCCTCTTTATTGCCCTGTGGGCACAAACTGCTTTGAGTTTGCCATAAGCAGACCTTGGTTCTAAACAGGCTTTCTCATGTGTGGGTGCTTAATTAATGTCCCAAAGATGATTGTTCTCTCTTAACTCAGATTCTATTCCTTTTAGCAAGGGTTTGAAAGAGGCTGGCCCCCTTTTAGCATCTTAACAGTTAAAAACAAAGAGAAGGAAAAGAGTTTTTTTAAAAGATGATATGTTATAAAACATAAATGAGATAGAGAATTTTCTTCATGCCTCCTTCCTTCCTCTAAGAAACATAAATTCTTGTGGTCTTTGCTGCCTTTTATTAGGGATTCTGTCAGCTTAGGTTAGAAACCTACTGAAACAGGAAATTTTCCCTGACGCCTTCCCAGGCCTCATGACGAGGGTGCCTTGCTTACCAGCCCATAGCTCTCAACCTCTTGTGGGAGAGAGAGCACTCAGGTGAGAGGGTGCAGGAGCGTGGGTGAGCGCTTTTGAGTGCTGGCAGGAGCAAAACTCCGTGCAGCTATGCAGCAGCATCTGGGGGGATACCTGAGTCCCCTGAAGCCCCAGAGGGCACGTGTTACAGCGCTCCTTTAGCTTTGCCAGCCACATCACAGATGGCTTAATTGTTAGACAGCTCAGTGGGGCATCAGTGTGACTTTTTTTTTTTTTGAGACGGAATCTCTCTCTGTCGCCCAGGCTGGGGTGCAGTGGCGCGATCTCGGCTCACTGCAAGCTCCACCTCCCGGGTTCACGCCATTCTCCTGCCTCAGCCTCCTGAGTAGCTGGGAATACAGGTGCCCGCCACCACCCCAGCTAATTTTTTTGTATTTTTAGTAGAGACGGGGTTTCACCGTGTTAGCCAGGATGGTCTCGATCTCCTGACCTCGTGATCTGCCCACCTCGGCCTCCCAAAGTGCTGGGATTACAGGTGTGAGCCACCACGGCTGGCTGCATCAGTGTGATCTTTTGCACCCACACCCGAGTTCTTGTCCGGCATCCCGGAGGAATGAGGTTGCAGGAACAAACTGAAGGGTGGTGAAAGCGGAGGATTTTATTGCCGATGTGAAAGAGGCTCTCAGTGGGAAGGGGAGCTGGAGAGGAGATGGAGCAGGAAGGTCATCTTCCCCCAGAGTCCAGTTGTTCCTGACTGGACTCCTTTCTGAAAAAATGCCATCAAGCTGTCCCCCATGAAGCCAAGCTGCTTCTCTCCCATGTCGAACTGCAGTCTCCGACATCCAGCTGCTTCTCCTCTTCTCCCCTTCTCTGCTCTCTGCCAGTCAAGTCAGTGGATTTTATGGGTACAGGACAGGGGGCAGGGCAGGCCAGGGATGGTTTTGGAAAAGGCAACATTTGAGTGGGAAAATGGGGATGTAAAGTTCTTACTGTGGGCAGCAGTTCCAGGCTTGAGGGTGGGGCCCTTGCCAGGGACCGCACCCTTTTCTGCCTAGAATTTCCCTGCCTCCTCTCCCTATCACTATCAGAAAATGAGATTTTGGAGACAAGTCCTGCAGTGTCAAAACATGAGGGACAACCATGTGGCCTCACTCTCCTCTGGTTGCCTTGTCCTTCAGGCTTAGGAAGGCAACCCCCGCCTGCCAGCCATTCTTGGCTGGAGGGGTTCTGCTAGTTTGGGAGATTACTCAGCAGCTTCATGGCCCTTTACCATCACCAACACCACGCTGCGCGATGCTTGCCTGAGAAAAGATGCCATGGGTTTGGAGCGGGAGAAAACTGACTGGGGCATGAGGGCAACAGGCGTCTTCTGCTGCTGAATTCTTCACATGCAGGAGCGGCTTGTCAGTCTCATTAATGAAGGCAGCATGCAACCGCCAGAGTGATTCAAGCTAGGGCCTGGCTAATAGGCCCCCAGAGAGGACACTGACCAGTTTCTCTGCTCGAATATAAAGAGCTTATCCACAGTGTTATCTGTATCGTTGACACTAAGTAAAATAATTCCTTGGAAAACTTCAAAATTAGCATTAAGAATAAAGAATCATCACAATTACAGCTGAGGTAGCGTGGCCGCAGCCGCCCCAGCTCCCTCTTCCACTCATCTTCTTACTTGACTGCGCCTGCAGCCAGGGCCTTTTTCTCTTGAAGGTTCCGAACCTGAAATTTTTATTCTTCAGCCCTGAGGAAAGTGCATCAGATCTGTCTTCACGTGGGCAAAGGGAACAACTGCCTATGTGGTAGGATATGTTTTAGCACTTCTTCAAGGGGTGGGTTTCTCTCCAATCTGGGAGAGATTTCCTGCCCTTTGTGTTACTCCTTTATACTTGGTGATGCTGATGATGACTCAGAGAAGACCACTACTGAAATATACAGGTTACCTGAGGGGATGTGAGTTGATGAGAGGGCCCATGATAAAGTGGGTGTTTTATCCCATGATAAATTGGGGTTATTAAAGCAGATGTCCAACCCTGAGGCACTGGGTGAGGGGCAGGTGCATTGCACAATGGCTTGATCACGGCCACTCAGCTCCAGTAATAAAGCAGAATGGTTCACAGCACCTGAATTTGCCACAGTGACATGGGAAATTGCACTCTGTAGACCTGAGCACATTCTGGAATACATGTGGGTTGATAAAGCATCTTGCATTCACAAAAGAAAAAAAATTGAAGAATAAATTGAGATAAAACCTTCTCTACTCTTGCATCTACTAAAAAGTCCTTCTTTGAGAATGCACATCACCTACCACTCCACCTGTCTCCAACAAACAGTTCCTTTGGATAACCATCAAATCACACTCACACGTCCATAATCATAGCATTAATTTTGATCACCTGAAGACCAAATATATCTTTTAACATCCTCCTTCATGGATTAGGCACACTCCTCCCTTTTTGTAACAGTTTTATTGTGATATAATTTACATGCCATACACTTTACTCATTTAAAGTGTGCACCTTGTTTGTTTTTCGTATATTTGCAGAGTTGTACAACTATCTACACAATCAGTTTTAGAACAATTCCATCATCCTCCAGGTTAATCCCATACCTATTAACAGTCATTCCCCATTTCCTGCTCATCTTTCCTTCGCAATCTTAGGCAATCAAGCAACTATTTTCTGTCTTTTTAGATTTGCCTGTTCTGAACAGTTCATATCAATGGAATCATACAATAGGAGATCTTTTGTTGTTGTCTTATTTCATTTAGTGTGTTTTCAAGGTTGATCCACGTTGGAGAATGTATCACTACTTTATTCTTTATATATGGCTGAATATATTTCACCATGTGGATATACCCACATTTTATTCATCCATTCATCAGTTAACATTTGGGCTATTTTTCCTTTTTGTCTATAATGAATAATGCTGTTATGAACATTTGTGTATACGTTTTTGTGTGGACGTGTGTTCATTTCTCCTGTGTATGTATCTAGGAATAGACTTACTGAGTCATATAGTATCTCATGATCAACTTCTGAGAAACTGACACAGTTTTCCACCACAGCTGCCTCGTTTTGCATTCCCACAAGCAGTCCCTGAGGATTCCCATCTCTTCACATCCTGGCCAACAATTATTTCATTAATATTTTCTTTTTTATTGTCAAATATTTTAATATCTGCCTTAATAGAATTTATTTTTAGAGCAGTTTTAGGTTCACAGTAAAATTGAGAGAAATATACAGAGTCCCCACACATCCCCTGCTCTCCCCCAGAGCCTCCCCATCATCACCACCCCCACCGGAGTGGGCCATTGTTACAGCTGAGGAACCTACAATGACACATCATCACTGGCAGACTGTGTAGTTCACAATAAGGTTCACTCTTGGTTTTGTACATTTCATAGTTTTAGACAAATGTGTAATGAGATAGAGCCACCACGCTAGTATTATACAGAGTAGTTCAACTATCCTGTAAGCCCCATTGCTCTGCCTGTTCACCTCTCCCTCGCCCAACCCCTAATAGCCACTGATGGTTTTTCTGTTTCCGTAGTTTTTCCTTTTCTAGAATGTCATGTAGCTGGAATCATACAATATGTAGCCTTTTCAAATTCATATTTTACTTAGTAATATGCATTTAAGTTACCAACATGTCTTTTTGTGGCTCATTTCTTTTTACTACTGAATAGTATTCTGTTGTCTGGATGTAACGCAGTTTATCCACTCACCTACTGAAGAACCTCTTAGTTGCTTCCTAATTTAGGTAGTTATGAATAAAGTTGCGGTAAACATCTGTGTGCAGGTCTTTGCATGGTCATAAACTTTCAACTCCTTTAGAAAAATAGTAAAAAGGACATTTGTTGGATTATAAGGTAAGAGTACGTTTAATTTTGTACAAAACTGTCAACCTATCTTTCAAATTGGCCATATCATTTTGCATTCCTACCGGCAATGAAGGAGAGTTCCTGTTGCTCCACATCCTTGTCACCATTTGTTGTTGTCAGTGTTCTGGATTTTGGCCAGGTTAATAGGTGTGTAGTGGTATCTCCTTGTTGTAATTTGCATTTCCCTGATAATATATGATGTGGAGCATCTTTTCAGATGCTTACTTGCCATCTGTATGTCTTCTTTGGTGAGGTGTCTATTAAGGTCTTTGACATCTTTTATAAATGAATTGTTTTCATATTGTTGAATTTTAGGAGTTCTTTGTACATTTTGGATGACAGCCCTTTAACTGAGATGTCTGTTGCAGATATTTTTTCCAGTCTGTGGTTTCTTTGAATTCTTTTGACAGTGTCTTTTATAAAGCAGAATTTTTTAATTTTAATGAAATCCAGCGTATCAATTCTTTCTTTCATGAATTGTGCCTTTGTTGTTTTATTTAAAAAGTCATTGCCAAACCTAAGTTTGTCTAGATTTTCTCCTGTTTTTATCCAGGAGATTTAGAATTTTTTGTTTTATCTGTTTTCCATTTTGAGTTAATTTTTTAAACAAGTGTAAGATCTGTGTCTAGATTCTTTTTCTTTTTTCTTTTTCATGTGGACATCAAGCTGTACCAGTTGCATTTGTTGAAAAGACTATCTTAATTATATTGTCTTTGCTCCTTTGTAAAAGATCAGTAGACTCTCTGAAGACAGATCTATTTGGAAGCTCTCTATTCTGTCCCATTTACTTGGAGTCTATTCTTTGGCCAATAATACATGCTGTCTTGATTAGTGTAGCTTTATAGTAATTCTTGAAGCCAGGTACTGTCAGTTCTCCAACTTTATTATTTTACTCCAATATTGTGTTGGTTATTCTGGGTCTTTTTCCTGTCCACATAAACTTTAGAATCAGTGTCTCGATATCCACAAAATAACTTTCATAGCTTTCAGGGATTTTAATTGGAATTCCATTGAATCTAGAGCTAAAGTTCAGAAGAACTGAAATCTTGACAATATTGAGTCTTCCTGTTTGTGAACATGGAACACCTCTTCATTTAGTTGGTTCATCTTTCATTTTGTTCATCAGTTTTACAGTTTTTCTTATATTAATCTTGCACATACTTTGTTAGATTTATATCTAAGTATCTCATTTTGGGAGTGCTAATATCAATGGTACTGTGTTTTTAATTTCAGTCTCCACATATTTCTTGGGGGCATATATGAAAGTGATTGACTTTTATATACTAACTTTGTATCCTGCAACCTTGCTATAATTGCTTATTAGTCCAGGAAGGATTTTTTGGTCATTTATTTCATATTTTCTACATAGATGATTATATCAAATGTGATATGTGAACAAAGACAGTTTGGTTTCTTTCTTCTTAATCAGTTTGCTTTTTTTCTTGTCTTAATGCATTAGCCAGGCTGTTTAGTACAGCGTTGAAAAGTAGTGGTACAAAGAGACATCCTTGCCTTGCTCCCTAGTTATCTTCTTTTTTCTCGTTCTTTCTTTTTTTTTTTTTTTCTTGTTTGTTTTCTTTCTTTCTTTTTTTCTTATTATAGCTGCTCTAGTGGGCCTAAAATGGTATTTTATTAAGGCTTTATGTATTACTAATGATTAATAATATTAGCTTACTTCCATGTGCTTATTGGCCATTTATATATCTTTGAGAAATATCTATTCAGATAGTTTTGTTTTAAATTGGGTTGTCTGGATTTTTTGTTGTTCTTGAGTTGTAAGTGTTAAGTTATATATTCAAGAAACAAGTCACTTATCAGATATATAATTGGCAAATATTTTATCTCATTCTATAGATTTTTTTTTTACTTTCTCACTGGTGCTCTTTGAAATACAAAAGTTGTTAATTTTTATGAAATCCAATTTATCAATTTTTTTATTTGTTGCTTATACTTTAGGTGTTATATATAAGAAACCATTTGCTTAATCCAGTCCCAAAGACTATGTCTATGTTTTCTTCTAAGAGAGTTGTAACTTTTACCTTTAGGGTTTTGATACATATTGAGTTATTTTTTGTATGTGATATGAAACAGAGTTCCAGCTGTATTCAATTGTGTGTGGACATCCAGCTGTCCCAGCACCATTTCTTTAAAATACTATTATTTCCCCTATTCAATGGCCTTGGCACTATTGTCAAAAATCAACCAACTCTAAATGTGAGAGTTTATTTCTGAATTCTCAATTCTATTCCATTGATCTATATGTTTATCTTTATGCCAGTGCTACACTGACTTAATTGCTGTAGCTTTTTAGTAAGCTTTAACATTGGAAAGTGTGATTCCTCCAACTTTTTTCTCCTTTTACAAGATTGTGTGGCTGTTCTGAGTCCCTTGGATTTCTATGTAAATTTTATAATCAGCTGGTCAATTCCTGCCAAGAAGCCAGCTGAAATGTTGATAAAGACTGCATCGACTCTGTAGAACAGTTTGGGAAATATGACCATCTTCACAATATTAAATTGTCCAATTCATGGGCGTTGGCCATTTTCCATTTATTAATACTTAGGTTTTTCAAATTTATTTCAACACTTTTGTTTTTAGAGCATAAGCTTTGTAATTCTTTTGTAAAAAGTAGTTTAAAATATTTTATTCATTTTGATTGTATTGTAAATGAAATTGATTTCTTAACTTCATTTTCAGATTTTTCATTGCTAATGTATAGAAACACAGTTAATTTTTATATATTGATCTTGTGTTCTGCAACCTTGCTAAATTTCTTTATTCATTCTACTTGCGTTTTTTTATTTTGGTGGAATCCTTATGATTTTCTATATGTAAGATATTTCATTCGCAGAGACATATTTTTAATTGTTTCTTTCCAAACTGGGTGCCTTTTATATCACTTCTTACCTAATTGTGCATATTGCAAGCTTAAATACAATTTTGAATAGAAATGTTTGTGTTCCTGGATAAGAAAGGGGAGGCGAGGGTGTAATTAAGAGCTATACATTGTGTCATTGTGTGTGAGGGGTTGTGTCTCCAAGATTTTTGTAAATAAAAGTGAAATCTTTTATATATGCAGATAAGTTTGTTTTTATTTAAATTCACAATGAAAGATATATACATATATAACGTTTTATATATATATATGTAAAGTTATATATATATATATATACACACACACACACACACACACACACATACATATATATGGGCTGTCATACTTCTAGGCATGGCAAAATCCGAACCACTGAATTGCACCTTCTAGTTGCTTCCTAATGTGACTCACCTGTCTAGATGGCCTGTCTTTCTGTAGGATATTCTATTTAATGACACAGGGAAATTTACTCATGTGAACAAGGAACATATGAATAGTAGCTGATTTAAAAACGGTAAGTGGAAAAGCTTATTCACAAAATGACATAACTTAGAGTGGATAATATAGTTTTCTTCATCTTCATGAAGGACTGCCATGAAGAAGCAGCACTGGATTTATTTCTGCTACAAGGAAGAACTAGAACCAGTGGATGTGCCTTAGAGAGGGATATTGCAACTCAGCAATGAGAAGGTCTTTCAAATACCCTACCTGTTCCACCTTAGAGTGAGCTCTGTGTTGGTTTAATATACTCCTTTTCATAAGCTTCCTGAATCACTTATATAATGTGAAAAATTGTACTCAGAAGTATTATGATCTTAAGAATTTAATAAACTTTAATTAAAAAGCAGCCATTATCACCACCCTCAAAGTCACCAAAAGTTGTCTTTGAATTAATTTAATTTTATAAGACAAGTGCCACCCCACCTTGGGTTTCTTGGAGTGTGCACATAGACTTTGGGTGACATTTTCTTTTGTCAAGAGATCAAGTCGAACTTTCCACTTAAAAAATACAACACAAAATAAATCTGATTATTCACTGGGGCTGTTCACCCTGCCAAAAAGTTCAGCCTTCAATGGTGAGGCCAGGTTTCCTCTCCTGCCATCTGTTGAGCTTGGCTCAGCTTCCTGCAGATTTAAATGCTTCCTGTTTCAGAGGCTTTGGATTTCCTTTCCCTGGATGCCCCTTCCACCCACAGCAAAGCTGCAAGCCTCTCTAGTTCTCTCTGCTTCGACCGCTCTGCTGTGATGCTAAGTTTTCTTTTCTGGATTTATAGTAAAATTTCTTCTGAGGTGAACGCAGTGCCTAGAGGAGACTGTTAGTGTATGTTTGCTTTGTTCTTAATTAGCCACCTTCAAGGAAAAACCTCCTGGCCTGGTTTATTAGCTAGCTTTGTCAGAGCTTGTCTGCTTTATCTAAACACTTTGAAGAGCCTCTTCAACCATACACTGCCTATATGCTTTCAATATACATTTTCATAGTACTGGTCAATTGGAAAAAGGTAGAACCAGGGTAGTACAGAAGTAGGAAGGCCTCAGGGTAAATTGCTAATAGTGGGTTAGGAGAGAAAAGGGAAGGAAGGAATGGGATAGAGTGGAGCTTCACAGAGTGGCAGAGACCACTACCCTTTGGATTCATGCTGTCTAGTTGCTATTCAGTTTTTGGCCCCAATTCTGCTTCTGGGAAAATTTATGATTGCTGTTTTGACAAGTCATCATAAGGTGAGAAAAAATGGGTGGAAAAATTCTCCCTGTGGAGTTCTAAATGGTTACAGATACGTGTTTCTTCCTGTCAGAAGTGTAGTTTCCAATACTCAATGACCAAAACAGAAAGTGCTTTCTCCTCAAACTCTGAGGAGCCAATGACCCCTTTCAAAATAGGGCTTTTTTCCACCTCCCAACCCTGCCCCAACCCTATCAGAGCATAAATACAGCTAATCAACCTGGGTGCAGTTGATGAGCTCAATAATGTCTCTTGGTCATCAGTGACAGCATTGAAAACAATTGCTTGGCTTCTTGATTCTCACTCCTGAAAATAGTCCTCTCACTTGGTTTCTCCCTTGCGTTTTGAGGACAGTCATAGAGACACTTTCCTCATGTCTGATGCCCCAATGGCCCACCCACTTCCATCTCTCTGTGATCTATTTTTCTCTGTTTGCACCACCATCACGATCATCATCATCATCATCATGCATTTTATGTTTGGTTTGGTTTTGCTCATGAACATCACCTCTGATCTTCACCCATGCGTTCTAAGGACAAGACCAAGTCATGAGCGGACATTAACTGTGCTGTGTCAGGAAGGACGATACCACTCATCAGTGAATGGTGCCAGACCTCATTTGGGGCAAGCATCTTGTGCAAACTGTACCAAATAAGGTGTGTAGCATTAACCTTATTGCTAATATGCATTGATGACTTAGAAGTATCAACAGGTCAAATGGTGTTAGGATTTTTTTTTAAGCTTGACAAATGAAGGCCTAAGAAGAGCAAAGTCTCTTATTTCTTAGAGAAGCAAAATCTGAAGCCCCAAAATATTTCATTCCTCATGTTCATTTACCCTGGAATGAAGGTGATATTACAACAATCAGTGATGGTTTTCAAAACATCTCAATATGTTGGCCCCTAAGCATGGACAAATGACAGTACAATGAAATCAAGTAGGAAGCAGTGAAGAACCAAGCTAAATATGTTGTCTCCTACAGGAATCAATGGATCTCCTGTTAATAGAGAGGGGTTGGGGCTGGGTGAATATGGGGATAATAGAGGGTCGTGGAAGAGCTTTATTGGTTTGGAAACAATTCTCGCTCTCTTAATTACCTCCTGATGATGGCTGCAGACAGCAAAGTGGTGGTCCTGCTGAGATTTTCCGGTTGCTTCAAGAGACTTGGAGCTACGCTAAAATAACAAATATGTTTTAAATAGCATCAGCTTTACAGGGAGCCACACACAGAGAGCAAGGAGGGAGATGGAAGTGTTTGATTTAAGCCGCTTCTTTCCAAGATCCACAACTACTTCAGTGCTTAATGAAGGTGGGAGATGGTCTTTGAAAATGCTTTAGATTGAGTACTTTAGGACCCCAAATGCACTAGTTGTTTCCCTTGCGTATTACTGCCCTGATTCTTCAGTGCACAAGACGAATAATTTACTAAAAAGCACATGTAAGTATTTCTTTATTATTCATTATAATGAACTGAGACAGGAGTAATTCTCCACTCTGCTGCAATCCCCGAGGGCTTAACCAGGCTGTGCTTTGCTTTCCCACAGTTAATTTGAGTAGAAGGGGACCCTTCTCTTTGTACCTGTGGCCTAAGTAGGACTTGTGCTAGTCTAGGTGTGAGCAGGAAAAGGAGAATGAGAGACCCCAGCTGGACTGATGGCAAGGGCAATGTGAGGTCAAGTTATAAGAGCACAGACAGCAGATCTGTTGAGTGCCAAATAGGGAAGTGTTACAAAAGAATCATTACAGAATAACAGGAATCTGTAGTCAGTGTGCTGAGGAAGTGCATAATAATTTCAATAGTCACTTGAGCAGAACACAATTAAGGTGGTGTATTGGCTGTAAAGTACAGAGTAAATTATACATTTTCTACATATGCATTTCTAAAGATTTATTTCTTCTCGTTTTCTTTTTTCTCTTTTTTTTCTTCCTTTTCTCTCTCCTTCTCTTTCTTTCTCAACTTATTTATTTAAAATCCATGATAAGGAAACTCGACTTTCCCTACTTATAATGAAAATTTGGGTTTTCATGCCAGAGCTTCTTAAACCCTTACAAGTTTCTATGGAAGGATCCTCCTCTACAGAGAGTCCCACAAGCTCAGTCTTTCTTAGTGTCTTGCCCACATGTTGAGTGCTGTTTCATACATATGAGTAAAATGGAGAAGGCTGGAGAAATTCAGGTTACCTTCGGGTCAGACTCCCTGTTATTTTGGTTGCCTCGGAGCAGTTCAGAGAGTCTCAGCAGCTAAGAATACCCTCTTCCTCCCATATTAGCAATCTGGTGGTGCTGATTTCTAGGTGACACAAATTAAAAGCAGCAACTCTTGGTGCCTGAACTGGAAACATTTGCAAGTTAACCCTGTGGCTTTATTGCCTCCAGGGAATATCTCTCTGGGCTTTTCATGGCCCAAGGAAAGAGTTTTGCCTGCCTTCTATTTTATTTTTTAGGAGAGACAGTTCGCATAATCTGTATAAAATAAGCCACTATTCTGGAAAAGATGATTGGCTTATTAAAAATATATAGCATATATTTTTAAACAGGCAGAGTTGACATTCTACAGGAGCAATGCTGTAGGAACGGTGAAGACTTCACCTCCCATCCCTTCTCCGCCATCTGTCCCTGCCCATCTGTCTGTTTCATGAGAGTTTTATTTTTAAAAACTCAAATAAGGTTTTGTTCAGATGTGTAATCTGTTCAGGATGGCACAGGATGAATCAAGGAAAGCTACTGGCCTACTAGTTGGCCATTAAGCCACAGTCACCTGAACACACACAATTTCTGTTTTCTAAACTTGAGGCAGCACAGTCTATGGGTTGTGATTGGAAGAGATGGATGTCCTACTTAATTTTCCAAACTGTAAAACTGATGTATGTGTAGATGGAGAGATGAACACTAGGAAAAGTTAAGATCATTATAACATGAGGGGTATCATTACTCTTTAGTAGTAAGTAATTATGTAAATATAATAGCAAACATTTATTGACTATTCACTATGCTCCAGAACTGTGGCAACAGTGCTAAAAAAAAATAGTTTCTTTGGATATTCACTACAATCTATAGTTTTTGTTTTTTTTACAAATATTATTTCCAAATGAGAAAACTGATATTCACAGAGGATCAGGAGTTTAGTAAATTATAGACCTGTGACTGGAACTTATATACTTCTTATTAAAATATTTATTATCTTACCCCATATGCTACACAGAAATTTTATGGACAGAATAAAAGCAAATCAATTTTCAGTATATTTTTTGGTTCCATAAATAAATCAGTCCTTTAGCAGTTCTGGGTGAGTTTCATTTGAACCAAAAAGGGGAGGAGGTTTGTTTATGCACAGTTCTGGAGAAAGAAGAATGGCCTTTGTGGTCTTGCCCGTCTGTGGGATTCTGTGATCCCGTACATTATATGTAGGCAGGTATTTGTAGGGAAATCTGTGGGCTGTAATTTCTGCACTGCCGAAGTCTTTGCTCCCACGATAGTTGTGCGGGAGCCTGTGGCTGACTTGCGCCATTCTTCAAAAAGATATCAAGCTCCCCAGACTCTCTGCTTTTAATTTAAAATTTTAATTTATACTTTTCCATGGATGATACTGAGACAGACATGGTCGTGAGTAAATATGTCAGGATAATCTATTGAATGGAATTAAAATGGTGTGTGCTTGGGAAACATTTTAATTTCATCTTGCTCACTTCTTTGCCAAGCATAATGAAAAAATTGGGAGGCTGAATTTTAAAGCTGTTCAGGATGTGGAGGAAGGGAGGGCAGAGTCAGAGCCAGATGACAAATAAATAACAAGAATTGTTCTGGGTGGCTTCTTAAGGCATCCCTGACTAGTCAGTGGGTAGCTCCCTAAAAGGCTCTATATAACAAGCAGGCAGGTGTGAGAGCTATACCTTCATTGCCTTTTACAACTTTACGTGGAACTCCAAACCATTGCTGATGACCAGAGGGGCTGGATATTGGGAAAGATGGAAAATGGGGCTGGATATTGGGAAAGAAGAGACTTTTTATCATTCTTGCCTCAAAAGACACTTTTCTTCTATACCCAAAAGCTCATTGCTTCAGAAATGGCTTTGCCTTGTACTGTAGCACCACCATTTAAGTGAGTCACGATGGAAGAAGGTGGACATAAAGGTGTTCCAAAGCCAGACTGTGACTCTAAAAGAAGAGATGACAATACCCGAGCAGCTTGCTCAGTGCATTTTTCTGTGGAGATACCATTTGCTAAAATCTGTGGTTACTCATCTTTCCTAAGATGCAGCCCCATTACTGACTCCAAAAAACTGCTTCACTAGCTAATGGTGTCACCTTGGGTTGGGAGTAAGACCCTTAGAATAATTTTCCCTTTTCCCTTTTCCATGGTGCCCAGCAGTATCTGTGCAGTGAATGTCTCCTTAGGGAATTGGATGTGTTTCTCTGAAGCTCCTTAACCCATTCACCTGTGATCTGATTCCCATCACTCCATGTCCCTCATCTCCTTCAGCGCTGACACATGGTTGGCATCTGACTTCAGGAATGCCTCAATCTGCTTGAGAATGGTTCTTCTAGACTGAGCAGTATCCTGTTTATACACTGACGCTGTCCAAGAAAAGGACAACACTAGTGCCTAAGCTATTGGGGCCTGTGGGCCAACTGAATTCTGCTTCAGGTGTGCACAATTGTGTTGATTGATCTCCCAATTATGTATTTTTAGAAATACAGCATTTCACCAACCACAGGACATCAATCTAGAAACCAGCCCATCAACCACTGTGTCAACACACTGTGAAAAAGGCCTGATCAAAATAAAAAGTTAAAGTTGTCTCAGTGGCTATAGCTGAGAAAATAAACCTCAGAGGGAAATGAAATCCCACTGCAGAATTCTACGTAGGTTGAGTATAGAACACTTCTGGAGAGTAAGACATTTTTGAAAAAACAGAAAATGTTACTAGAAGTACGAGAATCTATAGGTAGACTGGAACAGCCCTAGAAGGATTAGCTAGTAATGCTAAAAATGTAAATTTCTTGTTATTTCTGATTAATACCACATCAATATCCGTTTTTATAGATTTGGAAGTACAGAAGGAGAAGGCATCAGAACTGCTTGGAAAAGGATATGCGAACGGATTCAGTATCACTTGGTTAAACTCACATGCACTCTTAGATCATAGAGCTTGAATTATATTTGTCCAGATGAGGCAACAGTGCTCGTACTAATAGAGCAGGCACTATTTACCAAGTATAATTCCTATTCTCAACACGCATCACTTTCTTCAGTCCTCATAATAGCACTGTGTAATGCCATGAGGAAAATACGTTCATCCCACTTCACAGATGCACAAATGAAGATTCTGAGAGGTTAAACAAAATGCTTATCTTAGTGCTCTGTGTTAGTAAGTGGCAGAGCCCACATCTGTCCAATGACAGGCATTCTCCTGAACACCACAATATATTAATATTATCTCTATAATGCTCGATTTATACATTTCGCAAAACCTCATAAAGAACTCTCAGCTCTCATCATCATTCTTGATATTGTCAATATGAACTTAGAAGAACCAACTTGCCTCTAAGTTAGTTCACATCCCCATCATTGACAAGGGTGACTATTGCTCATTTCACACTTATTTCAACTTTTCATCGTGTATAATTTCTTTCATTCCAGCTGATTTGCTCAAGGACTTTATTAAGACTTCTAATGCATTGAGCCTACCACATTCTCTGTATCCGTCAGCCCCTCCTATCTTCACTATTTTTATTCAATATTTTGTAATTCCTGTAATCCTTGCCTTCCTCCCTGTTGCTCACTTGGCGTACTCCAACACGGGATAAACCCATCATCTACATTCTCTATGCCTGAAGCTAGGCATTGCTGGAGAATATTCTCAAAGCTAGCAGAATATTGTCACTACAAATTCTTGACCACCAACTACAAATGGGACCTCAACATAGCCTATAAGTCCCACTATAGTTCCCTAGTAGTTTTGATGTCATTTTCTGCGATAGTTATTTCACTTTTTTGCATCCTTCATCCCCTTTCTTCTGTTCTTCCATTTACCTTCAACTGATAACTTAGTCTTCCACTTTGGAGAAAAGATTGCCTCCTGGCTTTCCCATAGCTGAATCCACAAAGCCACCCAGGTTTCTCTTATTTTTTCTTCTCTTATAGAGCAGATAGAGCATCTTTCCTTCATATACTTTATATCTAATGTTTTCTCACTTTCCCTGTAACTTTTCTCTGACAGTTATCCCCTTTCTCCTGCATTAGCACTTGCTCCCATTGATAAGATCATTCTCATTAGTATATATACTTACATACTGCAATGTAAGAAGGCCTGGTCCTTGTCTCATGCAGTTTTGTTTCTACTGCCTAAAATCAGGCTACTCAAAGTTCATTAAGTCCTCAGCATGTGGGCTTGTTGGAAATGCAGACCATGGTCCCCACTCGGATTTAGTGAATTAAGATGCACAGGTGATATGCAGGCTAACAAAAGTTAGAAACATCCCAGCACCCAATAGGTATTCAGTAAATATTTGCAAAATGAATTAATTAGTTCCCAAGTGTTCCTACTCTTAAAACAAATAAGCAACAACAAAAAAGCAAAACAAAAACCCTTTGAAGAACCTAATTGCCTCTACCTCTGTGTCTTTTCCCCACTCCACTTTGACATCAAAGTTCGTTAAAGTGTTGGCTGCAAACTTTTCATCAACATCTCATGCCTGATTCTCTGATGACTCCTTCCTTCACTCTAGCTCCCTCAAGCTCTTCCTTAAGCGGCAGACCCTTTCATCATGTGACTGTACTCTCACATCTATAGGGATGCAATGGTCCCTTCACTATTCTTTCTGCCTCTGGCCCTGCTACAGTCTATTCTCCAAAAGAAGTCCAGCCTATTCTCATAAAATACAGGCCTATAGTTAAACCTATGCAGACATTTTACCATGGAGATGTCTACCTCTGCAGCCCTGTGGAACACAACCATGTCCTTGTCTATCTCGCTTGGACTACTCTGGCTTCCACTCCATTCCTTACCTGAGTCAACCTCAATCCCAGACCCCACATGGCTGCCCTGCCTTCTATCTAAGACTCTATCAGTACCCAATACTTGTACCTAGTTTTTCTTCTGAGTTATCAGCTTTAGATATTTGTCTGTTAATCTAACAATTATGTTACTTCTTCAGAGTGGCCTAGTCTCTAGACTGCATGTGTGAGTAAGGTCTTGCCCATGCCACCCCTACATGACCATCTGATATGGTGTGGATGTGTGTTCTCTCCAAACCTCATCTAGAAATGTGAGCCCCAAGATTGGAGTGGGGCTTGGTTGGGGGTGTTTAGGTCATGGGGGTGGATTCCTCATGAATGATATGGTGCCCTCCTGGCTGTAATGAGTGAGGAATGATTTCTGGCTCTGTTAGTTCACAAGAGAGCTGGTTGTTTAAGAGCCTGGCATCTCCTCTCTGTCTTTCTTGCTCCCTCTCTTGCCATGTGATACCAACTCCCCTTTCCCTTCTGCTATGATTGGAAGCTTCCTGAGGCCCTCACCAGAAGCAGATGGTGGCGCCATGCCTCCTCTACAGCCTGCAGAGCCGTGAGCCACGTAAACCTCTTTTCTTTATAAATTACCAGCCTTATGGTAATGGAAATGGACGAAGACACCATCCTAATTCAGCTTGTACTCATGTATCAGTGTTCTGTGACTTTGTGTATTGCATATTGCTACCTCAAATCTGCGAGCTTCATGAAGGTAGAGGTGGGGCGTCTCTCCTAAATGTTCTATTTATAAGGCCTGACACAGTGTCTGGTCCTTAGCAGGTGCTTACTAAATATTTGTTAAACAAATGGACAGATGTATACTTTTTATTGTATCCATGAATGTGATAGGGTGCCTTTGTAATACTCTTGTGTTCTATCATTTGTCTGAGATCATAAGGACCTTCAAAGCAGGTATTGCCTTTTCAGATGTTTTTTGTTGTTATTTTTATTTCAACCTTGCCTACCTCTTCTTGGGAAACTAGTAATGTGATCTCCTCAACATACCCTGTGGATTTATAGAGTGACTTGGAGCCTGGGAAGAAACCAGCTCAATCATTCATTATTTTGTTCAGAGAGCTTTCTCTGGCCTTTCTGCTCACCCTTACTTTTTATAATTGTGTTTCGCTACCCTACGCTTTACTTCTTTTACCAAGATAGGAATTCTCCTCCTCTCTCCTCCCACAGCCAAGCAGTTTAACCCCACTTCTGTAGTTGTAAGCAATTTCTGCCTCTTTGTGGAGCCATCTTTCCATATAAATCACTCCTTTCATTTTCCTTCCCGGCATCAGATACTCTGTTCTGAGCTGCCGTCAGCACAGTTGCCTCACTTGCGTGGTGTGAGAAATTGCTTTCTGCATTCAGGTAGAGCCCTCACTGTGCTTGTGGGGACCAGAGATTCCCCTTGTTTGCGTCAGGACACAATGAGCAATTTCTGGTGGACTCATCTATCATCAGACATGGCTGAAAGTGCAGCACATTATCATCCAGTGGCTGATTTTCTGCCTCAGGTGATGCTGTTTTCAGGAAAGCCTGCAACCTCCCTTGGTTGTGTTTCCACTACTCTATGTCCTCATGTTGCAGGCCCTCACGTTGAAGGCATTAGTGTGTTTTCTCTGCATAACCTCCCCTCCCGCTCCACACACACATACACATGCACACACACGTGGGCATGCACCCTTCCTATGTATTAATGTGACATCTCCCCTCCAGCTGGTGTTAGTGTGGCACTGTCTTCCAATTTTCCAGCGAGTGGCAGATGTCATGTTATGTCAGATTTCAAAGTCAACCCGTTGCACTACTGAAATATTTTTGTGCTGTACTCTCCTTAAGTAGCTCTTATCCCTCACCATTTTTCTGCAGAGGCTTTCAGATACATTCTCAACCAATACCTTATCAGCAAATATTAGCTCTAGCAGAGTGATTACTCTCGTTGCATTTCCAACTATCTGAATCATAAAGTTTTCCCTTACATAATTTAGGGTCCCTGTTGATGCTCTGAAGTTGGCTCTATTTGTAACTCAGGAAATAAATGAGTAGTTAAAGCCTCCTGGGAGAACAGCTTTTGCAATTTAGAATACCTTGGGAGTTGATCTAAAAATATTTCATTTTGGCTTGCCTGTTCTTCTTTCCCTTAAAAAATTATTTATCACTGGTTTATGAGTTTATTAAAGCAAGGTCTTCCTCCCAGTTTTTGGACTGGCATTATTAATATATTTGGATACATAGTCAGGTTTTTCTTAGCAAAAATTCAATTAACTCTCAATTTATGAAAAAGGCAAATGATAAAAGGAAAACCAAAAAGTTACAAGATAATATGGGGGAATGTATTAAAAAAGTAAATTCAGAGAAATGCATTTCGGGCTTTAAAATTCCACCCAGCATTTCTTAAATTGAGTACTCTATAGAAGACCACTTTAAAAGCAGGGGTCAAGGATGGGAAGAGAGACAAGATTTTCATGGATTTCCAGTGGTAACTATTAAAAAAAAACTTTATATATGTGCAATCATAAAACTAGGTATAAATGCCTTAAGCTTACACTCTGATATGACTGTAACTTCTGAAATTATAAGTTATGCACATATATAGCCACTAAAATTTAAACTTGGAACATTAACTTAATGGAACAGATGATGTTTTATTAAAATTAAATCCACTTTGGGAGGCCGAGGCGGGCGGATCATGAGGTCAGGAGATCGAGACCATCCTGGCTAACGCAGTGAAACCCCCTCTCTACTAAAAATACAAAAAATTAGCCGGGCGTGGTGGCGGGCGCCTGTAATCCCAGCTACTCCAGAAGCTGAGGCGGGAGAATGGCGTGAACCCGGGAGGCGGAGCTTGCAGTGAGCCGAGATCGCGTCACTGCACTCAAGCCTGGGCGACAGAGTGAGACTCCGTCTCAAAACAAAAAACAAAAACAAAAACAAACAAAAAAAACAACATTAAATCCCAGGTTGCAATGTGGATGTGGCACTGACTGCTGTAAGGCCTGCCCTTCTGGGTTCCACGCTCATCCTGTGATAACGAAGTTCTCCTTCCACAGTGGCTCATTCTAGCGCTTGGGAACCTTCATTACTACAGTGGAGCCCATATCATTCAGCTTTTGCTGGTAGGAAGGCGTCACTGACAAAGCCAGTCACCTCTGTATTTTTGTCATCAGCCTGATATGATGCAAGGACTTCTCAATGTGCCAGTGTGGTGAACACAGGTGCAAATCTGAACATTTAAATTTAATTGTTGTCATACCACATCTAGCATAGGTTTATATTATACATCTCCCAATTACAATAGAAATGAAAACACTAAATTGAAAAATATACATAAAGAGCCCATGGACTCTATGTGTGTCTATGTAGATACAGATAAAGATATAGATTCAGTTATCCTGCAGAAAGACACATATATGTCCCCACATATAAGTCTCCTTATGTGGGTTCTTTTGATGCCCATTTGAAAAACATTGTCTTACACCTTTTATCACTATAAATATGTATTGATGACCTACTAGCTCCTGGGTAGAGGCTGGGAGGTGCTGGTGATACTGAATATGGTTACTATCCATGTGACATTCGTAGTTTAACACATGAGAGTATAAATAATTAAATTCAGTGATGTAAGCTCTATGAAGAGTCTAGGATCTTTGGTATTATCCGTATATTACAAAGAGAATGGAGTCTGAATTAGAGATTTAACTACATTTGCCATTGTCTACTAATTAAAACACAAAGGTATGCACCCTGTTTTAGGTATTATTACCGTAACAAAGGAGGAAACATAAAGGCATTTTCTAGTTAACTCTCAGTTTATCAAAATATCAATTATCAATTCTTTGAACACGTACAAAGTCCTCAATATATGAGGACACCATTTGTGAGGCTGGTTTAAAAGACTTGTTCTCCAACTACCCAGATCACTTAAATGTCCCTGCAGCTATCTGTGCCTGTATGTGAGATGAGAATTTCATTGTAAAGTTAGACACAATTTTCGGACATGCATCTTATTGCACCCAACTTTAGAGTTATAAACATTCAACCATTCAACGTCTGGCATGAGGCCATGGAAGGGCATTTCTTGGGAATTCTGTTCCAAATATATCCACAGTTCCCATGATACACTCTCCATTCCTTACCTTCTTTTATTTTATCCAGGTATCCTTCTGAAACAAATATATCTAGACATACATACTTTATTTGTCTCTCACTAGGTGTAGTTTCATAGGGCAGGAACTTTGTCGGCCTGTTCCTACTGTGTTCTCAGCTCCTAGGAAGTTATCTCATGCACCTTAGGCACTCACTCCATATCTGTTGAATGAATCTTGGCACTTTTTTTTTTTTTTTTTGCATTTTCAAAGACAAAATATAAAAACAAAAGTAAAGAACACAAAAAAGTTAAAGCCAATTGATTTTAATTTTCAGTGATTATTTTGATTAAAATTCCAACCTGTCACTTGCCTCATTTCTTTAAGGCAGTGAGTGGTTCTCCAGGAGGAGTCCCCAGAGCCGCAGTATCCGGGAACTTGTTGAAAATGCACATTCTTGGTCCCTCCAGACCCATGAACCAAAAGCTCTTTGGGGGCTGGCTTCAGCAATCTGTTTTTGATGCACAGAAAAGGTTGAAAACCACTGCTTTAAGGCATGGATTTCCCTAAGTTCACCTCTTCCTCTGAAAACAAAACAAAACGACCCTGAATCTTAACCCCACGGTACATATTCAGAAACATCTCTGCCTTCTGATGTCTGTCAGGCATTTCTTTGCTCTTCCAGACTCTCATTTATACCTTCTTTCCTCACACATGGCTAGAGGTTAAGAATGTGTACAAGTGTCTTCCAGATAGCTTTCCTTTTTTCTTATCTGTGCCTTGGGTTCCTCATCTGTAAAATGTGGATATAATATTAATAGAACACATCTCAAAGGGTAGTTATTAGGATAGAATGATTTGATATATTGAAAGTTCTTACAACTATGCCTGGTGCAGTACAAGCAATATATAATTTTAGAGGTTACTTGTGATGTAGTTGTAATGAGTTCTGTTTTATCAAGGATCAGTAGGTAGGGTTAGCTTGGAATGTAAGAATTTTAAATATCTGAAATAATTTCCAAGACATCAGAAAGTTGTCATTAGCCTTCCTCAACTTGCCTCTTGGCTCCCCCTTATTTAACTTCAAAAGTGTTCCCCTCTGTGCTTCTTGTTAATGAGAGTCCAGGACACGGCCACAGACAGCAGGGAAGGAGCCTGAGTTTAGAAGAGCACTCAAGCCAACTTTTTAAGTCCTTCCCTGAGTTCTCTTTCCTGCTGTTCAGGGGACTATGGAAGAGTCCTATGGTGATGGAAGAAAGCATGAAGCCATGAAACTACATTTTCTTTTGAAGCAGAGCAACATCATGAGGAAAATAACTTTCCTCAACTGATTTCATTGTTTCCCTCAGTTTCTCTGTTGTTAGGTTCTGAGAACCATACAAACTTGTGAACCATCTTTGCCCATTTAGAGAGATGGCTTTTACTCAGTTACTCTTTTCTGTTTCTACTCCAGGCCCATAAGGAGGCCCAGGTCCAAGAGCAAGTACACCGGATCATGGCTACTCACCAGGGAGAGGATTACCCAAGGGACACACAGGCTTTCCAAGGGCTGTGTGGCTAGGGCAATGACAGTGTGTTCTGGCCCACAGAGTAGTTTTGGATTGCCCTTTTTCAAAGTCCACCCTTACTCAAGCCTGTGGCCACTTGCACTGGTTCTATGCACCCTCAACCTGAAGTGGTTGGTCCTATACAAGGACAACGATAGGATTCAGGAAATGCACTTCAAAGATCTCAAATTCCCTAAAGTTGATCTGCTTGAGTAAGTGCCTGAGGTTGCAGTGTAATTCTGTGTCTCCCTTCTGACAGCTCCCACTTCACACTTCGTCCAGGAGATAAACTTCTTTGGCTTTCTTTGTCACCTCCATCAGCCGACTGTCATGGAGCAGGGTATCAGTCTTGAAGGAGACTCCCACAGAAGCAAAGCAGGGCACTAAAGGCAATGGCACCTGATTGCATCAGGAACAGATTCATGGCAAACTAGTGCATTCTCCATTTAGAATTAGAACTTGGAGATGAGACATGTCCTAACAGAGGGCTCGGTGATTTAGCATATTAAAATAAACAGTATTTGTATTTTCCCAACATTTCTGAGTGTATTGGGTTAAACAAGGCACTTCCAGTAAAAGAATAACATCTTTTTGCAGCCATCTGATAAGGCCTGGTAAAATGGTATCATATACTTTCCAGATACTGAGAAATTGAATGAATTTGATGCCATGTTATAAACCCCTTTGCGAGTCAGGTATTTTCCAATTCATTGCATTAAAATAAATTGAAAGAGGAATTAATTGATTTGTCAGCTGCGAGATCATTGAAATTATCTTTGAAGCTATATTACTATGTGATTTTTGGCATATATCTTGGAAAGCATTCAAATAATTGAGTTGGCATTGCTATGCACAATTTTCATTTCCATCTTCTTATGTGAACAAGGTTTCTCTAAAAGCAAAAGTAGGAATAGAATTGATCCTGAACTCCATCTCATTCTAGCAGTGAGTGATATTTATCTACGGCATTTAAAAAAAGGGGCCTATCCCTCTTATTAAAAGCTATATTTCTAGTAAGTTTGCTTTTTCATGTTTAATTATTGCTTAACGAAATGTGCTCTATATTTATGTTCTATCAATTTTATATTTGTAATGATCATTCATTTAAGAAATATATTATTGCTTAAAGTTTTATGGTCATAGGACATAAAAGAAATTTAAATTTCAATCTCTGTATATTTTTGGTTGCAAATAAATATGGTAGGTGATCAATAAAAGACCTTCAAGCATAAAGTACATTTTTCTGCAGAAGATATATAGTGGAAAAACAAGTTCCAGTTTAAAAAGGAACAATGCACGTGTTATGACTTTTAGAAAAAGAGTTAGTTCCTGAATTTTGAAAGCAGATAATCAGGAGTGTTAATCACTGTGATATTTAAATTCTACTGAACAAATACACACACACACACACACACACACACAGGAATTTTGTGACTTAAAAAAATTTTTAAATGTGAATATGTTCTAAAGGCCAAAAAAATCATCCTTTTCAATTGTAGCTTACAATTTTTTATGGCAACTTAAGAATGTGCAAGGGGTTACATAACTAAGCAAAATTAAAGCAATATTTGTTTGCACTTAGTCACTTGGGTTGTGTGGTGACTAGAAGACCACACAACTAGAAGCGACTGGAACATCACGCCCTTCACTCTGTCTCAATTTAGCATCTAATTCCAGGTGTGCTGATTTTTGGAATTCTACTATTTGAACTTTCTTTAGGAGGAGCTCTTCAAACAGGGATTTCTCCTTTATGAAAATTCACCTATCCTTAGGAAAGGTTGCATATTTCCCCTTATCAGTCATTTGCAACTGAGAATGAATAAATTTATCATATTTTTTCCCCAAGAAAAGCCTTTGAAAGTGGGGAGCAGGGAGGATCCATTAACGTTTAAGATCCATTAGGTCTTCATAAGGGAAATAGAAAAATGCTATGGAAGTAAGAAAGCAACAGGAAAAGAAGCAAGATGCCTCACGATGTGGAGGAGATAACATGACTTCATTTTTTCTTTATACCAATGACATTTCTATAATGATGTGAAAGAATCATTCGATGGTACCTAGATTATCAGGTCCTACTGGTGAATGCAGTTGGGCCCTGGAAACTCGCTTACCTAGAAAGTATGCAGATTGAGGTCTGTAACTGCTGGTGTGCAAGGGATGCCTGTGGTCAAATAAAAAAAAATAGTTTCATTGGAATGTTAGAGTATGATTCTATTTCAGGTGAAAGCAAATCAGCACAAGCTTCATACAAGTTCATGCATGTGTATAAGGAGTAAGATGTAGACTGAGATATAACAAGTTGCTAGCAAATCACCATGGGGTGCTGGGCATTGGTGAGGAGTGAATGGTTAGATGGGTCTGTATCATCTTAGTGTTATTTACATGCATTATTCACTTTGTATTGTTCACATGCTTATTTAGAAAAGAACAATGTCTTCCTGCAATATTGTGAGAGTGCCTAACACCCTCCCTACCCAACTTCTCAGCGGCTAAAGGGCAGATGGGCCAGCTCATAAAAAGGCCTGGGTGACCGGAAGCTGGTATTGCTTTTATTCTTCCTACCAACCAGGGAGAGGACCGCCCTAGATCAGGTGCTTTCCCCATTCTAGAGGGTCATGGTTCTGGTGCTTGGAGACCCTGAGCCATGCAGGCCAGGTGAGACTGGTCACTTGGCCAGGTCCTGACATCTCCACTGTGGCCAGTGTCTCTGGGGTCCTTCCATCTCCTGAGACCTGCCTGAAGGATCACTGCTGCCACCCAAGTGTTAGGTCAGATCCAGTGAGGGAAGGCCATGCCTATTCCCCGTGTTCTCCTCACCTGCAGGTGCTGGACTCAAGTCCCTCCTCTCTCTGCCAGGACATTGGCAAGAGTGGTTGTCCTTGTGCATTCCTATGTGCAGCATGGAGTGATGGGTGTGCCTCCACACTTAGAAAGCATTCTGTTTCCTCATGCTTCCATTCCCACGTCCTCAGTTCCTGGGCACATGCGCAGACGTCCAACACTTTCAGTCCTATATCAGACCTGACAGCCTGCAGGTCATCCACACTGACACACAGGCCTTGTTTGTGTTCATAGCTTTGAATTGTTAAGGAGAGTAGGTGAGAGGTGTTGCACAGTTCCCTGCTTTGATAATAGCCTTGTTCTGTCTCCCAATGGGACAGGGAGTGTATGAGGAACAGGGATTCTGCTGATAATTTTCTTTTTCCTCTCCTGAAGTCCTAAGATGCAGTTTTGACTTCCTCAAGAAGTGTTGGCTTTCTAAGGTGAATTTTACCAACCTATGTTATAAATTGTAGTTTGCAGGCTTTCGGCTGCTTAGGGGTATAAGGAGATTACCAACACCAGGGAGGTCTGGAGGTAAATATGTTCAATTTTTGATTAACTACAAGTTAAGTATTTGCTTTGTGGGTTATCTGTGACCTATTTGAAATGCTGATCCACTCTCTCTCCCATGTGCCCCTGGGCCACTTCTTCCCCAAGGTGGTAAATGTGCTCAAGAAACATAAACTGATTTTCATATAAGCCTATGGGGAAAAAAATAACAGGGAAAGCAAATGGATGGCAAAGATACATAATATGTCTCGAAGTCAAATAGAAATGATTTTGTATTGTCAGTTCTTCAAGATGATTCTGGTCACTCTTAGTTTATATTTAGGAAGTTTCATCAATAATTGTTTCCTTTTAGCACTGTGTTTTGTTGTTTCATTTACTCCTCAAAATGCAACGTCTTATTTACCATATTATATAATCTCTCCACTCTCTCTCTTTCCCTTCTTCCTCCCTCCACCACTCCCTGCCTCACTGCAGGTGTACCATAGATGACCGGGTAACCCGGGTGGCCTGGCTAAACCGCAGCACCATCCTCTACGCTGGGAATGACAAGTGGTCCATAGACCCTCGTGTGATCATCCTGGTCAATACACCAACCCAGTACAGCATCATGATCCAAAATGTGGATGTGTATGACGAAGGTCCGTACACCTGCTCTGTGCAGACAGACAATCATCCCAAAACGTCCCGGGTTCACCTAATAGTGCAAGGTAAGTCCCAGCTGGATCTGGGGTTGCCATTCCCGTCAGTGATGGAGGGGAAGAACAGTGTTGGTGTTTGTTCTACCTGTGTGCGAAGACACAAAAGTCATCTTCCTCTACTGAATTCAGAGTTTGACTATATGTCTTGGAATGTTTCCCATCGAATGGGTACTTAACTAAGTGCTGAATATCTTCTCAAAGTTTCTAAATGTTATCTCTAGTCCTTCTGTTCTCATCAATACGTTGTGTAACATGCACTCGTATTGAGCTCTCGTAAGTTACTTAGCACTCTGGAGCTGGAGTGAGATACATGCAAACATAGATAAATACAGTACTACTCTCAGTGCCTTTTAATTCTCTTATAGGCTTATTTCATGATAAAAGACGAATAATGCCAATGAGAAACTACGTGACATGACTGTTTTCGCACAGTTGCTGGTCATGCATGCTCTGGAGGGGTCTCTGAGTGCTGTTTAGGCAGGTCCTCCCTGGCATTGCTGCTGTCTTTAAACACTCTCTCATAGCCAGACAATGAAGTCCAGATCCAAGAGGGATATTAGTCAGAATGATATCTGCAGGTTAATGTTAGTAATAAATTCAGACAATTTTAAAAAGGGAGAAGGAGGAAGGAAGACTTAGCATCTTCTTCCATTCTCCTTTAAAAACTTGAATCGACATAGCCCAGGAATTGTGTCACGTGCATTTTAAAATAGTTTTTAATTTAAATTTCATATTACACCTCAAAAATGGGGCTGAAGAAATGTCAGATTCTCAGATATTAAATATTAAGAATTAAAAACACATGCAGATAGCAGTTCCAAGAATTTGAGAACCATTTTAAAGCAAGGCAGCAATCCAAATGAACTTATTTTGAACTTGACCCCAACTATCATCACCATGTAAAGCCATTTCTGTCAGGTGTTGGCTCACGGCAGGAATGAAGTTGTAAGCACATTAGTTCCGTCAGCCAGTGATGCATCCTTCCTCCACCAAATGAAAGGTTCGGGTGGACTTCTTTCAGAGCCTCGTTTGCAGATATCTTGAGGAAACACAGTGAGCTCTCAGAAAGGGTCCCTATGTGTGATTTAGTCTTTAGCATCTGCCTTTTATCAGATCCCATCTGTCATAGATCCAACAGAATTTTTTTTTTTTTTTTAGTTTGTGAAATGTGTATGGCATCCTTGCTTAGCTAAGATAGATTCCTCATCTCTGATTTAAAAAAAAAAAAAAAAAGGACCACGATGTTGCTCATTTCAATTGGTTTCCTAGAGAGAGGTTGCGTGGGGGCTGTCTATTCATGCTTCAGTCACTTGCATGATTCAGGTTGCCCATTCTTTCCTTTTGGCGCAAGCAGCCAGGCCTGCCTCTGTAGCCATTTGTAATGGCATGTGTGGGGCCAGAGAGCTGTCTGCTGTCACTGCTGTTCCCCAGCAGTCCTTGGCACTGCCATGCTGCCTGAAGCTTTGCTCCTGCCCAGCCTCCAAGCCCTGCTCCCCTCCTCGCGTGCTTTCAGGCGTTCACACACGCCATCCGACAGACATCTACAGATGCTGCGGGTTTCCACTCTCCATACACGTCCACCCACAGCTCTGGAGTGACAAGACTGCCTGCCATCTGGAGATCAAGACAACTGTCACATCTGATACTTCTCCTCAGAGGACGACAGAGGCACTTGGTGAGATCAGTCATCGGAGATGAGCTGGGCTATCTGTTGAACGTTTCTGAGGGTGTAGAAAACAAAAGACTGTGAGCTCTCACTACCCCACCTGCCTGCACCTGGGCTTGGTTCCAGAGGAGCTGACATTCTCGGCATCGGAAGTGCCACCTCAGTGGCACCTCTGTGGCCTTGACAGCAAAGTTATTTTCAAATTCAGGAAATGTGGCACCGAAATAAAAAAGAACTGTCAGGCACTGTAGAGAAACAGACTCAAACAGAGCAAGCCTATCCCTTTTCAAGAACGAAGATAGATGATATAAGCAAATCAAAGTCAATGCACAACATAATGGGCTGGGGGCTGAGCAACAGAGAAGGATGTTCTCCATAACACATGCTGAGCGATCCCTTGGGTGGGATGTGGCAGCCTGTGGGGTCTCCCTGTGGACCTCCAAGCTTCAGGTCAGAAAAAGTCTAAGGACAGCATGGCATCTATTTCAGAGGTCAGCTCCTCAGTCTCCGCATTCCAGGCCAAGCTACTCTCTGGCTCCAGCCCTCTGAGGTGGCCTGGGAAGTCCAGAGGCAGTCAGGATGGGTGGGGGTGGGAGGGGAGGATATTCTTTTGGGGAGGAGCTTCTCTTGGGGAAGAGCTTCTCTTGGGGATGATGTTCTCTTGGGGAGGAGCTTATCTTGGGGAGGAGCGTCTCTTGGGGAAGAGCTTCTCTTGGGGAAGATCTTCTTTTGGGGATGACATTCCTTTGGGGAGGACATTCTCTTGGGGAAGATCTTCTCTTGGAGATGATGTTCTCTTGGGGAGGAGCTTCTCTTGGGGAGGAGCTTCTCTTGAGGAGGAGCTTCTCTTGGGGATGATGTTCTTTTGGGGAGGACCTTCTCTTGGGGAGGAGCTTCTCTTGGGGAGGAGCTTCTCTTGGGGAAGAGCTTCTCTTGGGGAGGAGCTTCCCTTGGGGAAGTGCTTCTCTTGGGGAAGATCTTCTTTTGGGGATGACATTCCTTTGGGGAGGACATTCTCTTGGGGAGGATCTTCTCTTGGGGAGGAGTTTCTCTTGATGATGACGTTCTCTTGGGGAGAAGCTTCTCTTTGGGAAGATCTTCTCTTCGGGAGGACATTCTCTTGGGATCCTTGGCAGGCTGGTTTGTACCTTTACTGAGAGGCCACAGAGAAGGAGATCAGAAAGCTGAATTATTTCCTCTTGCTTAGTGATCCAGTGACTTGCTCTTTCTTTGGAAGACAGTTGAATTACCAGAGGGTGGATGTAGAGACCCCACTACTCAGTTAGAAAGAAGCCCCAGAGTTCTTCTCCCAGCAGCATCAGCTTTTGTCCAGTCTATAGATTAATTTTTCAGACATAGTGTTAGTTCAGGTTAGATAAAGATAATGAAAGTTTCCTAATCCTCTTAAAGAAAATTTATCTGACTGAGTAGAAAGCTTTTGGAAGACAATAAGGCATGTATAAAACTGAGGCCTAATCTTGCCTTTAATTTCAAACTGCTGATGGGTATTGATTTTGCAATGAGAGAAAACAGAAAAATTTCCGAGCTGCCACTTGTCTGTTTATAAAAACAAAAGGTGTTTATGTATCTTCTGTCCATTTGAGAAGGTGGGTATCTCATTTCTTCTGCCAACCAGATGCCATCAGCAGAAGGGAGTGCACGCCTAAGGGACTCAGCTTTATCCCTCCTGCCATGGGAGCGCCTGAGAGACACTCTGCCACCAACTTTCCTGCCTGCCCTTTCCTGTTGTAGAAGGCAGCCTTTGCCACATATCTGATGGAACTAATTTCCAAATCCTTCTCATTGAGAACAGAAGCTGCCTTCATTAAAATCGTGTCACTGATACCTGAGGTACATCTCAGCCACTGAGGGGATCAGCACAGGCACCGTGTGAGCATGTGATAATGTGATCTAGGCTGCACACCTCAGTGTGGAGGAAATCCGGAGCAAGGGGGATGCTCAGCTGTGGGGTCGGATTAGTTGGGGGGAAAATCAGCCTGGCAGCCCCGCAGAGCAGGAGCTAAAGCGGGAGAAGCTGGAGGCACAAGCGCAGGCAGGAGTGACTCCCATCCCCGCTAAGCAGTGCAGCCAGGGTGACCGTGGGCCTACCTGAAAAGATCCAGAGGTGCCTGAGAGGCACTGTCCACAGGAAACTGAGAGCATTCATCCTCATACCTGGAAAGAGGAAGAATTAAAATGATATCACCCAGATTTTTTAGTTTGGAGAAATGCTAGTGATTGGGGAGATACGATCCTATGCCACTCGGAAAGAACAGCTTTGGGCTTACGAGGTCTAGAGATAAACAACACACAAACATTACACAGATGTTGCAGAACTAGGGAACAGGTGTAACCTAACACCAGAAAGGGCATATTTGAGATTCAGCATGAATTTCCTGGCTGGAGAGTAGGTAAATGTTCTGAGGTTAACTATTCGTAGATAACAGTAAGAATCATAATTTATTTATATCCAACCTCAGCACTTAGCACACCGTCTGAGGCACAGTAGGCACTCAGCAAATGTTTGTACAATGAGCAGAAGCAGATTGATGTTGCTACTGGAGTGGCATAGGAACACAGCGATCATAAAGCATCTTCCTGCAGATACAGGTGGCAGGGAAGTCAGACTATGTCCAGATGACTCGGAGAGGACAGTCATGGAGGAAAGGTCCCTGAGGGGAGAGGGTCCTCGATGTGACAAGCTAAGAGATTGTTCTAAAAGGATAACACAAATTCCAGGCATTTATTTAGTACTTTACAGAGATGGCACAGTGTTTGTCACCTTTGACTCACACAACAAGCCCTGGGAGGCTGTAGTGCAGTGACCGTTATCTCCATTTACAAATTAGGTAACTGCAGCTCATGGAGGTTAAGAGCCTGGCTGAGTCCCCAGTGAGTAAGTAGCAGAGCTGGGTCTTGAACCATGGCCACAGGACTTTCAGAGTAGTGTCTTTTCAGCATTCTGCAGTCCCTCCAATGCCAACAACATCCAAAGTTAGTTCTCTGCTCTAGATCAATGGAACATTTTCAGGATTTCTCTCTCTGTGTGTGTGTGTGTGTGTGTGTGTGTGTGTGTGTGTTTGTCATTCTTCCTTCTATTGATATTGCATTGTAGCAACAGAAATTGAGGACAAAGCTCAAGAAAGAAAATTAGTGGTGGGAGTGGGACACCAAAGCTACAATAAATGATGTAGAGAGGCTGTGAGGGGGGCAAAGAGAGGATAATTAATTTTCTAGTAGCTCATCCCTTCAGGGATATGCATTTTAAATGTTACCACTTTATCCTATGTAAGTACTGAAAACCCTGGACCCTCTGTGGATCCAGAATCTCATTGTCATTCTAACTGTCATGAGCTCTTCAGCACTCTGAAAGAATGCAGAGATCTATGTGTGCCAGTGGTATGTCATTGTCGTTGTTTGTTGGAGATAGATGGAGTAAGAAGATCCGTCTATGGTTGCTTTTTGGATGTAGGTATTCTCTACCTGCTTTCCTGCCTTGTTCAGAAATCTCTTCACTACAGGTTACTTCCTTTTATGGAATGAACTCCTCTTGCTAAGCCCAATTTTATGCAAAGGGCTGGAAATGATGAATTTTATTAAATTCTTACATAGGAGGCTCCACAGCAAGCTTATGCAATTTCTATGTAAACAAAAGACTCTACATCTCTTAGCCTGGTGTCAGTTCAGGTGAAATTGGTTGGTATCTGAAGTTGAGTTTTGCTTGTAAAGAAAAATGTGTTCCCAGCCCTGCCAGTCCTAGATATTGCTGATCACCAACCAACCTCAGCATTGGGTGCACTAAGTATAAACGTTATCTCAGCCGTTCCTTACATCTATCCACTCTACAGAATATCCACCCTAGTCATGTTTACAAATAAGGAAATGGAGGCTTAGAAAGATTAACAACTTACCCAACGCTGATGCAGCTGCCGCGTGCTTTAAATCCCCTTCACTAGACTTACTCATCGAGGTTAAGCTTTTCTCACGAGAAAAAAAGTTATCAAAATACAAACAGTTAACAAGGTACTTTATATGCATTATCTCTTTTGATTATGCTTCCCAAAAGCCCCACATGACAGAATAGAAAGGCACACCTTTCCAAGACCAGAAAGTGAGATTCAGAGACTTGGAAGTGATTTGTCCGAGTTACACTAGCGAGGAAGTGGCAAAGCAACACCCAAGACCGGGTATATTTACTCTGTAGCCACCAGAGTGTTCAACACACCACTGACTCAGAGTTAAATACGTAGACAGGTACTTGTTCTTATGTGAGAAAAATGTCAACCTTCAGAGGTGCTCCAGAAAAGGGTGGGCCCTGAGGTGACAATTCTGGGGTTGGGGCAGCAGGTGGATGCTGGGATTGCACCAAGGAGCGGTTGCAGCAGGCCCAGGGAGGCAGAGCCATAGGTCACAATTTTGCCAGGGATTTCCCTATTTTCAACTCTTTGTAAGCAATCTCTTTTTTTAGGCTATTTTCTCCTCTTTTCCTAAATATTACCCAAACATTTAAATGAACATGTGTGCTTATAGACTTAAAGAAAAGCAGGCAGTTAACCTGAAATAAATTTAATGTATTCAACCGCTACTTAAAATTGTAATCACATTTACTCTTCACAAAGACAGGATAGAAGAGTGGAAAACAACAGGACAGGCCAGCAGAATGCTCACTCCTCAGCCCTGCGCTCGGCTCCTAAAAGTGCAGGCCTGCATCTCCAAGACGTTCCTCTCCTGGCTTATTAACATGGGGTGAAGAGTAGAATTCAGAGTAATTTATTTATGTGCACATATGCATACTTTAATCCCATGTGTGGCTGTGTGTGTTTTTTTTGTGTGTGTATGTGTGTGTGTGTGTGTATGTCAATTGGAAATAAGATTCTGAGAAGGGGTCTCTAAGCTGCAAATTCTGTATATTAGTGCAGATAAAGCACACAGCCAAAATTAGGTTAAGGACTTTTCTGGGCGTCATGTCCTTGACTTTGCAATGGAAAGGTTGAACTGATGATATGAAAGTCCTTTCTAGTTATTCTGTGTGACAACTTGTCAGTGTAATTCATCTGGGAATTTGTGTGTGACCAGGAGTCTCTGCACTCTGTGTCTCTCCTACTTTCACCCGCCGATGGCACAATTACTAGGTTGGTGTGAAAGTAATCGCAGTCTTTTGCCATTGTTCCTACTATTTCTTATTTGTATTTTTCTCCAGAGGCTTTAGGATTTAGTGTCCCTTACTAACACTGCTAGTTAGGGGTGACTGTAAACCTTGTTGTTCACTTTTTGGTTAGAGAAGGTGGAAGAGAAAGATACCATTTGCTTCCAAGTTCTTCTCTAACATTTGTAACCTCCACAACCCACGTCAAGCGGACACATATTTAATGGACAGTGGGGTGGAATTCCAGAGGCCACAGAGGAAAGAGCCATACAACCTATAAAAACTGTGTGAGTGTGTGCATGTGACTGCAGAAGAAACAGACATGAAAACTGTGTGTGTGTGTGTGTGTGTGTGTAACAGTGCGTGTATGTGTGAGGGCATTCGTGAGTGTGAGTGTGTACGTGGTACCTCTGTATGTCTTAGTTCCTAAGCAGAGCAGAACAACCAACATATTTCTCCTCACAACAATGGGAGAAGAGACCTGATCAATGGAGAAATCATCAAACATCAAGCATATATATGTATACGAGTATATAAAGATACACATATATATGCTTGGATATACACATATACATGTTCAATGTTTGAGGTGTATATATGTATATGTGTATACATACACATGCTTTATGGAAGAGTTAGGCTAACTAAGAAGGCAACTACAACACAGAAGGAATCAAGAATGAAGTTACTGTCCAGAATACCCTCTATAACACATAAAGGAAGGGATCTCAAGTCTCCCTTCACTGGGAGGGTGTCCCCACACCACCTTCTGCACCTGCCCCGCCCCCTGCGCTCAGGGTTAGAGCAAGGCCACACTCACCCCACCATGCCGTGGTCCTATCCCGGCTCTCAGACTACTGTGTTTCTCAGATATTAACGAATATGACACCTTGCGTAGCCAGAGTATAATTGACGTTGACCTTCACGCGTCTCCTAGATTGTGACCTTTCATGACATTGTGTGTGGTTGGTGACAACACAGTTCACAACACAGTTTATAAAAAAAGAAAAAAAAACAGATTTCTCCTTGTATCAGGCCTTTTCTCCCACTGTTGTGAAGATACATGTGGGGCTTTGTTCTGCTTTGCTTTGCAACTAAGACACACACAGACACCACGTACACATACACACACTCACAGACATACTCACGCACTCACACATACACACACTCTTACACGCACACAGTTTTCATGGGTTTTGTCTGTTTCTTCTGTACTCCACACACACGCTCACACAGTTTTTATAGGGTTTATGGCTATTTCCTCCGTGGCCTCTGGAATTCCATCCCATTACCCACAAATATGTAGGCTAAGCCTCTGTCTAGGAGACGAGAGGGGGAAGGACACACTCCATTTCTCCTCGGACACTTATAGTCTATTTAATTATAAAAATAGGAGGAGTCGGTATTTTCTAAGGTGAGTGAGACCAAAAAAAAATGTGACTCTGGATGAATACATTGTCAGAACAAATCACGGGTGGACCCTGGCAAGAGGCAGCACTTCCGCTTGAGAGTCCTGGCTGGGAAAAAGGCAGAGAAACTCCTTGATATGATCCAAGAAGAGGCTGCCAGTCCTGGCACCTGGTTTGATGATGATTTTTACAGTAGCCAGAAAAAATTAGCTGGGCATGGTGGCGTGCGCCCGTAGTCCCAGCTACTCAGGAGGCTGAAGCAGGGAGGCGGAGGTTGCAGTGAGCCAAGATCACACCCCTGCACTCCAGCCTGGGTGACAGAGCAAGACTCTGTCTGAAAAAAAAAAAAAAAAGACAGAGAGAAGTGTCAGGGCCTGGGGCTGTCATCTGCCTTATTTGCAATAGAATTAAATAAACGGAACAGTCGTAATGCCTGTTCTCAAAATCATCACTGATGTGGAGATGGAAGGAAAATGAAATGCCTGTTATGTTCTGCTGAATTTGCATGGTGATCTCAGCTTATTTCCGAAGAGACCTGTCTGCCAATACCTCCAGTAAATAGGTCTTTTCCCACACGTTCCTGCTGCTGTGAGCAGGGGAGCAATCACACCTCAGAAGAAGGACAAATTAGTAAATGTTCATAAACTCTCCTGATAGATTAATGTCCACCATGACCCTCATATAGTGAGGATCTTACATAAGGTTTCAAGCCTCACCACCCGCAAGATTAGTCAGTCACTGTTTAGCATCCAAGTAAACTGTGAATTCAGAATAGTGATGTCTTTCTACACATAGCAGGTGTACACAGATTTGGAGAGTCTCACTTGCATTTCCGAACCTGGTTTTGAGCTCCTAGTTAACAAGTATTACCCTCAAACATAGTGCCTTGACGAAAGTAACTGTTGTCCCTATTCTTATTCTGGCTTCTCAAGAAGTCTTTTACTCTTCGTTCACTAAATTTCTCCTCTATAGGCATAGAAATTGAAGAGCAATAGAAGTGAAGCAAAATAATCACCAGGAAAACAGTCAATAATCTTTTTCAGTAATTATAAACAATGGTTATCATCTGCTGAGTACGGTTGACCCTTGAACCATATGAGTCTGAACCATGCAGTTCCACTTATATGTGAATTTTCTTCCATCCCTGCCACTCCTGAGACCGCAAGACCTACCCCTCCTCTTCCTCCTCCTCCTCAGCCTACTCAACATTAAGACAATAATGATGAAGACCTTTATGACGATCCACTTGCACTTAATGAACAGTAAATATATTTTCTCTTCCTTATTATTTACTTAGTCTCATTTTCTTTACTCCAATTTACTTTATTATATGAATACAGTATATAATATAAATACAAAATATACATTAATCAACTGTTTCATATTATCAGTAAGGCTTCTGGTCAACATTAGGCTCTTAGTAGTTAAATTTGGAGGGAGTCAAAGTTATTTGCAGATTTTCAACTGTGTGGGGGTCATTACCCCCAGCCCTTATATTATTCAAGAGTTAACTAAGTGGGGTGGCGGTCATCTTATAAACATTATCAGATTCTATTTTCCAATTAACCCCAGAGGGTGGGATTCATGTTCCCATTTTTTTGAATGAGAAAACTAAGGCTCAGAGAAGCTAAGGGCCCTGCTGATAAGTACAAGGTTGTATCTTAAACTCACTTCCGTTGACAGTGGAATTCTCCACTCAGCTTCTAGCTTAACTTCCTTTCAATTCTCCACTCAGCTTCTAGCTTAACTTCCTTTCAATTCCATAGCTTTTAAATAAGTAGGTCAGACTGCCACGCCAGGTCATTTACAATACACATCCTTTCTGTGTCAGGTCAGGTTGCCTCTGCTTAAGGCATTGTAGTCTAATCTCTGTGGAGTCAGGGTCTGTCCTTAAACTTTTTTCTCTCTTGTTTTGTTGATCTTGTCTTAGTAATTATAACTTTTTTTCTTGGAGTTAATATCAGCTCTATATCATTGGCTCCTAAATCTAAATTTCCAGTTTTTAGTTCTTTCCTAATTCCATTCTCCAATGTTTGATTATTTTCTTAGCTCCTCAACTTGGGTATCCCTTAGGAATCTTAACATGTTCCACTCTCAACTTATCTTCTTTTCTCCAAAACCTGTTCCTCTTCTCGTAATTCGCATTTCTATTCATGGAAACACCATTGTGTATAAAACCTTGGCTTCAGCTTTGACTCTTTTTCTCTTTTGCTTCTCTATCAAAGCAAATGTCATGTCCAATAACGTCATTCTCTCCCTTTCCGTTCCCACAACCACTACCTTCAAAGTGCAGAATCTTACTCTCTACTGACTTTTGCCTGTCACATCCTAATTGATACCTAATCCTCATCTCTCCCGCCCTATAATTCATTTTAACAGTGTTGTCTAAGTATTTCTGATGCAGATACTGATCATGTCACTTACCCCACTTGTATTTTAATGGATCCCTGTTGACAATGAAGTCAAGTCAAAAGCTCTTAGATTGTCTTTCCAAGTGCTGAGCAATCCAGGGCCAAACCGTCTTTTCTATTCTTACTTCTTTATTTCTTTTTTACTTTTTGGTAGGAGGAATGTTTCTTTCTTTTTAAATTTTTGTTTCCATAGGCTTTTGGGGCACAGGTGGTATTTGGTTACATGAGTAAGTTGTTTAGTGGTGAGTTGTGAGAACAGGTGGTGTTTGGTTACATGAGTAATTTGTTTGGTGGTGAGCTGTGAGATTTTGGTGCACCCATCACCTGAGCAGTATATACTGAGCCCAATTTGTAGTCTTTTATCCCTCACCCCCCTCCCACCCTTTCCACTCTTATTTCTTATTTCTCCACATTTACATCCTACACACAACCTAGTCAAGTTTGTCCTTGTGTAATCCCCGCTGCCCAGCATCCTGCATTCTTCTTCGTTTCTCATAGAATTCATCTGCCTTTAATGTTCTTCTCCCTGGATATCCAAATCCTACAGAAAGCAGTACTGTCCAATAGACCTTTCCGCGATGACGGAAATGCTCTGTATTTACACTCTTCAACGTGGTAGCCATTAGCCACAAGTGACTGTTGAGAACTTCAGTTGTGACTAGTGTGACTGAAAAGCCAAGTCTTTAGTTTTATTTAATTTTAATTAATTTAATTTGAAATAGACACACATGACCAGTAGCTATCATATTGCACAATTTTAGAGTTGCTAGGGCTTTTTAAAAAAATTCCAGCTGCCACTTTACCTGTACTTCCTTGTGATACCTGTAGCTTTTTGTTTCAAATTTCAGTTATTGGTGGATGTAACTCTCTTGCTCTCCTAGACTGTAATTTCCTTGAAGACAAGCCAGAGGAGGTGGCTCCATAATTTTTCACAGAGGCACAGCTTAGGGATAGCAATCTGAATTGGCATGACCATAGAAGTCTCTCTTTCACAAATTCATATAAAAGGTTATTAATCCATAAAAATAATAGCAAAATGTCTTAAATATGCTTTTAAGATTTTAGGAAAGATTGAGGGAAAATGTCAGTTATTCTTAGGAATAAATAAGCATCTCAAAGGGCAGCTTAGTGGGGGAGATATTGGTAGCCACATCATGAAAAGCCACGTCCAGCATGGATTTATTCCCTTCAAGTCCTTTCCCTTGGGACAGATCACTGTACACTGTAGCATTGAAAACATGCCTGTTGAATAAAGAAGTTCTTAGTGAAACCTTAAAAAGAATTCCTTAATTTAGGGCTTCTGGGGAAAATTTCTAACACAGTCACTTTGCTTTAGCGGTGTCAAAAATCACCCCTAAACAAGGTGCCCTGATGGTTGCCCTGGCAGGCAGAGCTGGAAGTGCAGGGACCCAGCCTGCTGCAATCAATTTAATGGGATGGATTATGTGCTCCGATTGGCCAGTAAGCAGACATTAATGACCAGTTAGCAACTGTGTTCAGGTCAATTAATTTATATTTGTATTTTGCAAACTAAAAGTTGCTCTGTTAGATTATTGATTCTTTGTCCCTGTATTCAATTTGTTTTTAATTGTACCATTGCTGGGCCAAGCCCTCCCTCCTGGCAAGCTGGCAATAAATCTGCCACCATCCCAACAATCAACAATAAATGTGTCTCTTCATGTCATTATTAATATGTCTCTTGGATTGGTTCATTACCACGGTTAACAGTTTATAAGGGTCGGTGGCACACTGCCAGGAGGATTCCTTTTCCCAGGGGCTAGTTTGTCGTGACAGGATTGATGTTTTCAGGCCTGTGTGTGTCTGGGAAAGGGATCTTGGATTTAATTTAATATAGCTGAGATACAAGCTACCAAATCCTCTTTTTATCATAAACAGCTTTAGAAGATGATATCGTTGTAATAGATATTTGTACCCTCTCTTTCAATTCTTCTTTCTTTTAATTTTTTTTCTTTCTTATTTTTTCTTAATTTCTGTTCAGATAGATTATTTCCCCCTCAGACACAACATAACAGCTCCCCGGGTAACCTAAAATCCGCAGGTAAGCGAGCCATGCGTCCCCTGGGAGTCCGAGTTTTATTACTGGGTTTTTGTTAGTTAAAAGCAGAGAAGGAGTTCCCTCTGATTGACAGATGAAGGGTGATTAACAGAGCTGTAGAAATACTGCTCCTAGAATGTCACCTAAATCGTGGTGGTGCCTGCCACCACACCCAGCTATTTTTGTATTTTTAGTAGAGACAGGGTAGGAAAAAAAATAAGCCCTATCTTTTAATAGAAATAATAATTAATTATAGCATTGTTATTGGTTCTTTTGGTTATTATGATTTTTCAGGGGAAAGCACAGATTTTAAATGAATTTATAGGTTGGCAGAAGAGATTATTCTGTGTCCCAGAAATGCCAAGCAATAAATTTAAATAGAACTTAGAGTGTTTTCTAAAAACTCCGCAATGATCTGGGATCAGACGACCACGAGGAGTGTTTGTCATTTCCAAGGTACAGGTTGCTTGAGGACAAAAAGTTTGGTCTCTTTCAGACACAAAGTTTGCAGTCAATTTTTTGATTCAGGATGTAGATTTCATATGTGATTTACAATTAGCAAAACACACACACTTCTAGGCACATGGCTCTCTAACGCAGACCAAACTGAGCTTGTTGAATGAGAGAGGCATGGGAGAGTTTGACACTGGATGTTCCCCTTAATAAAAGAGTCTGAGTTAGCCCTGGTAAGTGGAGGGCTGGAGGAGTGGGGCTCCTGCCTGGGAGATTTGGGAAAGTAAAAGGTGATAAGGGAAAGAGATGGAAGAAGAACTTGAAGATGCCTGCAAAGAGCCACAGATGTACAAATGGAGGATGTGAATGAAAATAAAGGAAGCAGAGGAAGGTCGAGAGTCAAGAGAAAGAAGGAAGAGACAGAGGAGCCTCGCCCGTGGCTTGGTGTTCTGAGGGCGCCTCCCTGGTTGGGGGTGGGAAAATCAAAGAGCAGAGCCAGCCTCCCTGAGGCTCTGCATGCAGCCCTCCCGGTGCAAGCCCAATCTGCACCTTGTTCCAGGACACCCTGCGGTTCTCTGGGCAAATGGCACACTCCCCAGGGAGGGTCTCTGCTCTCCGACCGCTCTGCCTGAGCTCCTTCAGCAAGAGGCAAGAGCAGGAGCCAGCTTTTCTTTTTTAGAGATGGAGTCTCACGCTGTCACCCAGGCTGGAGTGCAGCGGCATTGTCTCGGCTCACCGCAACCTCTGCCTCCTGCATTCAAGTGATTCTCATGCCTCAGCTTCCCGAGAAGCTGGGATTACAGGCTCGTGCCACCATGCCTGGCTGTTTTGTATTTTTAGTAGAGACAGGGTAGGAATGAACTTTTTAAAATATTCCCACGTGGGGCACAGCAGGAGCAGGCCAGGTGTCTGCCTCTCACCCTATGCCACCCTCCTTCCTTTCCACACCACCACTGAGAACTAATCACATTGCTGGCCACTGAGGGTTGGGCTTGCATTTTCCAAGTGCTCTAATTTTGAGGTATATTCAACAGAAAAGGCAATACTAATGTTGGCTAAAGCCTTAATTCCTATATATGGAAAAGAGTCTCAATTACTGAGCTGCTTCTAGGAGGAAGGTATGTAAAATTTCACTCCTGGTTTGACCACTTGCTCTGTGACCTGAAATGATTTACTCAACCTTGCTATGTTTCAGAATCTTCATCTGTCAACTGTGGGAAAGAAAGCATGCCCCACCTTCTTCATGAGGTTGGGCATTAAGGTGCAACCCTCTATAGTTTATTAAAATTATTTGTTTTCCACTGCTAGGTTAATTCCTGAAAATGCTTCTGAGATTGCATGACAAATATTATGCCAGGGTGGTTCAGCAACTTTTAGAACTGTCCCTTCACTTATCCTAATATGATTTTATCACATAAAAGCATTGGCATCATAAGTTTTGATAAATTATGTTAGATTTTGTGGATAACAATGGAATAACTGTGCCTCCTTTTTAATACATGTGAACATGTGTGTGTGTTTATGTGTGATACCTCTGTTCTCAATATCTTATAACATTCTTGCTATTTTAAAATATTCTTCTTATAACTAGTTTTGATATTGTTGTCATAATTTTATAATCTCATGTTCAAGATGTACTTCTGAAAAACACACACACACAATTGTACTCATTGAGAGAGAATGAAGAGATGAAGCAGATAACTTTGAAACAAAAGAGAAATAATATCAGCAAGACATCATCAAAGCTTTCATCATAGGTTTTGCTTTCCTTAAGAGCCTTCCATCCCAGCATCGATATTACTTATGCCAGGAAATAGAAAATGTAGAGACCTCCCCAAGTCTGTGTCTTTCAGGGGCCACTACTGCATACCCAATGGAATCTCTTCATTGGTAATGAATTTCCCTTATCTGTAATCACATCCAGAATAAGACAAAACAATATACAATTAAATATCGGCCTATTCTCTAGTTTCAAAAGAAAAACCGTCGGTAGCTGTGGTACACACATCTCCATCACCTCCTTTCAAACACCCTGCCGATGTGAGCCCTGAATGACAACCCCTGAGCACTGGCCACGGCTAATCCAAAGCACCAACAACTAATCACAGAATTGGAGAAGGCAAAATAGCTACTTGAGGAGTAAAGCTTCCCAGTCCTTGGTTCTGCAACAGCAGGGTGGAAAGTGAGGGGACAGGAAAATCAAAGTTCCTTTAAAAAAATTTATCACACATAGAGGCAAAATGTCCCCACAGCAGGAAAGCAAGTGGAAAATACACCAAATCAATCACCTTCAAAATAAGGCTTAAAATCTTGTACTGCATAAGATGTAGGTGGGAAGGGAAGAATGGGCCCAGTGGTTTGAAAATGTTTTATTAAACTGCATGCTGACTGCCACAGTGCATACAGGAAAATGCAATTAAGGCCAGGCCATTAAAAAGACGCCCAAGGATAGCTCTGAGAGAGACCAGGGGCAATCAGCAGGTGTCCAGGCAATGTTCAAAGGAAACTCACTTTGAAAAAGTGCCAGGCAGGTGCTGGGAGCATCTCAAACAGGACAGGCCTGACCTGGGATCTCTTGCACCTGCCTTAAGAGGTGAAAGTGGCAGCTCTGGGCAAGGAGAGGAGGTGGAGGTGTGCGTGGAAGGGCCTCTCAGTGCCTTTCCTCAAGCTGAACTGGAACAGATTCTAACCAGCATTGACGTCCTTAAGGAACATATATGTTCAGGATGTGGTGGCATGTCAAATACAAAGCCACTTTACCGTCATGAGGGGCCCCCAGTTTCCTGAGTAAGGTGAGCCTTAGTGCCTCTGAGATAGAGGCCTCACCCAGCTTCTCCACCAGATCCTGTCCAGGTGATGCCTGCTGCCTAGAGTTGCAGGTGTAGGCCCCTGGTGTGTAGACATGCCACCTGCTTAGAGGGAGAGACCAGAGGATACTGGAACAATCCCTTAATGGACAGCTTGCCTTCTCCTGAGAAGGTCCACAACACACAATGCTTATGCCAGGCAGAAGTTGTCCTACTCAGGGCCTTCCCAGGAGGTGCAGTGTGCCCTGATGGTCATGTCATGGCAGGCCTGGGGCGATCCCCACCCTCTCCCTGCCCTTTAGTGCACCCTGCAGCGCCCTACTTCTGCCTGCTTGGTTCAGGGCTCTCTCTTCTAAATACCTGAAGGTGTCATATGAGCTCAGGCTTTCCCACTTGCCAAACTCCTGGGTGTGGCTCTATCACACCACACCGTAACTACTGCGTTACACATTACACTGTCTTCACCACCAAAATGTATCCACTCTGAGGATGGGAACAAAGTCTTTCCCTCTATATGAACAGAAATGTTTATCCCTAAGGCACAGAACTCACATAGATTAGACGCTCAAAAATGCTTATTGAATGCGTCTGGCATGTAATGAGTAATCAATAAGTATTTCATGATAAAAGAAATGACAATATTTGGTTGGAGAGAACTCAAACAAATTGATTCAGGCATATGTGTGGGTGAACAAATAAACTACAACTCCCATATTTTACAGGCGTGGGTAACTGCAATGTGTGGCTGATGCTAATGACCAATCCTTTCTCCCTTGGCTCTAAGTAAATTCTTGATTTAGGAGATGTGAAGACTCTCCTCTTGTGCTTATCCCGGGGTTCCTAATTTTTGCTTCCATCCTACCAAGCCACGCACTGATGTTTGCAGTCCCACCCACACTGCTCATTGCCTTTCGTTAGAGATGATGTGCTCATTGTTGTGGGTTTGCTCAGGCTCCGGGATATGCATCCTGCCTCGCTCTTTCTCCTCCCATTTCTTGCTGTGGAAGTCTGTGGAATGCTGGCAGGGCAACTCTGCCAGGGTGAGCAGGTTCTTCTGAGGTTTCTAGGTGAAACATCAGCAACAAAGTACCTATTGTGGCTGTAGCAAGAGAAGTTTTATAGACTTCTCTAACGTTAGGAAGGGGAAAACAATTTCTGGGCCTCATGCAATTTAGGAGATGCTCACATTTGCCTCAGAAACTATTGCCTTGCAGTGATTTTCTGCCTCTAGTGAGTAAATGCTCCCCAGGCCTAGCTACTGTCGATGACAGCCATCCCAGTGCTACCTTAGCAGAGCTTTGCTTTCTAGCTGTGACTTGCTTATTTATAGGAAGGTTATGCTTACATCTTCTTTCCCCACTATATTACTTTCTAAAGTTATCTGTTGTCCCCTCTCTTCTTTTACCAGCTCCTTAATCCTTCTCCCTCTAAGCAGGCAATGCTCAACTTTTGCAGCAGGAAAGGTCTCTTTGGAAGGCCTGAGGGCCAGACCAACTTGCCAGTATATTTGCATATATTTACATTTAGTCGGCCTGCAAACATGAGGATTATGTAAAGTGCCAGTCTTAACAGTGAAAGGATTGTGTTCGGATTCAGGAACTTTAGGTTCCATAGAACACAAGGAGGTGGGAGGGGCTGCAATGATTGCTATTCCAGGGAGAAGCATAAGTGCGATTTATGGGAATGAGTGATGGACCCAGGGGTTGGGGCTAGCTTAAATCTACAACCATCCAGCAGGGCTCCTGCCTTGTCCTGCTCACATGTCCCCAAGTGTCACCTTGCACATAGTTAGGTGAAGAGTTGAGATGCTGCCTCTCACATTTTGAGAGCATGCCTCTGGCAAGCTGCCGGAACTTTCTTCTCAGTAAACCTGTTTTCTAGGCACCTAAGCTTCTCTCATTTAGTAAATTCTGCACATCTCTCTGCTGAAAGGAGCTTTCAGACCACCCGCCTGCTCTTTCCTCACGTGTTAAAAGCTGTACTGGGTCCTGACCAGTTTTGATTTTTCTAATCAAGGTAGGTCCATAGGTAATGACATGTTGCCAACATCTTTTGAATGCAAGGGTGTAGAGCTCTCTTTGAAGAAAATAATCATCACGTGGCTACAAGAAAGCAGTACGGTGAGTCAAAAGATCTAGAAAACTGCTCCAGTATCTGTAGTCACCCAACAAATTCTTCCTACCCGCTGCGCAGAAAAAACCAGTTCACTGAGACTATGACAATGCAGTAGAGAAAGAGTTTAATTGACGCGAGGCTGGCCACAGCAAAGAACTGGAGATATTACTCAAATCAGTCTTCCTAAAGGCTTAGAGGTTAGGGGTTTTAAAGGATAGTTTGGTGGGCAGGAGGCTAGGGAATGGGAGTGTTGGTTGGTTGGTTGGGAATGAAATCATAGGGGTATGGAAAACAGTCCTCATGCACTGAGTCTGCCTTTGGGTGGGGTCACAGGGCCTGTTGAATCACAAGCAGCAGATCTGGATGGAGTCAGCAATTTAAAAGTCTTAAAAGACATCTCAAAAGGCCAATCAGAGGTTCCACAATAGTGATGTTATGTGTAAGAGTAATTGGGGAAGTTACATATCTTGTGACCTCCAAAACAACAGCTGGTTATCTTTTAACCACACCCATATCTTAGCAGAATTCAAGCCCCTGTAATAATCCTAACTTTGTGGACGTTGATTAGTTTTACAAGTGTGGTTTAGTTTTGGGAAAGGCTATTGTCATCCTTGCTTTAAGGTTAAACTATAAACTAAATTCTAAATATAATTCTCTCTTGACATAAAGCCACAGAATATGACTTTTTTTCTGTTACCAGCTATAGTGATTTCTATTATAGCTATTAAATACAGGGGTCTGAACACCAGAGTTACAAGATCTATATTAATATATTAATTACATCAAGCTGGATATGTATACATCATATATATATATAGTCTGTATATATGCTCTCTCTCTCTCTGTATATATATATATATATATATATAGTCTGTATATATGCTCTTTAGCTTTCTGAAGAAAAGTGATTGCAGTTGACATCTAATACTATGCTTCTCCACGTAGTGCCTCTTAAAGAAAACAAATGCAGAAGTTCATGTTTTCCATGCCACTCTTCCCTTTAGAATATGATATTAGTTCCTAAGTCCTTCTCCAACTTCATTGCCCATGAGGTGGGTAGGACAGAAGTGGCTGCTCCAATAAGGAAAGCTTTCCCAATCTTCCAATGCAGATTAGAAGTCTCCCAAAGGCAGAGACTATCCTGAGCAGGACATGGAAGAGCAGGTGACCTCTGGGTCCCAGAAGAGCCTGGCTCTGAACACAGGCACGTGATCAATCAGTGTGAATGAATCTAGACACAAGAAAGTTCCATATGGACAATGTCTATGTGTCCTGAGCACTGCCAGGTTCTAATACCTGCCTGGAACATATTAGTCACTTAATTAATGCCTGAGGGAATAGGAGGAAGTAAATATATAAACTAATATTTAAGAACTTTAATATTCAAAGTAGAACTTAGATACATAATCAAAAGTCCAAGCAAAGACCAAAGTCTAGGATGCCAGTCTAGAAGTACTAGGAAGCCAAAAAAATAAAATTCAGCATCAAAGATAGCTGGCAGCAAATGTCAGGGGCACAAACCTGCTGAACAAGGGAAACTTAGACTATGGGCTAAATTATTTTGAAGCTGTGGCTCAAGAGTAGTAACTGTGGCCACTGAAAGATGGAGGTTTCCAAGCCTTCAACAGCCTCAACAGCAGGCTCAGAGAAAGGCTAGCGTACGATTCCAGGTCTGTCCCCTACTTTGGGAGAACCAGGCTTAAAATGTGGGGGTGGTCTGGTCTCAGTGATGAAGCTTAAGAAGGTCCGATCTGCCAGGATTGGAAAAAAACGGTGGAAATAGGGAGAAATCATCAGTAAGGGACTGTTGTGTAACATCTTGTGGACTGATATTTTCACCCAGAAAGAGTCGCCAGAAAAATTCAGCTTCAAATTCAGTTAAAAAAAAAAAAATCTAATTCCTTTTCTAGGTTTAACAACTACAGAAGTAAAAAATATATAAATAGGTAGTATGCGCCTGACCTAGTCATCTATCTTGGTGATTAAATGCTTGGCTAGTTGATGGCGTGTCAATGAAGTCAGGATTACATAAATGATATTCAAACAGTCTCGCCAACAAAGCAGCTAGTAATGCAGATACATTTTTCTACTAACGTATTAGAACCTTTGAAATTTGTTTCTTTTTTTCTCTTTTTTTAGATTGCAAATCTGGATCTTCTTTAAGTTCAAGAGAAGGGAAAAATATTTATGAAGCTTATTAGTGAGCAGACAGTACTTTACCTGATAAATATAAACTATCCCCGAGCCTCCCAGTGTCTTCTTTAGCATCTCCCAGGGGAACAGAGCAGGGTTTTTACACATTAAAATAAATCTTCAGTGCTTTATCACCATAGGTCCTGAAGGGGTTGAATGAAGTGTCAAGAAAATTATTCAGAGATTTTTCCTCTCCACTCACAGTTCTGTAGCCTTAATTTAGTGTATCCTCACATTCGCTATTTCTTTTCCGAGAAAAGCCAGAATAAATGCAAGTCAGGAGGCATTATATGGAAGGCTTATTCGCTTGGACATATGATCACTGTGGTGCAATGGATCCACTTCCCTATGCCAGCATGTATTCCAAGAGGAGGCTGAAACTGCCTTATATTCTAGGCCCTGTGTTTTGACTGAATTAGTTAAATAAAGTGCAAAGCTACATGAGCTGGATGAACTAGGCCCTTTCTTCTACCTAAAATAACAGAATTATGTGACAAATGTATGCACAGTGGTATGTTTACCTTGAAGCACCCAGATAATTGCTTGAATTCTGCACGTGACTTTACTAATACATAACTATTCATTGCAAAGTTTCAGAGGCGCTTGTTTAAATCTGGATTTTAGGGAAATAACAATTTTCTAAAGCATCATTCATCCACAGATAATTTAGAACAATTTTATTAAAAAAATAATAAAAGCACTTACATCGACCCTAAAAATCTGAATACAGCAAGCAGGTAACTGGGTGCGCAAAACACTCATTTGCATACACAATCAGGCATTTATGGAAGCACATGCCCAATTGTGCATGTAAAGACGGGTTTCATTTGCACTTTATTGCTTCAAACAATGGACATCTTGTATCCGGGGGGGAGTATTTTCAACATGTAGCTATCTAAATTTACTATTTCAGCTTTCTTTTCCTTAAACATGAATGTAGCCTGAAAGCTGCTTCCTGAAGTTCAACCTCCTGCCGCTTGGTTCTGTTTGGGGAGATTCTAAGTGATGACTTATGATCATGATTACCTTGCAAACGTCTTTTGTCTTCCAAGGGCAGTGGGGTGGAGTGAATAGAAGAAATCTTAAGAGTTTTAAGAAAGTGCTGCTTGTTGACAGCAAAGATTATCTTGTTTGATAAAATCAATTTTGATGACAGCACAATCTGAGATCTTCCTTGAAGTTGATTTTATCGAGATAATAGATTAAGTATGTCTGTCAGCTAGAGTTTGGTCAACAAATTTTTTTTTGGTCAAATTTCTCTGGTAGGCAAGACATATATCATGAAGTCTGGCTTTTTTTTTTTTTTTCCTTGAATAAAACTCCATTTCAGAAAGGAAAAAACATGGGAAGGTAGACTGGGGAAAAAAATGAGTCTCCTTCTTTTCTAAATCATATGCTTTGATGAGGACCTTTCATATAAGCCATCGATCATTCCTGAGCCTTAACAACATTTGACTAAAGTTTTTGTTTTTGTTATTGTTTTCTTTCAAGAACAAGGAATGGGAGGAATCGAATTGGAAATAATTTAAGTGTTCTTTAGGACTTCTTAAAAATATACCAATTTTTATTTTGCAATGGGGGGGATTGTATTATATTTTAAAAGTAAGCATACTCCATAGTTTTAGACAGGGAAATTTAGATTTCCACAATTTTTGCAGATTTTTAAGGGGAGAAAGACCTCTAAATAATTGGCCATCATAAATCTATACCCAAAAGTTGTTCCAGAAGAACTACTCCACACTGTAATAATCATGGGCAGTGTTACCGTCTCACAGTTAAAAATGATATTGGATTTCCAAACACAATTGCACAAATCTTAAAACTACTAAAATCTCCAAGAAAATCTTCCTCTTGGAGCATGAGCTCCTCTGCAGCTGGTCTTACAACATAGTAAGAGGGCATTATATTCTTATCTCGCATGCAAGGCTGAGTTAGAATCTTGTGTTCTAGTCCTGAGTGTATCGGCCCAGTTAATCCTCCCTAACAAGTTGGGTGATAGTGGAAAAAATGTGACTTCACTCTGGGATCTACTGAAGTTCAATTTCCTGCCACTTGATTCTAAGTGATAACTTATGGTCATGAATGCCTTACAACCTTCTTTTGGCTTCCAAGGGCAGTAGGGTGGAGTGGACAGAAAAAATGTTAAAAATTTTAAGAAAGTGCTGATTTCTCATCTCTAAAGTCTCTTCCTGCTTCCTCATCTCTTCCTGCGAGGACACCCCATCTTTAGAGATGAGGAAGCAGCACTACATAATCCCCAAGGTGCAGATCTAATCATCTGTTGAGCTGTCCACTGTATGACCCTTCCCTTGAAGCATGTAACTACTGAGGCATGGGCTCAGGCAGGATAGAATATTTACATTTCAGTCCCCCTTTGCCTTATTTTATTTTGGATTGGGAATGAGAACTCAAAAGTATATTCAGTTATTAGGGACTGTCATATGTAGTCCAACCTGCAGAAATTTTCCACATGTGCAGATGTTCCTTGTGGAAATTTTAGGTGTAATCATGGCAGACATTGTTGCTTACATACTCAATAGCTATTTCCACCATCCATAACACTAACAACCTGCTTCCTTTATGAGAGAAGCCACTTTCCTCTAAAGAAGCTCGAATACCATAAACTCATTTTCTGAGACACCCTGGAAGCCAGGCTGGGCATAGCCAGGCCATCAAATCTTAATTAGTAGGATCCAGGGGGAAGTCCGAGGGCAGCTATCTGGAGCAGCTTTCCTTCCTTAACAAAAGGTGACATGCAAGAAAAATCCCCTTTCCCTTTTTGCTTCTGCTAAATACTGCTGTGTCTGTATGCTTGCCTGCAACTGCTACCCCCATCTTTTGACTGTGATGGTCCAAGCCACACACTGGAGAAGAAAGACAGGAAGAACCTGGGCCTTGAGGCTCTCACTGTAGCCCTGACTTCCACCCCCAGCCTCCCACCCCCGATTTCTTACATGAGGTAATAAACGTCTTTCTTGTTGAAACCCTTTTTAGTTGGTGTTGGAAGGAAACATTATTGATGCCTCTTTTACCCAAAAGAAACTCTACCAAGTAACACTCTGTGCCTTTCCTGGCACCCTCCCTTACTTTCCCTCCTGCTGTCCCCACCCCACACCCATACACACCCCTTACCACCAGGGAGAAGAGATGGCTCAATCTGATCAGGTTTGTGGAAGGATAAATCAGGAGGTATCAGCTCTTTATTTTGTCTTAGAAACTGACCTTCCAACAGATGTCCTGTGTCATGCAGCGTAAGAGGCCAGGCTCAGACCCAGGGCCTGGGGCCTCCTCGCACTTCCTGTGACTGGGGGAGTGGGGTCGAATCCTGAGGCTCAGGATTGGGATGCCCATTTGCTTACGTAAAGATATAAACCACATTCCCGGCTTTTAATTTCTATCAGAAATGAAGGGCTATTTTTATTTCCATCTATTTTCTCCCTGTTTGTCTCTCAAGTTGTTCTGAACTTAGGCAGGGAAAAGAGAGCTACCAGCACCTGTAGTCCCAGCTACTCGGGAGGCTGAGGCAGGAGAATCACTTGAACCCAGGAGGTAGAGGTTGCAGTGAGCCGAGATCACACCACTGAACTCCAGCTTGGGCGACAGAGCGAGACTCTGTCTCAGAAAAAAAGAGAGAGAGCTACCGATTGTCCCCCTCAAACACCAACAGTTGGGTGCTCTGTTACTGGCAGCAGAAGACACTTTGCTGTGTTGTTGGTGCAGATTTTCGATTAGCCTAGGACCACCTTTATAGGCAGGACAGACTGCACTTCCTCATGCTCCACCGTCACCCAGCTCAGTCCACTTGTAATTCTGGTTGCTGAGAGCTGACTCACTTGTCATGAGGCACTCAGGGAATAAATTCGTCATCCTGGATGGTTTTTTTTTTTTTTTTCAATATGGTGAGAACATCATTAGTTAGGTATTCGGTAGATGTACGAGAAAGGCTGAATAGTCATGTTTCTTTATCATCTCTGATGATGAAACTCCTCCCTGCCCATCTGAACAGTTGGAAGGAGTCCAGAGTGGAGCAGCAGCCGTGCTGAACGCAGAGATGTGGAGATGGCCACATTTGCATAGTTTGGCTATGTGACAACTGAAAGGCGGATATGACAGAATAGATACATATCTCACATACCAAAGAGAGAGTGATTACCTCGCCTTGCTGAAGATAGGGAAGCAGAAAAAGACCAAAAGGAGTAGATATACCGGGCTGGCTATCATGGAACCACTCAGGAAGCGACTCCTCTGCGGCGACATTGTGTTGCGTGGAGATAGGATGATATCCTGAGAATCATAGAGCCACTGGAGAGAGACAGACATCACTTGAAGTCCCTGCTCCATTACTTAAAAGATATCTGACCTTACAAAAATCAGTTCATCTTTCTGAATATCAGTGTTCTCATTTTTCACATGGAAATAGTGTCACCTCCTCTTCTCGTGTCACAGAGTTGTGAAGGTGTAATGAGTTAAGGAACGAATGCAAAGGAACCTTTTAAATCATAATATTATTTAAATGTCAGCTGCTTGCTTTGACGACAGTTCCACAACTGTGTGATCTCCTCCTTGCTCCCTCCAAAAAAAAAAAAAAAAAAAAAAAATGTGTTTGAATAAAGATGCCTGAGGCACCCTCAGGGGCCTAACAAGATCCTGCCCAAATCTCCATGTGGCACAATCATGTTCTCATTCTTTCTTTTTTTTTTTTTTTAAGCTGGATCTGCATTCCCTATCCTAGGGATGTTTACAGGAGGGACTCTTTCAGGCAGAAACCATTTTAACAGCCCAGCCCTGATCAGCATGGCTGCCACATTTTCATTTCCAGCTACGTGTTTCGTTACCCAGCTGAAAACCTGGACAAAACTTATAATTCAGTGGCCTTCTGTGAATAGGTCCTTAGGGTCTCACAGATGTCCTGGATGTTAACACACATTCACACACACAAAGAATTTATTGATTTGACTTGTGATCTTAATAAATACTCCATGATACGTCTTGCCATGCTGAAGGATTTTGTAGACACTACCTGTCTTGTGCTTTTAAATCTATTTCCTAATATTGTTAATCTATTGACTTTTTAATAATATTTTGATCATAGGGTAAGTTTTCAAAAACGTAAACAGAGTTAAATGTGAATATATTTTTCTTGTTAAACTAGTTTTTAGGTTTCTTGTCGTGGTTTAAAAATATATGTCTCTACTAAAAATAAAAAAAAAAAATTAGCCGGGCGTGGTGGCGGGCGCCTGTAGTCCCAGCTACTCGGGAGGCTGAGGCAGGCGAATGGCGTGAACCCGGGAGGCGGAGCTTGCAGTGAGCCGAGATCTTGCCACTGCACTCCAGCCTGGGGGACAGAGCCAGACTCCGTCTCAAAAAAATAAAGAAATATATATATACATATGTATGTATATATATATTTCCTAAAACCTAGGGAGATTATATATATCTTTTATGTATATTTACACCTAGGAGATATATATATATATATATATATATGTATATATGGTTATTTTTTTCTTTTAACATTTAAGTATTTATTATTTTACTGAGATAAAATTTGCAACTACAGATCTTAAGTGTTCAATTTGATGAGTTTGAAAAGTTTATATACTCAATAACTGCCTTCAAAAACAAAGAATTTTTTTTAAAAAGTTCTCTCATAACTTTCCTTCAGTAGTAGCCACTGGAGGAAAATTATGAGAGAACTTAAGGAAATATTACGTATCTCCCTAGGTTTGAGAAAATGTACTCTTTTGATATCTATCACCATAAATTTGTTTTGCCTAATTTTGAGTTTCTTATGTATGATTTTATACAGTATATATCTATTGCATTTAGCTTCTTTCATTTATCATGCTTCTGAATTTTTCTTCTGTCTTTTATGTAGACATAGTTCATTTGTTTTTATGTATTTGCTGAGTAGTATTTTATTATATGAATATATTACAATTTGTTTATCCATTCCCCAGTTGGAATGTATATTTGAGTTGTTTCCAGGTTTTTGTAAAAATGAATGAATCTGTTATAAATGTTGTTGTGCCAATCTTTTTGTGGACATCGTTCCTATTTCTTATACTAAGGAGTATAATTGCCGAATCATGGTAGAGATAGATGGTGAAGTTTATAAGAAACTATCAAGCATTTTTACAATCATTGTACATTTTTATACTCCCACTTGCAATGTATGAGAATCACGATTGCTCTGCATCATCACCAACACTTGGTGTTGCCAGTCTTTTTACTATTAATTATTCTAGTATGTAGTGGTATATGCTCTCTGCTCTCAACTATGAGAAGACACACACACACACACACACACACATATTGTGTCCTATTCTTTCAACTTATCAATTTAACAAATACATTCTCTCATATTACCAAATGTTCTTTGAAGTACAGTTTTAATGGGGTTACAGGCACGTGCCACCACGCCCAGCTAATTTTTGTATTTTTAGTAGAGACAGAGTTTCACCATATTGGCCAGGATGGTCTCAATCTCTTGACCTCGTGACCGCCCCACCTCAGCCTCCCAAAGTGCTGGGATTACAGGTGTGAGCCACGGTGCCCAGTCCTACCATTTCTTCACTACTCCAAATAGCTTTTCCTTATTGTCATAAATAACAGTGTGATGAACATCTTCATACATTGACATTTGATGTTTGTTATTCTTTAGTAAGAATTAATTGGTGTATAATCACTGCCTTAAGGGATAAGAACATTTTAAAGGGCTGAGATACATATTGTGGATTGCTTTGTAAAATAACGTATACCTCACCAACAATTGTTAACAGTGCCCTTGTTAACCACAACTTTCTCACTATTGTTTTAATTTTTTTAAACGCCAGTATAGTCATTGAAAAATGACCTTTTAATGTACAATTCGTTCATACTAAGTGGATTAGATTATTTTATGAACATACTTAGGTTAACAATTTTTACATCTAGATTTCAAAATATCTATTCTTGTTTCTTTTTAACTTATTAGTGCCTTTTATTTTCTTTATATCCATTATTATGGCCAACTTACAGAATAATGTTAATTATCTGCTTGACATGTTTCTAGTTAATATGTTTTCCAGTTTTCTTTATCTGCTTGGTTTTAAGTAGAACAACCTTCCACAAACCAAAGATGACAGAGTATCATAAACTAAAGAATATGATGAACTCAACGCTGCACCTGGGGCCAAGTAGGAAAAAAACAAAATAAAGCAAAAAATCATTTTTAGATGTTTCTGACATTTTAAAAGAGGATATTATTGGCATAATAAAAGACAGTGGTTATGTAACAGTATTTTGGTACTAACTTCTGAAAGTTTCTTGAGTTACCCCTATTTTCATATGCAATGAGGACATCATTAATCCAGATAAAACCTCACTGAAGATTATATGTAAATTAGCCGATCATAGCTAAGGTCATGTCTGTGTGGTCCAAGTAGAAACTAAAGACAATAATTTTGTTGCATATAATTCTCATTTATCTTCTGATCAGCTAGACTGCATAAGCAAGCCAAGCATTATCTACTGTACTCAGTAAGTTGTTTTAATCAGACACCTGGGATTTGCTTTAATTAGATATGGTAGGACATGCAGACATGGAGATGACTGTCACGAGGAAGAAGTTCATTATATTCACAGATTCTTGGAAACAGGGGCACAGCGTATGACGCAGGACCAAGCAGGGAAGCACCAGGTTGGGCTGGGAAGCAGAAGAAGTGAGAGGAAAGTGTTACTGTGCTTTCCATGGGAAGGAAAGAGCAGGGCAGGGCAAGCAGGCTTAGGATGGGTTGGCCTGAATAATTTCAGTGGGCTCTGGGGTGAAAGTGAAGGTGTGTAGTAATCCATTCTCATCCTGCTAATAAAGACACACCCAAGACTGGGTAATTTATAAAGGAAAGAGGTTTAATTCAGCATGGTTGGGAAGGCTTCAGGAAACTTAACAATTGTGGCGGAAGGGGAAGTAAACACATCCTTCTTCACATGGCAGCAGCAAGAAGTGCCAAGCAAAGACGGAAAAGCTGCTTATAAAACCAGCAGATCTCGTGACAAGTCACTCACTATCATGAGAACAGCATGAGGGTAACTGCCCCCCCTCATTCAATTACCTCCCACTGGGTCCCTCCCACGACACGTGGGGATTATGAGAACTACAATTCAAGATGAGATTTGGCTGGGGACACAGGTGGTGTAAGGGTGTAATTATCTGGTACCTGGCCCTAGGGTAATCAGGGCAGGCGATAGTGGCCCAGAGTGGGAGAGCCTGAGGAAGGAGATGATTGAAGCTGTGGCCTCTAGATTGGTTCCTTTGCATATAGAAGGTTAATTCACTTACAGGTGAGTCCTTTCCTATTTCTGAAAATTGACTAATCCTGGGAGGGGTAGTGCTTCCAAGGTCAGCAAGACCCCAGATGCCAAAGCATCAGAATAAAGAAAATAAAGACAGGAATCACACACATGTCAACAGAAACAATTCTCAAATTTTTTTTGTTGCCAGTAAAATTTGAAAAATGCTTTTTTCATACAGTTTCCAAACATTACAATTATACTTTTCTTCTAACCTCTTTATCCAAACCTTCTTCAATTCACTCATTTTTCCCTTGGTAACGTGAGCCGTGTGGCTCTGGCTCTCTCCTTCTCTGTTCATGGCTCTCTTCCATCCCCTCATTACTTACGCCAAGGTAACACCATGCCCTCCCATCTCACCTTCCTGGCTCCTGTCTTCTGTCCTCTCTCAGCAATTCTGCATACCTAGGGCAGTCTAATCTTTAAACACTGCTTTTTCTTACCTGCTTGCAAATCTGTAAATATCCCCTTATTTTTTTATTTCATGTCAAATCAAAAAAATTTCAGCCTAGATTTAAATATGCTTTCTCTACATTCCCTTTTTCTTCACTACTATCACCTTTCCAAATATTACACATTATACGAGGCCCAGTTCAAGCTCCACCTCCACTTCAAAACACTACCTTAGTCTTACCAAACTCTTCTTCCCAAAGTTATGGAAATGAGCTTCGATTGAATTTGCTTTATTATTGTCTATTGTAAATGCATCAGCTTTCCCTTTAACTTGGATGCTCCCTGAGGGCAAATCTGTTATTTTCACTTACTACTAGGCTAGTACAGAACTTAATCACTATTGCCATTTTGCATGCTGTTCTCTCCACAGAGAATGTTGCTTCATGACTTATCTAGCTGAAATCATCTACATGTCGATCATCTGAAACTCAGCTCATTAAAGACTCCATGACCACTCCAGACAGTTCACTTCCTCCTCCACAAATTCATGATGTTTTGTTAGAACACAACTGCATCTCAGCATTTGATCATAATAATTTACTTCTCTGTCTCCACCACCATAGTGTAAACTGTGCAAGTGCAGAGGCCATACCTACATGTCATTGCATCTCTATATCCTGATAGATTGTGCTATATATAGAAAATGCTCAATATATCTAAAGCATTAATACTTAACATTAGGAATTATGGCTAAAACACCCACCCTCAATATTCCTGATGTAAAGATGGCTGCAATATTTGGGTTGAACTGTTCTTTTTTCTATTTTAAAGAGGATGTTTGACATTTCACCTACAGGTTAGTGAATGTAATAAATTCATTTGTGATGTTGGAGTTATTAGATAATTCATATCACTTTCATAATGATTCTTTCAATATATACATAGTTTTTCTGGCCATTATATATCTTATATCTCCTCTTCCTAAGTTTTGTAAGCAATTCAGTAATCATTTCCCTCTCGTTTGCTACTAAAATACTCTCCTAATTGCAATAGATATAGAATGGATCTGCTTATTTATCTTTCTAGATTTATACTTCATTCTCTATTTATAGCTTTTTAGTGTTGGCAGGTGTGATGTGTTTCATCATTTGAATATATCAGGAAAAATGATTTTTTAAAGCTATATATATAAAGCTTTATATATGTTTTATATATATAAAACATATATGTATATGTATGTGTGTGTCTATATATATAGACACACAGAAAGAGAGAGAGAGAGAGAGAGAGAGAGAGAGAGAGAAACTTCCCTTTAAAACCGTTCTGTACAGCAGAGATATTTTCAGAAAAGAACAAATTTGAAAGTGTATAATCCAAAACTCAGGGCAGCTTGATTAGTAAATGCATGTTTTTTTTTTTTAAAGGCTCATACCAAATAACAATGAAGCAGTTTGTTCTAATCCTAAAGCCACTCCTACAAAGATTGCTTTGAGCCATGTCACGAGGCCCTTACTGGAGAAAAATTCATTCATATAGATAAGCTAAGTTTTCATTTTTATAAGCCTTTTCCCTATCTTCTATACACCTTATCTGAATTCATAACATACATATATTTTTAACATCAAAATCTAGTCATATTAATCTTATTTCTTTCCCAACTTAAAATCCTTCTGTGGTTTCCAAATTCCCTATCTTTGCATTTATTCCTCATAGTATCTTACTTTTTCTTTTTTGTCCAGCTTTATCTTCCCCCTATGCCCCAGCCTCTACAGCTCCTTGGAGTGCCTTGAATAGGCTGAGAGTTGCTCAGGTCCATGCCTGCAACACCTGTACTCCCTTGTCAGGTGGTACTCCCGATCATCTTTCAGAATCTGTTTAGTGTCAGTCCTTCTGTAAAATGTTCCAGCCATGCCCCAGAAGGAGTGACCATTTCCTCCTCTAAGCCCCATTTTACCCTGTTCATGCATCTAGTATAGTGCCTGAGATGCTTTATCTATTAACGTCCTTACTTGTTTTATTTATACCAAATGCTGCAAGCTCCTTGAGGAAAGGGACTACATATGGCCTGGTGCCTACCTTGTAGGAGGAGTTCAATGAATGTTTCTTGAAAAAATAAATGGAGACATGTATTTAAACATATGATTCAAACAATATAACAAGTGCTACAATAGAGATGTGGCCAATATGCATGGAGAAGACAGCCTATAGTTCCAACAGTTCTATTAGAGGCATTTCAAAATGGCTAGCATCAGTCAGGACTCCCAGGACCCATTACAATTAGGAATTTGAAAGATATTTGCATGTATGGCTGTTCTTCCTCACATCACATATACCTGTTGAGAGGTCACTGATGCCAGACACCATGCTAGATGCTGGGTATGCAGAAATAAGAGACATCATGTCTGTTTTCAAACAGCTCATGGTCTGGTTTTGGAGACAGAAATACAAGCAGACACACAACTCCTACAACATTGGTGTATGTGTGTGACGTGTTAGCACATAGGAAAGCACCTTATTTCAGTTTCACATTTAGGAAATGTGAATCTCTTCTTTCCTGAAGAGATGCCCTCTAATCTGCATTCTGAGGGGATGAACAGAGCTGTTTCTGGCAGAGGCATAAGTAACTGCCTCGGCTCAGAGATGCTGGAGATTATGGTGGTGACTTAGAGGCTGTATAACATGGCGGATATTAGTGCTGACAGAGGGAGGAAGAAACATCTGAGGTGACAGGAGTCAACAAGCCCCACTCAGATCATGGACTGCTTCTAAAATATACACCTCTTCACAACACCCCTCTCTGAAGAAACCTACTACATTGGTGCTCCTTTTCTGGTCCCTGTTCATGTAACTTAACCTGATCTGCAAAAATCAGCAAGATGGTGTTGTAGGGTGCAGAGTGGAGGGAGGTGAGGCAGGAGAAAAAAACAAAAAACAATGAACAGACAGGAGGCACTTGAGAGAATCCAGGTAAGAAGTGACAGGACCTTGTATAACAATGTTGATTTTGAACATAAATAAAAGTATTCCATCCATTCAAAATAATAGAAAAGTAGGTTTAAACATATTATTTTGGGGGGAACAAGAGAGAGGGAAGTGTTGAAGTTGGGTCTTTTGTTTTAGGTTTTGGCAACTGGCTGGGGGTACAGTTGCCAGAAAAAATACAGGATACCCAGTTAAATTTGAATAAAAAATGATTTGATGCTGATCTGAAATTCCAATTTAACTGGATGTCCTGTTGCTGTGCTTGCTAAATCTAGCAACCCTAATAACGTGGCATGTTTGATAATAGAAAAAAGAAAAGAAAGAGCAGGAGTGAGTATGAGGATTTGTTTCGGACACGTAAAGCATGAGGTAACCTGCAGGAACTGAGATGTTTGTGCCTCCCGGAAGATAAGGATTTAGCTGCTGAAGAGACTGTGGAGTTACGACTAGAAACTATGATCAATGAGACCAACATGGAGGAATGGGTAGAACGAGTGGAGTTATGACTGGAAACTTGGATCAGTGAGATCAACATGGTGTAGTGGGTAGAGCAAGCAGAGAAGGGCTGTGATGTAATCATTGGAGCCCAGTGATCTGAGGTTACATAGAGGACAAGGGACCCCTGGAAGAGAATGGAAGGAGTCGGTAGAGGCATACAGAGAGTATGAGGTGCGTGATATCACAGAAATAAGAAAAGAGTATTTCTACAAGAAAAAAGTGGCCAACGGCTTCAAAATCTATTGAGAAATGTGAAAGGAAACAAAGCCAGCTATGTGGATGTTAATGATAACCTTGTTATCATACCATGATAGTGATATGAGCAGTTTCAGTAAGGGTGTGGTGGGAAGCCAACTATACAAACTTGTTCTACCTCTTCAGTTCTCATAAACACTTGAGCCTGTTTGCTGAATGCATTTGCCTACAGTTGCCTTTATTTAAACCATAAGGTTATTATTTCCATGAGAGGATAGCTTTATTAATCAATATATGAATCCCTACAAATAAATGTTGAAGAATAGTTGGAACACTAAATTGCAAATATTTATTGAGTCCTTATTATGATCTCACCAAAACATTAGATGTTGCAGATACACTTAGCAGTGCTGAAACAACTCTCAGCTTCACAGACTCAAGAATCTGAAGTGGGAGCACCAACATATGTTAAATTGAAAAGAGCAATCCATCCAACACGACTAATGGTCATCAAATATCAAGTGTGTAGTGTACGTATAAGCCCCCAAATTTCTCTTGTTTCTAGTAATGAAAACTTGTGACAGTTCTTTCAGTGAAAGTGGAGACTATTCTTTAATATTATTTTTTAAGCAAAAGAGTAAGCATAGAAAAGCAATGTATTTTTACTGTCATCATCTTAATGTATTTCAACCAGTCACAGCTGTCCAAATTGACCCTGTGCCAGGGGCATCAGACCTAGGCATGCTAGGGGAAGTAGCAGCCTTGGGCCATGCCTGCCCACCCACACATTTTCAGGATATGTCGGATGATATATGATACCCAGCCCTTCCAGATTTTCTCGTTAAAACAGTGTATATAATAAAATGAAAATAACGATGTTATACCTACTGTGTAACCACCTGTCAGTAAATTTATGAACAATTAGAAAATGGAAGTACTTTCCAGGGAGCAATTTGTAGAAGCAATAAAATGCTCATTTTTTTCAGAGATATAATAGGACAACAACTTTTCTCTTTTTTTTCCCCCAAAACAGCTTTTGCAGTCATTAATCAGCTCTGTTTTTTTGTTGTTGTTTTTAACGTCCCAGTTCTTCAAAACACACTAGATAGGTGCAACTGTGGGCGATGAAGGAGCCATTTAAAATTTCCAGGCGAAGTGAAGCTCAGAGCCAAGGCTGTTTCATATTTGATAGGTAGTCACACTTCTTAATAAACTTGGGTTTATGTGCTCTGCCTCAGGGGTTTTACCGCTCAGAAACAGATGCCAGCATTTTCGTTTGTGGAGCAAACATTAACCCAAGACATCCATTCAGAATGTGTGTGTTTTTCCCCTTTGACCTTATTAGCAAATGACCTGAGGCTTCCAACATCCTCCAAATAGCCCAAACTGATAATAAAATTACTAAAATTTATAAGGTACTTTCTGTTGGATGAAATTCTTTCTTCCGCATTATCTCGTTTAAATGACCGCCATTTAGAGTTGAGGAAGTTGAGGGTCAAAGAGATACGATGAGTTGCCTGAGGCTGTACAGTAAGTAGAGAACTAAATATCAAACCCAGGTTTCTGATTCCAAATTCTTTTCCTGTCCACTGCATGGAGATGCTTCCCCAATACTAGTGCAATATGATAAATGCTTGCAACCAGGATCAACACAAGACAAGGGCACTACAGCCTCCAAAGCGCAATGTGGTACCTTGGAGAGATGGGGAACTCTCTTAGCAGCCCCCCATGGTTCCATCCTAGGGCCATGGGATCTGAGAAGCACTGCCATTGTCTCCTGGTCCTGAGAGTTCTCCTCCACTGAGGTCCTGGCTGGACTGGACTTCCAGGGCTGGCCAGCTGAAGCCAGCAGAACAGATGAAGAGGCCTCCTGACCCACATCAGGCTCGACTCCCACTGGCGTGAAAACGTCAATTTCCTAGCACAGCCATGTTTTTCCAAGAGCAGTTGGTTAGTCCCTCTCTCTCTGCCATTTCACCTCTTCCTTTTAATCTTTTCCATTTTTATTTCTCATCTCAAGTCCTTTTTTTGTGCTCTTGGCTTCTTCAGTGGCCTTTATACAGGTTTCCACGCTTCTCTCTCCTCTTTTCATGTTTGCTCTTTTGTAAGAGGCCCCCTTTCTTCAGTTGTCTTTGTTGTTTGACTCCTCTTTTTAGGATGCCTTTCCCCTCTATTCATTGTTATTCTCCCTGAGATTTTTCTCTTGTCACTTGACGGACTTGAATTTTGATCTTTACTGCCGGACTAAAGCTTTGTCAACCTTCTGTTTTCTTTGTGAGTCAACTTTTTTTTTTTATTATTCTCATCATTCTTCTTGGAACAGAAAGCAAATATTTTTTAGCAGTCTGTGTGATTCATTTGGTGCCTTATTTTGGCCTAAATGTTTGTTCTCTCTTTTATAATCAATTATTTTAATTGTAGCTGTCTGGGCTCTAAAGGTAGAAAGAGATGATGGCTAATCTCTATTTCAATAATTGGAAACCAGTTCTTTTCTTGTAGTGTCTACAAATTCCATGGAGGGAAAATGTATTCCATGTCTCCTACACAAAAGATTTTAGTGGACACATCCAAAAGCTATGGGTTTTTGTGCTCTTATCCATATGTTTTCATGGCAAACTTACTCCATAAAACCTCAGGAAGAGAGCAGTTTGGAGTGTGTGTGTGTAACTGAGGCATAGCTACATGCAAAAAAGGACAGAGATCTTATATGTACAGCAAGGAGAACTTATATATGTGTAATCACCTGTACAAACACTATGCAGATCAACATATAACACATTGCATTGTTCCAGAAGCTCTAATCACGCCCTTTCCCATTTAATCCCTCCCCAAACATCATCACTAGTGTGCCTCTCCTCAGCTTCATATAAATGGATTCATCTAGGAGGTACTCATTTGTGTGCAGCTTCCTTCACTCAACATAATATCTGTGATATCCTTCCATGCTGTGTGTGTTTTAATAGTTCATTTTTTAATTGCTGAGTAGCTTTCCATTTACAGATTCCATAATCTATTTGTTCATTCTCTTATGATAAACACTGGTTGGTTTTTATCTTTTAGCCATTTTGAATAAAATTGCTCTGAACATTTTTATTCATGTCCTTTGAATGTACAACTACTAATTTTTATTGGGAAAATACCTAGAAGTTGAATTTGGGGGCATAAAGTGATGCATGTTCAGATTTAATAGAAATTACCAGACAGTTTTCTAACACAGTTGAGCCAACTCCCTGCAGCAATATTTGAACGTTTCACTTAAGATGCATCCTCAGCAAGACAGTATTATTAGCCTTTTAAAATTGTAGCCATCTGGTAGCTATGAGAGGAGGTTAGAATTTACAAGCTAACCACATTAAATGCACCAATCCTTCAAAAGCCTTGTGTGTCACACGTGTCCTACATGGGTCCTCAGATTCTGTTGGCTTCCTTGACTCTCAAACCTTTGTTTGCTTGCTCAGATACCTCTGCCATTGTAGCTGGCATGACCTTGCAGTTCCACCTTTTGAAGCTGACCAGCTGAGCCTCCAAAATCTCTGGCTCCTCTGCTGCACCCAACCTCAGATGAAATGTGATTCTTCAGGGCATGGGATCTGGCTTCTCTAGTGATTGCTGCAGGGGCCATGGATGGCAATCTAGACATCCAAGGTGTTCACTCCCTGTGAAGCAAACTTACACCAAAGGAAGACAGGACATGAGATGAGAGAGAGCCAGGTCAACGCATTCTCTATCTGTTCTTTCTGAGAACCAATGATTCCAAGGCATACACTCTCTCTAGGGTCCCTTTGTAGACATCCTGCATGGCTGAGCAGAAACACCTGCCAAGTCACCAGCTGTTTCTCTCCCCTGTTCATTGTTGCTATGTAGCCAGTGTTGGTAAAGCGTCACCTTGGGTTGCTTCCTGTTTTTCCCTTCCTGATTCCCCTTAGCCTTCCATCTCTCTGCCATGTGATTTCACCACAAAAATAAGGCATTGGCATTTAATCACTTCCTCAGGGTCTGTTTTCTAGGGACACAGCAGTAAGATAGTTTGGAGAAAAATTCCTTAACATATTAACTAGGCTTGATCAATATTACCAATCCATCCAATTTCTCAAGAGCTGAAATGTGAGTGTGTAACTGGGATATTGGACTGAGAAAGAAACAACTTATCTGAGGGTTTGAATGACCAAGTTCTAGTCTTGTGTTTTATGTCTGTGAGTTTCAATGCATTAGTATATGGCTCTGACTTGGATTCATTCTTTGTGAAAGCTTTCAAGGATGCAGTAGAAATGTCATAGTTACTCTTTTAAGAGAACCTCAATATCAAATATAATCTCATGTGAAATTGCTTACACAGTGGTTACTATTCAACAGTATTGATTTTTCTTCTCCTTTCCTTCAAAGAAAGGCATGCTCTAAAATTAAGAAAATCTCTTATTTTTCCATAGAGAAAATTAAGAGAAAATTTCACTGAGTTTTTTAAGGTGACATGCTAAATAGATTTAATGTCAAATGAATAATAATAAAATAGCAAATTAATTAATTATGCTGTTTCATTCACTAGGGAATATTTTCCCATTGTTTTAGGCCAATTTTTTTTTTTTTTTTTTGACATGGAGTCTGGCTCTGTCACCCAGATTGGAGTGCAGTAGCGAGATCTCCGCTCGCTGCAAGCTCCGCCTCCCGGGTTCATGCCATTCTCCTGCCTCAGCCTCTCGAGTAGCTGGGACTACAGGCGCCCGCCACCACGCCCGGCTAATTTTTTTTTTTTTTTTTTTGGTATTTTCAGTAGAGACGGGGTTTCACCATGTTAGCCAGGATGGTCTTGATCTCTGACCTCGTGATCCGTCTGCCTCGGCCTCCCAAAGTGCTGGGATTACAGGCATGAGCCACCGCACCCGGCCGTTTTAGGCCAATTTTACCAATGCTTTCATGCTCCTTTATTCCAAGCCGTTTTCTGTGTAACTCTGATTTCAACCTTTGCTGATGCCACTAGCATTCAGCTGTTCATTCATAATTTATTCATCAAATGCCTACCATACACTAGGCACTGTGTTTGGTACTAGAAATAAAATAGTGAACATAAACAGTGCAGTCTCTGCCTTTGTGAAATCTGAGGTCCAATAGGAAGAGAGATTCTATTACAGAATTAGGAAGATATATGTAGTAATGCAATACATATTCTGAAAGAAATGGGGAGTGCTATGAGACTCCATAATGGGCAGGCCCGGCCTACTTGGGAAGTTGTGAGATGGCTTTGCTGAGGAAGCGACAGAGCTTGAGGAACGTGAAGCTCTGAAGGACCATTTTGGCTGGCTGGAGTACCGAACCTGGAGGGGAGGTGTTTTTAGATCAGGTTAAAGAGATAGCTATGGTGAGAGCTCCAGAGGGTGCCAGTCATCGCAGGAGCTTCCATGCTTTCCCTCGAAACCATAGGGAAACATTTGAAATTCTAAACACGGTGTGTGTGTGTGTGTGTGTGTGTGTGTGTGTGTGTGTGTGTGTGTATGCGTGTGCTTGTGTGTGTACAATGATTAAATGATTAGACTTTTTAGGAGATTATTCTGGCTGCAGGGGCAATTGGACTTGGTCAAGAGCAGGTTACAAGGAGTGGGGGAGGAATGAATGGAAACTTATTGTTTAAGAAGTGCATTAAATGAGGTTGGAATGATGGGAAAGTTCTGGAGACATAGAGTGGTGATGCTTGCACAATATTTTAAATGTAATTAATGCCACAAAACTGTACACTTTAAAATGGTTAAAATAGCAAATTTTATATTATGTATATTTTACTAAAATAAAATCAATTACAAGATCTATGTGGATAAAGAAGTTGGTAGGTTTTTGTGGTAAATCCGTTCAGTGTGAACAATCTAGTTCACAATGATATTCTGAACTAGATTGTTGGGTAGTGAAGGTGAAAAGAAGTGGGTAGATTTGAGAAGTATTTTTGTTTTTTGAGACAGAGTCTTGCTCTGTCACCCAGGCTGGAGTGCAATGGTGCCATCTCGGCTCACTGCAACCTACGCCTCCCGGGTTCAAGTGAGTCTCCTTCCAGAGCCTCCTGAGTAGCTGAGATTAGAGGTGCACCACCACATCTGGCTAATTTTTGTATTTTTAGTACAGATGGGGTTTCACCATGTTGGCCAGTATTTTTGAAGAATGTTGAAAAGAATTTGGTATGACAGACAAGCTAGCTATTCACCAAACAAAAATAAATAGCTCCCTCCAAACTAAAAAACCAGCCTTTAATTACACTCACTCCTTACCGTTGTGTTCATTCTGTCTGCTAGATATCTGTGACCAAAGTTGGTGCTGTCATCATGCTTTGAAGGTGGCAGCACTTCCATCAACTTTTATTCCTGAATAACTGCATATAACCTAGCTCTTCGCCCCCTCCCACATCCCCAACAACTGGAATATAGGAACAAGCAGTAGAGTTGTATTAAGCCACTGTAACACTGCGGCTGTAAGAAGCTGGAGTTATCTTACTTGGTACCTGTTATAGACTGAATTAGGTTCACCCAAAATTCATACATTGAAGCCATAATCCCCACTTTGATTATTTTGGGAGACAGGGTCTTTGAAGAGGTAATGAGAGTTAAATGGGTTCATAAGGTTAGGGCCTCAATCTGACGGAACTGGTGTCCTTATGAGAAGAGGAATGATGTCAGTGATCTTTATGTGTGTAAGCACAGAGAAAAGGCCATGTGAAGACACAGCAAGATGGCACTGTCTACAAGAGAAGGAGAGAGTTCTCACCAGATGCCAACCTTGATGCCAACTTCATCTCAGATCCCAGCCCCCAGGGCTACAAGAAAATAAATTTCTGTTGTTCAAGGCACTCAGCCTGTGGTATTTTGTTCTGGCAGCCTGAGAAGACTGAGACAGTATCATTGGCTACAGAAAGTGAAGTCAATGTCTATGACTGGTGATGATTAAGGCTTGTGGATCTAAGTGCATGGAGGGGCCAATCACTGGGAGAGGGACACTAGACATAGGCCAGGTTTGAGTTCCATTCTGCACATGTTGACTTCGAAGTGTCCCTCAGACATTCAACAGAAAATGTCAATTCAGTCTACGTGGAGAGTAAATAGACTCTCCCTGGCCCTATTATTGTGTAGTTTAACTCTTGCTCAGTTGAAAGAATTTCCTCGAATTGTTTTGTGAATATATGTTCTGTCTCTCCTCCAAAATAAATACTTCCTTGGATTTTTCTCAACCCCCTCCCCAATAGTTTCTAACATATCATAAATACAATTGACATTCAAGAAAGCAATAGGTCATTTTATTGATTTCTTAAGAAGTGGTGGTTTGGTATCCAGAAGATATAGAAAGATTCAGAGTATCTTAGAATGTTTCGAGTAGGACTAGACTACTTCAGCCATTGATCTGCTGCAACATATACTTCTGCAACATATACTTCTAATGAAAGAAAAGAAAACTTCATAAATATGGCTACTGTCTCCTTTGTCAATGTCTCTGCTCACCATTAAAAATATTAAAATGAGGGCAAAAGAATTAAAGTGGGATTCAATTTGATTCCATTGAGCAAACATCCACATTGCACATCTTAGGTGCTCAGGTTGACACAACCAGTGTGTCCTCCAAGTGCTTAAAATATAGTCTGAGGGGTGTGGAAATAATCCTACAAAAGACACATAGTGATGATTTACATTATTTTATCTTCTGTGTGTAGCAAAGTGCCTAATTCAGAGATGGTGCTCAACAAATTCTCCTTGAATATGCTTTCACATAGGAGGTATTAATGTATATTTGGTGAATGAACAAATGAAACAATTGATAGACTATGATATAAAACCGTCTGTGAAAAAATTTTGAGAAGTGTTACAAAATGTATACTCCCAGGAATAAAAATCTAGAACATTAGAGCAGAAATGGATTTCAGAGACCATCTTCTTCTACTCCCTTATTTTATGCATTAAGAAACAGATCCTAGAAGGTTAATACATATCCCTAAGTTAGCACAGGTAATAGATATGAAACTGCCTTTGCAAAATTATGACAGTAAGAGAAATCTGAAGTATCTGACTCCATCTTGCTTCTAACATCCAAGATGTCCTTTATCATTACTGGAGGTGAACCAAACTAACTTTGGGAAGAATTTAATAGTGCCAGCTATACATTTTACTAACAGTGTGTGCATTAGTTTAACCGGTATGCGTGTGTGTAAAAATCTTGTAAACTGTATAACAAGTAGGTGAGCTTCCTTTTACTACTCAAGGTCTTCTGTTACAAAAAATAGTTCATATCTCATTTTAAAACACACTGAAAGCCATGTCTCCAAAGATGAAGGTAGAATTAGATGGTAAGTACAAAAAAAGTTTTTATTGAGCATAGGTAGAATTATTCTAGGTTGACCAACGCCCCAGAAAAAAATATCCTGAGGTATCTTTTTTTGCCCAAATAGGTGTTGGGAAAACCAGGTAGTCATAAACAGACCTGCTTCTTCAAGTGTAGCCTAGATTCATTGGCTCTCCGTCCTTTCACTTTACTTTTATGCATCTCGCAATTGTGGCTTTGGCCCTGGCCAATCTGCCTTTTTTTCCCTCTTGGTTACTCACCTTCTGTTTGTTCCTAAAACATATACTTTGCCTATGATTCTTCTTCTCTACAGGTTCTTTTCCTGAAACTAATAATAGCTTACATTCATTGAGTTCCTGCTATGAGCTTTACTAAGTAGTTCGCATGTATTACGGTCATTTCTCGGTATCAATGCAGCACTGGATCCAGGACCCCAACAGACACCAAAATCAGCAGATGCTCAAATACCTTATATAAAATGGCATAGCACTTGCATTTAATCTATGAACTTCCTCTCATATAAATCACTTCTAGATTACTTATAATACCTAATAAATGTAAATGCTACATAGATAGTTGTTATGCTGTAGTTTTATATTTTTGCTATTTATATTGTTATATGGTTATTTTTATTGCTGTATTTCTGTGGTTGGTTAAATCTGTGGACATGGAACTCGCTGATAAAGAGAGCCAACTCTACTTCATTCAACCCTCACCTTGATGCCTTGAGGAAAATACCATTATTAATCCTATGCCGTGGATGAAAACCAAGGCTTAGAGACAAGAAGCAGTTTTCCCAAGATTCCACTACTAATGAATGGCAGAGCAAAAACTTCTGCAAGTTTTGACAGACCTTATAACTTGCACCCTTTCCCCTATACTGTAATAATTCACTCGGAGACCACAAATATCCATTTCCTGTATTATTGGCAATAACCAGTAGTCCTCTTACTCTTTTAAAATTGTTATTTTTGAGCTATCTCCTCTGCTCTATCCCATGTTGTAAGCACATCTTTGAAAAAATTAATAAATAAAAACGCAAGCTCCTTGAAGCTCAAAGACTGTTTTTCTCATTTTTAATCCTTTGTAGAGTATAGGTAGAATAAAATACATGTGCATTATTTATATGTTCAATAAATGTGTCACATTTTAATTTGACTTGAACACTCCAGCTAATCAGCTGACTGGCAATAAAAACTGTCAGGCAGTACAGTGGCAAAAGTTAGAAAGTGCTTGTTAAAATAATCAGGTTTAAAACAGTCAGTGACAAAAACGTAAATCTCAGTATGTTATTGGACTTTCCAGCTTATGAAAATACACAAATTGTTTCTATATGTCTGAATTCTCTTAGATACAACCTCTTTTAAGAACACCAAATTTTATTTGGGAAATGCCTATCCCATCATCAATGCCATTCTGAAGATTTTACCTGTGAATATAGATTGAATTTGAGAGAAAGATTTGTTTTTCTCTCCTCATTTCAACTAGAGAGAATTAACATGTGTTAGGCATTCCCCTATGTTTTCAAGATTCTACATTTCGGGTAGACCTTGTCCTACATAAGCAGCTCATTCGTGGGGAGAGAAGGGACTGTGATGAAGAAAGTAAGACAGACACACAAGCGGTATAACATGAAGACACGTCAGTGCAGAGGCCCGCAGAGGGACGGAAGAGGAAGGTGTCACTGCCACTCACTGCTATGGAGCCTCAAGCAAGGCCTATTTTCTCAGGCTTCAGTCTCAAAGGTTATTAAACGAAGAGTTGGCTAGAGGTCACTCAGAATTCTTTGAATTTAAAAACGGTATGATTTTCATGGTGACAGGGCTTCATCAAGGAGGTGAAATTCAGGCTCAGGAAAATCTGATGGGGGAAGCAGGGAGAAGATGGGTGTTCCAGGAAAGGGAAAAACAGACCAAATCCAGCAGGTACCAAAGCACAGGGCATGTCTGGGCAGCACAAGCAGCGGATTGAACCGGAACCGGGAGTCTTTTGAAGAAGGCAGTAGGCCTAAGGCATGGGAAAGTTGGTTGGGGTCATATTCTGGACAGCTTGAATGCCTTTTTCTACTTGGGCATGGTTATGGAATACAATCTCTACTTTTATCCCATCTATTTATTTAGTTAACATAGATTGACTTTGTTGACTGGTCATCTGATTACTACACGGAAAATATGTGTTTGGTAACATACTTCATGTCTAAAAATAAGCACTTGAGAACTCAACAAATATAGCAGTGCATCCCCAGAAGAGGTTTCAAAAGACGACTCTTTTGTTCATTCCATGCAAGCATACCCACATATAATGTGCTCCTAGAAATTTCACCAGCAACCATAATTTTGCTTCCCAGATTTCTTCTTTCTCCAGCCATTCTGCATGCCTTGATAATACTATTTCTACTTTTCTCAAGTAAAAAAATATGTCTGTTCTCTAAATTCAGTGCAAGGTGTTATATGCTGCCCCTCTCCATTCTGCTAAAAGGCCATTATATTATTTCATCTTTCAGCATTTGTAGTTACCCCTAAGATTAGTCATACAAGGAATGGGGAAGAACGACTGGGATTCCAATATCTATTTCCTCGGTTTTCTTTGAAGTGTTTCTTGGGACAGTTCCAATGGTTTGGCAGAGAAGAATCCCACGGAATTCTCCTAAAGGTGAATGCTTAGGTATATAAAATCAATTAGCTGGCTTTGTTTTGTTCCGTATGCATGTTTTGAGTTTATGCAGTTCTTGCAACAGACTGAAAATATAGCTGTCTTTGAGGTTTTCTTGAATTGATTTAAAGTTCAGTGAGGATGTCCCGATTTAGATTCCTGAACAATGAGCTCCTCCTTTTGTAAAAGGGCATGTATCCTGTTGTACACCGGCAAAGGTTTACCCAAGACGTAGCTTTTTTGTTAGAGAGAACAGGATTACAATGCTCTGTGCTTTTCTCCAGGATAGTGGCCATCGGCCTAGTCTTAGGAGGCTCTCCAGGAGGCCTGGATGAGCAGAAAGGGTGACATCCCCGCCAGCAGCTCATCTCATGACACTTCCTCTGCAAGATGAAGAGATTATTTTTCTCCAGTTTCTTTTCATCTGTTCTGCCCCTATCTAATTTTAAATCACAGTTTAGGGAATGTGACATCGTCCAGGAATAAGTTTCTAAATGCATTGCTTAGTCACAGATTTCCTCTAACCATCCTCTGATTGGCTGTCTAGAATGAATTGAGGCTGTGCCTTGAATCTGATGAGAAGCCACTTATGGAGCATTTATGGCTCTCTGGGGCAGAATTTCCCACAAACAGAATAGCAGAAAATAGGTGACCGGACTGCAGAGCCCAACCATCTACCAAGGCTTCACTAGGCTTGCTAGTGCACGTTTGCTCTGGCTGTGAGTGAGGCACTTCTCTCAGCTTCATCCCAACCTGATTTCCTACAGCACCTCAACCCTATAGGGGATCATTTGTTTCTGGTTTACCTGCTTTGGCTTCTCAAGCCTCTGCTTAGGTTGTGACCACTTATTCCCAATTTGACCCATTTTTTTCTTGCTAGCATTTGTCTTATGTCCTTGCCCTGCTATCAACCCCCAGCTTCCAGCCTCTGTGATATTCTCCCCTCCCACATCTTCCTGGTTCTGATGAATGGAGTATGACTGAATCAGCACATTGAGGAGATGCTCAAGATAAAACAGGTTTCACAGTCTGCTATTCATGTAAAGCTTGAGAAAAATAATGTGAGCTAGAATTGGCTCATTATGCCACTTAGTCTACAAAATGGAAAGCTGTATTAATTTTAATATCTATAATATCAGTTATTTATATTACAAACTTATGCTTCATAAGTGCATGTTCATTATTGCGTTCACAATAAATTAATGTAAAAAGTTAATACTTCCAGAGCTGTTTCGTTCCAAGGGAAAAAGGTTTTTGGATGTGGACAACACTTGGTTTTTCTTCTAGGTAACTTAGTGTGAGAAAACTCTTCCTGAGATCCAGCCTACATTCTTCTTGATGAAATATAAATCAGCCCAAATCATTTCTTCTTTAACCTTTGGAAAACTTGTAAAAACCTGGTTACCATACTCTTAATAGTTATAGAAAAACTTGAAGGAAATTATTATACCATTTTCTGGCAGCATATATAATCAAACACCAAGGTCAGAACCCTTCTCTGGCTGTGGCAGGCTGTTTTTCCTGTGGAACGTCTCCTCCGGTCGCTACTGTAAATGAGTCTTGGCCTTGAGTAGGGTGACCACCTCATCAAGGTTTGCCTGGGACTGTCCCATTTTTTCCCATCCTGAGAAACCCTTCAGTCCTGGGCAGATTAGAACAGCTGTTGCTCCAGCCTTGAATTATTACTACTGCCTCCAATTAAATTACTGACTTTCTTTCATTGGAATTTGTCGAGCCCCTGGTTTCCGTCTCATAATACTGACATCATTTTTCTGCTTCAAACTGTATTCCTCCCCCTTTCTCCCCACACACATCCACTATAATATAAATAATTTGAGGAAATTTATCCTTTCATTAATATAACACATTTGTGTTCAGTGCCTCCTGCATGCTAGTCTCTGGAGAAATACAAAATTCATGAGATAAAAACCTTGTCCTCAAATAACTTAAAGGCTATCTGAGGAGAAAAGAAAAAAGCAATAACTATATAACATGGTTATTAACTATCCATGTTGGGAGAATTTTCCAGATAAAAAGCTGTGGGAAATCTAATGGAGGAAGGGTGGGATTATTTTTAGTTGCAGGTGTCACAGGAAGCTGTGTGGAGAAGTGAGGATTGGAACTGAACGGCAGTGGATTGGGGTTAGGGAAATGGGTGGTGCTGGGGGGTGCATTCCAGGTGTAGAGACCAGCGGAGCTACAGCACGCAAAGATTTCTCCTTATTCATTTCTGTGTCCTCTCTGCATCTAAATCTAGGGACCAAGTTACTCATTTATATCTGTCAAAATGAACATACAACATCGTTAGAAATGGCAACCACCCCCGTTAAAAACTGGGCCAGCTTCAAACTTTATACGTGAAAACCAAATGAGCTAGGTCTTCAAAGAATCCCAGAGAAATGTCATGGGGTTCTCCTAATTAAAATCAGAAGTTCATTTTCAGGTGATTTCTTAGTCATGCAGCTGGAACTAAAGTAAATCTCGAGTCCCAGGAATGAGCATAGTGGGAAGAGAGAGAAGCCATTGCTCACCATGGGGCTTTAACTGGGAGCTCTCCCCTGAGGTATAGATGAGATCAGAGAACAAAGCCATAGGAAAGACAGAACAATCATTTTGAATACAAAGTGATCAAACTGCTTTAATTTTCTATGGAAAATGTTTTTCTTTCCAGTGACTCAAGGAGGTTGAGGTTGATAGCTTCTTACACGACAGATCACAAATTTGCAGTCATCCTTTGCATTTGAGAAGTAATTAAACATTTGTAAAATGACAGTTTTCAAATGAAATGTCTGGCCAGAGTCTCCTTCAGAAATAATGATGTGGTTTCTTTGGCTGCAAGTAATGACAAAGACCATCGAGCATCCCCCACCCACTCCCCTAGTTCCGAGCGCCAGTCTTCAGCGGCAACGATTGCAAAAGTTGCTCTCACCGAGTTCATTTTCTCTCAGTGCTCTTCGGCAGCCAACTATCCTGTGAGATAATGTGATACAAATAACTGCACTTTGCCATGGTTTCAACCCCTTCCTCCTAGTGTGTTTTGTCGTAAGTGATGACATCAACGAAGATGGGAAGCTTAGGTTTGTGCTGCTGAAGGGTCAAACTGATAGAGCTTTCATAGTTAAAAGTAACTGGCAAGAGATTTACAGCCAGATATTTATATTATAGGAGTTTGTGTCTTCTCCAGTGGCTTTGGCAGAGTTGCCTAACTAACCTCAAGAAACAGCTGAGTAATCCCTCTAGATGTAAGCACTCTGTTATATTATGGAGAGGAGGGGCTGGAGATGCAGGCATAGGTGTTCCTAAGCTAGCTTATAAATTAGCCAGGTGCCAGTAGGAATGTTATTTTATAAAACTGGGATATAGAGTAATTGATTCTCATGCACAAGCATGGTTGCTTGATTTACACAGAGCTGATTTAGCATTTTCCTTGCTAAATTTATTTGAAAAATGTTAACGTAACCTGAATTTACAAGGAGAAAAAGTATTTGTGTGTGTGTGTGATGGTTATTAGAGAGACAGACAAATGTCAGTACAAGGAAAAGAATAACTTCTGCGATTGATATTTTATTTTTCCTTTATTCTCATTCACTAAAGTAGATGTCAGCACCTTCCATGCTCCCTATACTGTGCCAGGCACTAGAGATACAGATATCGATCAGACAGTTCCCAGGCATTGAAGAGAGGTAGGTAGGTGAAATGTAAACACGTGCAATGATAATGCAGCATTAACGCAGAGGTATATGAATGAAAGGGTGATAGCTATTGTAAAGTAACACAAAAGAAGGAACAATGAACTTTGCCCAAGGAACTGAGAAAGCTTTCCTGGATGGGTGGCATTTCAACTGACTCTTTAAAGGAAGAGCAGGAATTGAGCCACAGAGGAGCCCTACAAGAGGAAGCGTGGTGGGAATGGTGTGCTAAGCATACAGCACTCCGTGCAAAGGCTTGCAGCCTGAATATTTGCATGCTGGTGGGTAAATGTGGGTTGCTTGGTGTGGCTTTTCCAAGCAGAGCATGAGGGTAGGCAGAGAAACAACTGTGGCTGGAAATGTTAACCGGAACCTGCCAGGAGTAGCTTGTGAATGAGGCAGTGAGGCCTGGTGGAAAGAACACGGCCTTCGAAGTTAGACCCTGTGAGGTCAAGTATTCACATTAAGACTTTTGACAAGCTACCAAAATGGTCTGATTCTCATTTTCTTTAAACCGGATGTGAGAATAATAATAAAACTTATTTTGTTATGTCATTGGGGTGAATTCCTGACAGAATAGGCAGACCTACATGTCAGTTCTTTTTGAGACCCCCTGCCCTTGCATGCCATGCACAGAAGGGTTTGGCATTGATTCTGCATGTGGTGAGAAGCCGATGAGAAACACGAATTAAAGAAGTGATGGGTCAGTTCTCGGTGTATTAAAAAAGTCACTCTCACACTAGTATGAAAGAAGGCCTGCATCATAGTAAGACAGGGGAGGCAGAGAGACCAGTTGGAAGCCTGTTGTACTATTCCAGAAAGGAACTAAGGGCTTGGACCAAGGCCAAAGTGGTGGCAATGAAAAGAAAGAAAAATATCTCAGATATATTGGAACTCACGACACACTGGAGGTACACAGTGGAGCAGGAGGAAGCAAGGATGATGCGGTGATCAGATTCTCTGGTGAGCAAAGGAACTCCCTGGAGTAATTGCGTGCATTTATTTGGAATACCTGTATATCTACTGAATGCCAGGCAGCCCTTAGGAAGACCCAGGAGGGGCTGGTTTCCTGGAGTATACCCACTGGTAAAGGTTAGTTTACTCTCCAGAGGCTCCAGTCCTATATTATTACCATTGATTATTCCTGCTACAGGTCATATTTGCAAAGAGCGACATAATCATTTTTTATTAATTCTCTTCCACAACAAGATGCCAAGCTAGATTGCCCAGCATCTTCAGCAAAGCTGGGACTGACACCCTGGAGTCTGGGTTCAACCAACTAACCTCCTCTCTATTACTTGGGCTTTACTGAAGCAAGTACCGTAAAGCCTTACTTAATTAAAATCAAGAAAACAAGCTGCACTGGCAGGGTTTGAACAGCCTCCAGTGTTAGAAAGAAATAAAAATAGCAGTCCCTCTTCCCTGGACTGGTCAGAATGATAAAACAGAGACATAGTATTGTGTCTCTGAGCAGAGTGTGGATCTGAAGATGCAAGGAGCTGGCTGCTGACTAGAAGTATACAGGGATCCATAATGGCTTACAGCAGTCAAGCACATAGAATTCATTTGAGCATGTGCTTTCTGAGAGAACTGTGGTTTATGTCTTACATACTTTGGTTTATTGAACCCTTCCAATAATTTATCTTATTTTTATTTATACATAAATAGATGCACATATTTTGGGGTACATGTGATGATCTAATACATTTATATAATTCGTAAAGATCAAATCAGGGTAATCAAATCACCTCAAATATTTGTCTCTTCTTTATGCGAGAAACATTCAAATTATTTTCCTCTAGATGTTTTGAACTATGCAATAGATTATTGTATACTACAGTCACCCTACTGATCTAGCAAACACTTGCTCTTATTTCCTCTACTGAACTGTATGTTTGTACCTACGACTCAACCTCCCTTTCTTCCCCACTCCCTCCTACTCTTCTCTGCCTCTGGTAACCACCAATCTAATCCCTGTCTTCATGAGACCCATATATGAGTAAGAACAAATAAGTCTTTGTTTACCCCTTCTGGTAGTGCTATCAATAGTGTTGATTCATATAAAAGGAAAGTGAAACTTAGATGAGACAAATTACCTAAAATTACACAGCTAATGAACTCACCGAGCTGAAGCTGGAACCCAAGTCTGACTCTAGAACCATGCCCTAGCCACTGTGTGATATGTCCTCAGTATAGAAAAGCAGGTGGTTTAAGGCTAGGTCTCTATTCTTTGTGTGATTCAAATATACACTGTGGGCTTCTATCACCAGTTCCAGAACACAAGGATACAGGAACCACAGGCCCGACCCAACTCAATGTGGCCCAGTCAGTAGTTACTGAGGAGTTCCTCCTAATGTATTCAAGGTGGCGTTTGGCCCTTCAGAGACAAAAGCTCCGTGGGAAATATCCTGGCCTCCATACTTCGTGTTCAAAGAACCTACAGTCCAGTTATAGATTATCTCTAGAGACCCCACCCAACCTCATGATGCTGTACAAAAGGCTGGGGGCTCCAAATGCACAGTGAGCATCCTCTTCCCTGGCAGCAATGACAAGAGGCTAAGGGGTCCAGTTGACTTTTAAGATATTCCACTGTTCACAGTAACAGCAACAACAACAACAGAAAATCAGTAATTATAATAGTAATTAGTCCAAGCCCTGTCATTTGCTGGGCACCTACTGGTGACTCAAGCACCCTGCTGGTGCTGGTAACTTCACTCGCTTACTTAATTAGTGATATGATTGAAAAGTCTGCCTGAAAACAAAATTCCATCAGAAGCCAAAATATAACCCTTTTTCTCTAAGTTATGCCACACATACTCATGGAACTGAAACCTAACAGACAGAAACCCCTGGGAAGCAATTTCTACATACTGTCTCTCCAAATTGGCTCTAACAGTACTAACAGAAATAATAAAAAGAACTGGGGTGAGCGGTGGGTGGGGGGAGACACTGCTCATCTACTTATCAATTCCAGCCCCAAGTCCATGGGATTTTTTCTTATTTCACTTGCAGATTTTTTCTTCATTCTAGTTCTTAATGTATCTTTGTCTTCTTTTTCGCCATCTCCTAACTTCAGGAACATGCCCTAATTGGCTCCTGGGTGCAGTCACGGCAGTCACGGTCCCATTGGCCCAGAAGTGGGAAAAGGGGAGAGGCTTGGAGGCTGGTCCTTGCAGGATGATCCTTGCAGGATGGCTTTACTTGGTGTAGAGACAGAAAGTGGAGGTGGGAGACGGGGGTGGTGGCAGCCCTCCTGGGTCAGCTCTTCCTGGAAAGCCCTCTGACTGTGTGCCTTTTCCCTCAAATTACAAAGCAAACCCCGCAGACATCATCCTGTGAAAGGAGATGCTCTGACAAATGCAGGGGAATCAGGCAGCGGAGGTCTAAGACGAGCAGGGCAGAGGTCAAGGAAGTCAGAGTATGTCTGGGAGGTCTGGACAGCTGCCATCGTGGGACAGGACGAGCGTCTCCCCAGCAGGCAGTTCCTGGGGCTGCTAATTGCTCATTTATCTATATATATCTGGCTTAAGCAAGGGCAATTGTGTCCAGAGAGAAAGCCAAAGAGCTGAAGATGGATTTACGAAGGCACAATAGATCCATAAAAGTAGATGAATAAATAAAGGCATTAACTTTTAATGTAAATAGGACTGAAGCATTCTCATTACCTTATCTTTTGAAGATATAAGACGAAATTCCTTCTGCCAATTTGAACAGCTTTAAAGTGTACTTGAGGACACTTGGAAGGAAGAAAAAGGACCCAAGTACCAGAAAATATCTGCTTACAGGTGCCAAGGGTAACTCAAAAGTATTCACAGAGCTGGAGAAGTATGCTGCTGCTCAAATAGCTGGAAACCTAACCAGAGCTGAAAGGAAGCTGCTGGTCACTGGCAAACCATGGACTTTGCTCTTCTCATTCATTTGTTCACTTATTCATTCATTTATTCAGTCAATGTATATTGAGTTCTTCCTATGTGTTGAGTACCTACTATACTATGTAGATTGGACATGGACAAACCTGTGTTCTCAAGGAGGTTGTGGTCTCAATTTAGGATAGGAGACATTCTTTATGGCATTGATGAAGTCTGAGTGTGTCTAGAAACAATCTCAATATTCCTTGACACTAGACTAAGTTATAGCTGGGGCTCAGGGCCGGGGGAGCCAAAACAAAAAATGAAGGAAGGACACCAGTTAGTGGTGTCCTTTTTATTTATTTTTATTTATTTATTTTTTTGACACAGAGTCTCTATCTCTGTTGCCAGGCTGGAGTACAGTGGTGCGATCTTGGCTCACTGCAACCTCCACCTCCCGGGTTCAGGCTATTCTCCTACCTCAGCCTCCCGAGTAGCTGGGACTATAGGTGCGTGCCATCACACTCAGCTAACTTTTTTTTTTTTTTATTTTTAGTAGAGATGAGGTTTCACCATGTTGGTCAGGATGATCTCGATCTCCTGACCTCATGATCCACCCACCTCGGCGTCCCAAAGTGCTAGGATTACAGGCGTGAGCCACCGTGCCCAGCTGTGGTGTCATTCTTAAAACCATGGAAACAAATTATTTTATGCTGCAAATGTTCTGACACTATTAAAGGTGCATTTGCATGCATTATCTCTAGCCCATGCAATGCTTCTGTGATCAATATTATTGCATTTGTTTTCTAGAGAGGACACTTAAGCTCAGAGAAACTTAATGCCTCACCAAGTCACACAGCTGGCGTGTGACTGCACTATGATTCTTAGTATTTTAACTTTAAATACTCCCTTTCCACCATTCTAAACCCTCTGCATGTCAGGGCCAGATTAATTTTTACTAAAATTTATTTCTTATAATGGGTATACTCACCACCTTCAAAATGTCCTTTTGAATGGATTCCAAGTTCCTTAGCTCAGATTTAAGCCTCCACAGCATCTGATTGTATGCTTACATTTTGGTCTTACAGGCCATCAATGCTTCACTATACCCTCTACATCAATTAAGCCAAACTACTTGTCATTTCTGAAAACTTTGTTAGTTTCCCCACATTCATATTAATTAAAAAGGCTGTTGTTCCTGATTAAATGTGGGAGGCAGAGAAGAAGAAGATGACAAAGTCGATTCTGCATTTTTCAAGGCTGAGTGATTAGGAATGTTGGCGCCTTCAAACAAAACAAGAAAGTCATGAAGAGAGGTGGCTTGGGGGAAGAGGATAAATCTTATTTGAAAGTCTTGTTTGAGTTGGTGGTAGAATGTTCAGGAGGAAGGCAGCCTGGCCTCCACTTAGAAAAGGCCTCAGAGTTCATAAGGGCATCAGAGAGGGAGCTGATGATTTTGGAAACTTCTACAAGGGAGTGAGAGCTGAGGCTTCAGGAATGAAGGAAATGAGCCAGGAGAAGGGACTGGAATGAGAAGGAAGAACTCCACACTGAATCTTAGGAAAAGCTCAGGGGCCTGTTAGGGTTGAGGGCGGGCAAATAGATGTAAGGGAAATTAGAGGAAAACAGAAGCAAGGCACGGACTCCTCCCTGTATTTTTTTTTTTACGAAAATAAACACAAAGAAGCAAGGGATAATTTGGTTCCCAAACCAAGACTCCTCAACTAGCTCCATGACTTTGAGGGGCTTTCTTTAACTGTTGAGGACAGACGCATGGAGCCCAACAGAGGTCACACATGAGCTCTTGCTCATCTTTATACTGTGGCTCTTGCTTTCCAAATAAATATTTAGAATCATTTGCTAACAAATGTGGAGCACCAACAAGTATTCCAGGCACAGAGCATGAAATGGCGAGGGAGATAAAGGCCCTGACCTGGTGGAGTTGGCTTTCTTGTGGATTACATCCCCTTGCAAGTTCACTGATAGAGCTATAGCATAAAGTATCCGTAAAGTATTACGGGTGCTGGGGGACTCCATCAGGGAGGAATTGGAAGCTGGATCTTATAGGATACAAGATCATTGCTAAATCTAGGATACAGGATGTAAATGAGTTAATTAGGAAGATATAGTACAATTAAAGAGTTAGAAAGCAAGAAATGTGAGAGCACCTTCAAGTAGTTTAGTATTGCTAGAGTACAATCAGGTAGGAATACAGTTTTTTGCAAGCATGAGATTAGATAGAAAAGCATGCACCATTTATACACTATGATAAGTTTTGATGTTATCCTTCAGATGATAAGAAACCACCAAAAGGTTTTTAAGCTGGGCAATTATACAGTTCAGATTATATTTAGAAAGACCCTTCTGACAGAGGGAGGATGAATTGGAGAACAGGGAAACAGGGAGATAGTTTAGGAAGCTGCTGTAGTTATCCAGGCAAATGATGATAAGGATTTGAACCAGAGGAGTGATGGTAGAGATACAGAATAATGTATGGATTTAAGAACTCTTTTGGAGATGAAATTGCTTGAACTGGTGACGAACTGAATGTGGAGGATGAAAGCAAGGAGCTGCAGAAGATATACATAGGCCTGCCTTTGGTGACCAAGGGGATTATAGCACAAGATACAAGCACAGGAGTAGGTACTGGCTTAAAGTAAAAAGGTATTAAGGTCAGTTTTGGGTGTGTTGAATTTGAGATTCCTATGATGGATCAGTAGGAGATCACTGGCAGACATGTGAATATACAAATGCAAATCTGGGAGAGTCTAGGCTGGACATACAGATTTAGGAAGAAGAGGGTTAATTCCTGGAGAACACCAACATTTCTC